>NC_000012.12:123476274-123777897 GCF_000001405.40 Homo sapiens
TACTAAAAATACAAAAATTAGCCGGGCGTGGTGGCGCATGCCTGTAATCCCTGCTACTAGGGAGGCTGAGGCAGAAGAATCGCCTGAACCTGGGAGGTGGAGGTTGCGGTGAGCCGAGATCGCGCCATTGCACTCCAGCCTGGGCAACAAGAGCAAAACTCCATCTCAAGAAAAAAAAGAAAAAAAGAAATAGGGTCCTTACAAATGTAACTAGTTAAGATGAGGTTATGCTGGAGTAGGGTGGGTTCTAATCCAATATGACTGGTATCCTTATAAAAGGGGGACATCTGGACAGAGATGGCATGTGAGGAAGGTGGAAGTGGATACTGAGGTGAGGCTTCTGCAGGCCAAGGACTGCCAAAGACCCCCAGCAGCCACCAGAAATGGAGAGAGGTGTGGGGCAGATTCTCCCTTACAGTCCGAAGAAGGAGCTGACCCTGCTGACGCCTTTATCGTGGCCTTCTGGCCTCCGGAAGTGGGAGACAATACCTGACTGTTATTGAAGCCCCTGAGTCTGCAGTATTTTGTTACAGCAGTTCTAGAAACTGATGCAGTATATGACAGCCAACGAGGGATGACAGAGTGGCTCCCCAGGGCTAAAATGTAGGGCTGTGTGTGGGGAACGAAGAAGGCAAAATACGCTGTGGGAGGTGGTGGTGATGCCCTGGCAAGGGGGCCTTTCAGTGTCCTCCCCAACTGCGATGAGCTGCAGGCGCCATGACCCTAAGCGCCAGGCGAGAACCAGGAGAGACTGAAGCAGAGGGGCCAGGCAGGACGAGGGCTGAGGCAGAGGCTGCAGAATCATCAGATATTCTGGTCTAAGCCCACGGTAAGTAAATGCTCATCTGTTTCTCAGCTGGGCAGAGGAAATGAAGATGAAACTCCAACCATGCCACTAGAGCTTATTTTGAAAAGCTATAATTTTTTTAAAAAGTTGGTTGGATAAAGATAAAATAATTGTCTCAAATGAGGTTTGGCGATGTTCCAGGTGTTTGGATTACCTTTGATGTGCTTCACAGAGTAGCTAGGAGTTAGGAGTTGGTATCTTTTCTTTCTTTCTTTCTTTTTTTTTTTTTTTTTTTTTGAGACAGTCTCGCTTTGCCACCCAGGCTGCAGTGTAGTGGCACAATCTCTGCTCACTGCAACCTCCACCTCCTGGGTTCAAGTGATTCTCCTGCCTCAGCCTCCCCAGTAGCTGGGACTACAGGCGTGCACCACCCTGCTGGGCTAATTTTTGTATTTTTAGTAGAGACGGGGTTTCCCTGTGTTGGCCAGGTTGGTCTTGAACTCCTGGCATCAAGTGATCCACCCGCCTTGGCCTCCCAAAGTGCTGGAGTGAACCACCACGCCTGGCCAGGAGTTGGTGTCTTTGCAGAACCTCCTGGATGGTTTCTCACAATGACATGGAGAAGATGAGATGCCTTCTGCTAAGTGAATGGGCCCCAGAGGCCAGACTACCGGACACAGTTAGCTTTCCAGGGGCTCCAAGCAACACCATTTTGTACCCACCTTTGCCAGGACACCCAAAGAGGGTGCCCACAAAGATACAGTCATTGTGTGGGAAGTGGCCTCAAACACGGGGGACATTTTGCCTCAAGAGATGTTTGCCACTGGGAATGCTGGACTTCATTTAGGGCCTTTTCAGGGGGTGACCAATGCTCGGGGGCCTGGGACACCTGGAGTGTTCTGACTGAGTTACTCCATCTGTATGTCTTTTTTTTTTTTTTTTTTTTTTTTTTTCAGAGACAGGTCTCGCTTTGCTGCTCAGCTGGAGTGCAGTGGTGCAATCTGGGCCCACTGCAGCCGCGACCTCCTGGGCTCAAGTGATCTTCCTGCCTCAGCTTCCCTAGTAGCTGGGACTACAAGCATGTGCCACCATGCCCGGCCAATTAAAAAAAATTTTTTTCCTCGAGATAGGGTCTTGCTATGTTGCCCAGGCTCATCTCAAACTCCTGGCCTCAAGCGATCCCCCCACCTCGGCCTCCCAAAGTGTTGGGATTACAGGCATGAACCACCGCGCCTGGCCCTGTCTGTGTCTTGCTGTGCTCACTGAGCGGATGGCCCCTTCCCTTACTATTCCAGGGGCTGCCCTGCGGAAGCCATCTCCTCTAGAGGTACAGCTATTTCCATAAAAAGATTGACTTGTTTTGGCCCGAAGTTTGTCTTGAATATCCTGTAGCTGGTTTTAACTCCCCGCTCCCCGCCAAATATTTCTGGAAGACTCAAACCAAATGAAGTTCTACCAGTGGCATTTCAGGCAGTGTAATGGGCGGCTGTGAAGAAGCTATTCCTGGGCTGGAGCGAGGGGGGTGGTGGGTGGGAGGACAGGGATAGAATGCACTGTCATTGCTACCCCTGGACACCTGGGTGGCCACCCACTCCAAAGCCAACCTTTCCAGTCCTCGAGGCCAGTTCTCATCCCCTGCTTCCCCGGTCCCCCCTCTATACCCACCTGTCTTCTTATCTCCTGATCAGCCCCTAGCCCCCGCCCTGCAAAAGGCAACTGTGTGTGCGTCCATGGGACCATGACTGAGAGACAGGGACCACGCAAAAGGGGGCACTGGTGCCTGGTGTTCACTGGGGACGAGGCTGAAGTCACTCCAGCACTCCCTCGTGACCTTCCTGGGCAGTGCCAGCCTGGCCTCTCTGGACAGCAGCTGCTCAATCACAAACTATTCTTGGAACATCTTCCGGGCACACTGTTTTGACTGGCAGCAAAACAGTTCCCTTGTCCGGTTCAGTCTAGAAATGTGAAGTCTGACGCCTGTGACTCATGATGCACTGTGCAGACAAGGGGCCACCACCAGAGACTCGGGGAGGGGAGCGGGAAAATGGTGGCGGGGGTGGGAGCAGAAAAGGAATGGGTTCAAATCTGAAGACAGCCTTCCCAGCAGTTTGATCTAAATGTCAGTGGGCTTCTCTGGGCCTCAGTTCCCTCATCTGAGAAATGGGGATAATTATCCCAGCTCTGGGTCCCTGACAGGATGGAAGATACTTTAGTTCAAGTACTCTAAGCTGCCGAAGCCCCTGAACACTCCTTGGCGACTGTGAATTGCTGCAGGAGGAGGGGTGGGAAAAACCAGTTAACAGTGGGAAGCAGAGCTGAAGAGCCGCCCTGAGCAGACCGCATGGCTAATACTCCCTGGAGGAAGGACGGAAGAGACCCAGCAGACCAGGTAGGTGCAGGAGGAATGAAGGATGGAAGGACGCTCAGAACCGCCTCAGAAACTGTCATTCCCTGCGCCAGCCCAGGGAAGATCTGTCCCTGCCCAGGCCCCTCCCAGCCTCTGGGCTCACAGGCTGCTCTGGTACAGCTTCCAACCAGCAGTAGAGGTGGACAAAGGCGACCAGTGTCCTGCCTGCACTGGTCAAAAGCCCTTTGTGCCAGTTTGCTCTCCCAGTTATCCCCCAGCAAGTGGGGCTGCCACGGGACTGGTCACCCGCACCCTGTGGCTGGGAGGTTCTGGTCTCGCTCTCTCGTCTTTCTCTGAGTCTGTCCCTGCCCGGCTCAGAGCCCCACACTTTCCTGAGCAACCAGAAGCCAACCTAAGTGGGGAAGAGCTCTGAAAACAGGGCCCCAGCGTCCTTTCTGGAACAATCTGGAAAAGAAGGACAGACACCACAGCCTATTCAGGTGTGGGCAGAAGAACTAGTGGAAAGATTCGTTGGCTAATTCTGATAACTTTCCTCTGGATTTCACCCAATACGAAATTTGCAAAGCCAACTTAATTGTCTGTTTAGAGAAAGGGGCCCAGAGTAGAAAATTACAGTTAGAAAAACTCGGCTCTGGAAGGAATTTTTAGAATTACATATGACCGTGGGTGCTGGAGGCTCTGAATGCAGTACATTGGAAGTGAAAGTGAAGGTGCTAGAAAGGCTGATTCTTTTTTTTTTTTTTTTTTTTTAAATGGGGTATCGCTCTGTTGTCCAGGCTCGAATGCAGTGGTGTGATCTCGGCTCACTGCAACCTCCGCCTCTGGAGTTCAAGCAATTTTCCTGCCTCAGTCTCCTGAGTAGCTGGGATTACAGGTGCCCACCACCACACCTGGCTAATTTTTTTGTATTTTTAGTAGAGATGGGGGTTTCACCATGTAGGCCACACTGGTCTCGAACTCCTGACCTTGTGATCCACCTGCCTCAGCCTCCCAAAGTGCTGGGATTACAGGTTGAGCCACCGTGCCCGGCCTGAAAGGCTAATTCTTAACGACCTGGGAACAAATGGCTGAAGGATGCAGAACACAAGTCTCTTGATCTCCCCCTCCCTCAGCCCATGCAGAGACTATCTGGGCTCATGAAGCTTCTTGCAGTTTCTCCAGGCCTGAAACTCAAAGCTGTAGCTATCAAAGCATACAAGATAGATTCTGCTCATCCTCACATAGGAGTGGGGCTGGCGAGTGAGTTGGAGTTTAAGCAAAGCCAGTCCCATTTCCTACCAAGCACTGCATGAGAAACCCTTCCTGGGCACTAAGTACTGCAGAGAATCAAGACTGAAGGGCTTCCTCCTCCCAACGTGAGGCTACCGTGGGCACCCCGTATTTCTGTCTATCTAGCACTCTGATATTGCTTGGGGACCCATCCCTTCCCCTACTTTCAGGCCACTTGAACTGGATGGAGGTAAAAGTGCTCTGAGCGTCAAGGGTGAGGAGTCACAGACCCGGACGATCAATGTGCTGTCCTGTGATTGGGTTAGGGATAGTCATGTGACCCAGCTGGAGCCAATGGGACTCATTTCTGTGACTGATGGAAATCTTGGGAACAGAGACTCTGCACTGGAGTTTCAGACAGAAGAAAATGAAACCTGGCCGGGCGCGGTGGCTCACGCCTGTAATCCCAGCACTTTGGGAGGCCGAGGCGGGTGGATCACCTGAAGTCAGGAGTTAGAGACCAGCCTGGCCAACATGGTGAAACTCCGTCTCTACTAAAATTACAAAACTTAGCCGGGCGTAGAGGCAGATGCCTCTAATCCCAGCTACTCGGGAGGCTGAGACAGGAGAGAACTGCTTGAACCCGGGAGGTGGAGGCTGCAGTGAGCTGAGATTGTGCCACTGCACTCCAGCCTCGGCAATGGAGTGAGACTCCCTCTCAAAAAAAAAAAAAAAGAAAGAAAGAAAATGAAACCTGAGCCAAGGGCTGCCATGCTGCCATCCTCAGGCTGGACTGGACACCCAAGAATGGAGCCCACAGAGGAAAACCAAGCCAGGGGTGGAGGAAACAAGGCCTGGATCCAGCTGAGCCCCACGCTGTGGCAAGTTGGAACTTTTAGTTCCTTAGCCAAATTTGTTTTCTTTTTTTTTTTTTTGAGGCGGAGTTTCACTCTTGTTGCCCAAACTGGAGTGCAATGGCACGATCTTGGCTCACTGCAACCTCTGTCTCCCAGGTTCAAGCGATTCTCCTGCCTCAGCCTCCCAAGTAGCTGGGATTACAGGTGTGTGCCACCACGCCCGGCTGATTTTTGTATTTTTAGTGGAGATGGGGTTTCTCCGTATTGGTCAGGCTGGTCTCAAACTCCCGACCTCAGCTGATCCACTCGCCTCGGCCTCCCAAAGTGCTGGGATTACAAGCCTGAGCCACCGAGCCCAGCCCCAAATTTGTTTTGTTTTCTTTTTTCTTTTTTGAGATGGAGTCTCGCTCTGTCGCTCAGAGGCTGGAGTACAATGGCACAATCTCAGCTCACTGCAACCTCTGCCTCCCGGGTTCAAGCAATTTTCCTGCCTCAGCCTCCTGAGTAGCTGGGACTACAGGCATGTGACCACCACGCCCAGCTAATTTTTGTAGTTTTAGTAGAAATGAGGTTTCACCATGTTGGCCAGGTTGGTCTTGAACTTCTGACCTCATGATCCACCCACCTAGACCTCCCAAAGTGCTGGGATTACAGGCGTGAGCTACTGCGCCTGGCCTCCAAATTCGTTTTCTTAGGTTACTTTGAGTTGAGTTTCAATTGCAAATGGAAGGTTACTACTGAATCCATGATCTAAATGGTGTTGGGATCTAGAGGAAGCTTTTCTGGTGCCATGCGTCTTCCCTAGGAAATGTTTATCTCTAACCAGAACTGGGGCCACACTCCCTCCCCAGTGCATCAGGGACCTGGGGCCAAACTCCTAAGCAGCCTGAATGAAGCTGGAAGGGAGTCGTGCACCAGCCTGTACTCTCTAGCAATATCCGGCTAATTTTAAATTTTTTTGTAGAGACAGAGTCTCACTACGTGGCCCAGGTTGGTCTCAAACTCCTGGCCTCAAGTGATCCTTCTGCCTTGGCCTTTCAGAGTGCTGGGATTACAGATGTGAGCTGCCATGCCCAGCAAAGGGCATCATTTTCTTTCTTTCTTTTTTATCCCTCTCTCTCTCTCTTTTTTTTTTTTTTTCGAGACAGGGTTTCGCTCTGTCACCCTAGCTGGAGTGCAGTGGTACAATCTTGGCTCACTGAAGCCTCAACCTCCTGGGCTCAAACAATCCTCCCACTTCAGCCTCCCAAGTAGCTGGGACCATACCCAGCTAATTTTTGTATTTTTTGTAGAGAGGTGGTTTCACCATGTTGCCCAGGTTGGTCTTGAACTCCTGAGCTCAAGTGATCCTCCCACCTCTGCCTCCCAAAATGCTGAGATTACAGGTGTGAGCTACCGCACCCAGCCCCAAGGGCACCATTTTCTAAGAGGAGAGGGCCCAGCAGTGACAAACCTGCACGGCTCTGCATTGTCTACTCACAGGGCAAGAACTAACCAAGAATTTCCAAACATAACTGGATTTTAAAGGTTGGGGTATATGGGTAACACTCCACTTCCTCTCCCTACACGATCCGACTGGCTTTCCAACCCACACGCCCTGTTTTCACAAAGTTTCTTGTGGGTTTTGGAGGAAAGAACTGAAACCTCTTCTGTACTAAGCCTTGGATAGAACTGGAAGGCAGGCCCAGAGCCTGGAAGACCGTCTCAGGGGAGAGAATGCAGCTCCAACACTGCAAGCACAAGGCTGTCTTGCAGAGAGCTCACAGTGTGGGCTCTGGGGCCAGGCTACCTGGGTTTGAGCCCTGGTTCTGCCTCTTATTAGCTGAATGACCCTAGGCAGGTGCCTCTGTTTCCTTAACTATAAAATGGGAATGATGATGCTTCCACCCCACAACACCATGCTGAGGACTCAATGAGATATTCTGTGGGAACAGGACCCAGCACGTGTTAGCTTCTTAGTAGATACTGTCTAACAAAACCAGAGGTGTTAACCCTTTATCTGAAGAGTCTTAGAGGTCCATGAACCTCCTGAAATTGTTCACAAATTTTACAGATTTCTCTGGGGGAAATTTCAGGAGGTTTTATCACAACCTCAAAGGAATCTGTTGATGCCAAGAACCACTGAAGTAGCTTAAAGTCTAGTTGAGGGCAGGGACTAGGTCACTCTTTTTTGCGGGGTTCTCCTGCAGCAACCAAGGCCTGACTCTGCATGCGTTATGCAGTAACCCCTGCTTAATGGACAGAGGGCTACATGGATGAGTCATCAGAGAACTGCATAGATGGGGTGGACCCAGGGCCACCTGACATCTCAGAGCTGAGGTCTCAAGCTTCAGATGCACAACCCACCCCTACCTCGCTACCCTTATTTCCTGTCCTCAAAGGCCCAGAGATGCACCCCACCCCCATGAAACACACTCCAGCAAGCTCCTGAGTATCAGCCACTGGCCCAAGCCTCTCCCCTCTCGCCTCCCGCACTCCCCAAACCTCTCTGCCCAGAGACCCCCAGGAGGGACTCAGCATTCAGGAAGGGAGATGAACTCAAAGTCGGGGGCCAGGCCAGACGTCTCAGCAGGATGTGGTTAGTCACAAGCCTGGCCCTGGGAGCAGGTGCCAAGGAGGAAAAGTCAAAGGACACGTGAACCGCCAGGTCAGCCGAGCGCAGAAGCTGGCAGCGCATCACTTACAGTCGCTTGATGCCCGACTCCGGCTGGGGGGACGTCCTCGGGTGGGCGATGGGTGGGGGTTGGGGTATTCGGTTTTCCTCTTCCATTTCTTCACTGGAAGGAGATGAGAGGCGTGAGATAAAAGAGTCAAAAGTTCCTTGAGAACTGGAACATTCCAGAAGAGAAGTGTCTGATGGTCTGAGAGGGTGCATGCTTTTTAGGGGACCCGCATCTGTATTTCCAGTTTATTCTGAAGAGTCCAGCCAAATAGAACCACTCCCCGTTTCCTGTCCTTACACAGGCTTCCCTGTCGCTACACCTCTGTGGTTTCTTCTACCCAGAATATACCTGTCACTCCTCAACATCTCCCATATCTAAATACTACCCTATCCTTTCAGGAAGGCCCAGTTCAAATGCTGCTTCCTCCAGGAGGCCTTCCGATTTCCACCCCATCCACAAACTCGAAGAAGTGATCTCTCCCACTCTCCCATCTTTTTTTTTTTTTTTTTTTTTTGAGACAGGGTCTCATTCTGTTGCCCAGGCTCGAGTGCAGTGGTACAAACATACATAGCTCACTGCAGCCTTGACCTTGGGCTGAAATGATCCTCCTGCTTCAGCCTCCCAAGTGGCTGGGACTACAGGGTGAGCCACCATACCTGGCTAATTTTTAAAAATTTTTGTGTAGAGATGGGGGTCCCACTATGTTGCCCAGGCTGGTTTCGAGTCCTGGGTTCAAGTGATCCGCCTGCCTCGGCCTCGCAAAGTGCTGGGATGACAGGCATGAGCCACCGCGCCCGGCCTCTCCCATCTTTGAACATCCAGTATACAGTCAGTAAACCTTTCAATAAAAATGTGTGGTATTATATTTTTTATGCATCTCTTATCTTCCCCACTGGAGCAGGGACCACCTCTGGTGCATGGGTCCTTCCTTCCAGCTTTCTATTCAACAGATATTTGTTGTGCACCTACTGTGTGCCAAGCTCCATTCTAAGTGCTGGGAACTTAGCCATGGACAAGATAAATAAGACTTCTGGTCTCATGTTGCTTGTGGTCTCATGTGGAAACCTACAATAAAGCAAGCATGAGAGTGAACAGGATAATGTAGGAGGTGAAAAGGGCCACATAGACCATTAACACCGGGGCCGGGTTTCATTCATTCATTCATTTAAAAAAAGAGATGAGGTCTCGCTTTGTTGCCCAGGCTAGTCTCGAATGCCTGGGATCAAGCAATCTTCCCGCCTCGGCCTCCCAAAATACTGGAATTAAAGGTGTGAGCTCTGGTGCCCGGCCTGGGCCCAAGAGTTTCAGAAAGGGGTTGTGAGCTTGTATGTAAGTTCTTTAGGCCAGAGAGGGTACCCAAAAAAAACACTGATGAAATGCTTGTCTTCCAGGGGGTAAGAAGGTAACTGTACAGAAACTCTGGCTAACCTCAGTAAGGAGCCAGCTCGGGCCATCCAGCCCCAGGGACACTTGCCTCTTATAGTAAGCCAGCTCCTCCTGCAGCAAGAACACCTTGGACTTGAGCTCGTTCCTCTCGTGCAGCACGTCCCGCAGCTCCTGCAGGGTGAACCGGGGGCGGTTGGGGTCCTTGAGATCCATGGCCACCTTCTCTGCGTCGGAGATGCTCTCCTCTCCCACCGGCTCCGTCTGGAGGAGGCAGAGATGCTGCTAATGAATTCTTGGCAGCCACTGCCAGCACCCACTCTCTATCCTGAAGGAGCCCAAATTCTCCCCCTCCCGGGGTGCCAGCAGCCTGTGGAGGGTGCTATTTTCAGCACTCGCAGGCGGCCCTTGCTCACGTTCTGTACAGTTTCCCTCTGGAGGTGGAAGCCAGCAGCCACCTGTTCATTGTTCGCCTTCCCAATAGCCGAACCCACGGACCCCGCACCTCCCCACCCGACTTGGGGTTTCATTACAAACATGACAAGGCATCCAGGGAGGAGCTGTCACACCTCCCCTGCCCCCACCCTCGTACATCTGCTGCTTCCCCCTTTCCAGGCCTCCTTTCATCTCCTTACTAAGACCATTGCTAATTTGGCCAGAGTGGCTGGAATCTCAGCCTACACACAATTCTCCATTCCTTTTTCATTTGACAGTAAGTCATATCCATTTTCCCTGTTGTTATGGGCCTTCTGGTTAGGTCCTCTCCTCCCCAGTGGCTTTGAGTATCTGGAGTTCAGTGGAAGCCCGGCGGGGGTGCACACTCGGCCATTTCTCTGTGATGCGGGTGACCAACAGATCCCAGCATCATGCTAAGTCACCTGCCCCAGGTCACACCCACACCCATCCTCTCACCTTCTTGCATAGCGAGGGAGCCTTTTTAGAAAAATGTGGTAAAATATACATCATCTAAAATTTACCATTTGAACCTTTTAAAAGTGAACAATTTGGAAGTGACATTTAGTAAACTCACATGTCACACAACCACCACCTCTGTCCAGTTCTAGAACATTTTCTTCATACCAAAAGGAAAACCCATACTTATTATTTTATTTTTTTCTGAGATGGAGTTTCACTGTCACCCAGGCTGGAGTGCAATGGCATGATCTCAGCTCACTGCAACCTCCACTCCTTGGCTTCAAGCGATTCTTGTGCCTCAGCCTCCCGAGTAGCTGGGATTACAGGTGTGTACCGCCACACCCGGCAATTTTTTTTTTTTTGAGACGGAATCTCTCTGTCACCCAGGCTGGAGTGCAGTGGCACGATCTCAGCTCACTGCAAACTCCACCACCCGGGTTCAAGCCATCCTCCTGCCTCAGCCTCCTGAGTACCTGGGATTACAGGCGCCTGCCATTATGCCTGGCTAATTTTTGTATTTTTAGTAGAGACAGGGTTTCACCATGTTGGCCAGACTGGTCTTGAACTCCTGACCTCAAGTGATCCACCCGCCTTTGCCTCCCAAAGTGCTGGGATTACAGGTGTGAGCCACCGCACCCGGCTGAAAACCTGTACTTATTAAGCAGTCACTCTCTACTTCCCTATCCTGAGCCCTTGGCAAATGCCAATGTAGTTTCTGTCTATGGACTGCCTACCATGGACATTTCCCAGAAACAGAATCATACATTAAGTGGCCTTTTGTGCCTGGCTCCTTTCACTTAGCACGGTGTTTCCAAGGTTCATCCACGTTGCAGCACACACCAGCACTTCACTCTTTTTTTTTTTGAGATGGCATCTCACTCTGTCACCCAGGCTGGAGTGCAATGGCACGATCTCAGCTCACTTCAACCTCTGCCTCCTGGGTTCAAGCGATTCTTCCGCCTCAGCCTCCCGAGTAGCTAGCTGGGAATACAGGCACCCGCCATCATGCCCGGGCTAAGTTTTGTATTTTTGTAGAGACGGGGTTTTACCATGTTGGTCAGGCTGGTCTTGAACTCCCGTCCTCAGGTGATCCACCCACCTCAGCCTCCCAAAGTGCTGGGATTACAGGGGTGGGCCACCCCGCCAGCTCACTTCACTCCTTTTGATGGCTGAGCCATATTCCACTGTACAGATGTACCACAGTGTGTTTATCCATTCTTCAGCTGACGGACATCAGAGTGGTTTCCACTCTTTGGCTAATGTGAATAGCAATGCTAAGAACTGTATTAGTGTGGACACTTGTTTTCAGTTCTTCTGGTTGTATACCTGGGAGTGGGATTGCTGGGTCATGGGCTAATTCTGTGTTTAACTTGTTGAGGAGTTGTCAAACCGTTTCCCACGGCAGCTGCTCTATTTTACATTCCCACCAGCAATGCACAAGGGTTCCAATTTCTCTATATTCTTGCCAACAGTTATTTTCCTTTTTTTTCTTAATCACAAGGAAGCTTTTGCAAGTCAGCCAGTCAATCTACAGGTAGCCCACACTCTCAAAGGAATGGAGTGTCCCCAACACTCCTGAGCCACCAATGTCCCGTGACCAACCAGGAGTAGACAGAGGTCAGGACAGCAGTGAAAAAGCTCCAGAACAGGGAAAGGGAGAGGAAACAGACGTCCTTCCCAACCTCAAGAAAAACTCCATAGGCCCGGCACCGTGGCTCACACTCCTAATTCTAGCACTTTGGGAGGCTGAGGCAGGAGGATCACTAGAACCCAGGAGATTCAGACCAGCCCGGGCAACATAGCAAGACCTCATGTCTACAAAAAAGAAAAGAAAATTAACTGGGCATGGTGGCTTGCCCCTGTAGTCCCAGTTACATAGGAGGCTGAGGCATGAGGATCACCTGAGCCCAGGAAGTGGAGGCTGCAGTGAGCCAAGACTGTGCCACTGCACTTAAGGCAGTGTCTCCAACAAAGTGAGACCCTGTCTCAAAAAAAAAAAAAAAAAAAGAAGAAGAAGAAGAAAAACCCCATAGCAGCACAGGGAGAAGGGGACTAACTCCAGCCTGAATGTGCCCTGGACAGGAGGCTGAGGGATTCCAGAAGGCAGAGCCGAGAGGCTTCACACCCTGTGGGAGGCTGGAACCGGCTGTTCTGGGAAAGGACGTGTGAAAGGAGACAACACCCACTGCTGGGGCACGTCAGGTGACAGCAGAGCCACACACAGCAGGCCCAGGTTGGGGGAGCAAGCTGACCCTGCCCAGCCTTGGGGTCGGAGTCAGCACGGGGCAGCAGAGGAGGGGCCTCCATGCAGTGGGAAACTGAAATCTGACCCCGGCCGCCCTCGCAAGCTGTCTGGGCAGCTGAGGGGCTTCTTCCCACCCAAGAACAAGGGGAGGAAATGTTGGAGGATTTAATTTCCAAAGAAAGTATTCTAGGCGTCTGCTGATGCCACAATTTAGGTGGGCTGTGTCCTCAGAGGACATCTTCAATGTCCGATCTCCTCTGCAGCGCCTCCAGGGATGCTCCGGAACCACCCGGCAGCCACACACTCCATGTCTCCACCCAAGACCACATACAACAGGTGACGGATATGCGGCCGGCATTCAATCGCGCCAGTTCTCCTCTTTCCCTGGCCCAGCTTCACCAAGGAGCAACCCTGGATGTCTAGTTATCCAACATTTACTGAGAGCTAACTTTGTGCCTTGCTGGCCGTGGAGCTCAGCCCTGGGAACAGAGTCAGACAGATGGGGCTGAAGAGAAGATACACATAAATAGAAGCTTAAGGCCAGGTGTGGTGGCTCACACCTGTAATCCCAGTACTTTGGGAGGCTGAGGCAGGCGGATCACCTGAAGTCAGGAGTTCGAGACCAGCCTGGACAACATGGTGAAACGCTATCTCTACTGAAAATACAAAAATTAGCTGGGCGGCCAGGCACAGTGGCTCACGCCTGTAATCTCAGCACTTTGGGAAGCTGAGGTGGGTGGATCACGAAGTCAGGAGATCGAGACCAGCCTGGCCAACATGGTGAAACCCCGTCTCTACTAAAAAACACAAAAATTAGTCAGGCATGGTGGTGGGCACCTGTAATCCCAGCTGCTCGGGAGGCTGAGGCAGGAGAATTGCTTGAACCCAGGAGATGGAGGTTACAGTGAGCTGACACGGTGCCACTGTACTCCAGCCTGGGCGACAGAGCGACAGAGTAAGACTCCATCTTAAAAAAAAAAAAAATAGTGCACAGACACAAGATCTAACTGGAGAGAATCAGGGAAGATGTTAATCAGATGTGGTCTCTATGCATGGGGTCTTGACGAATATGTAGGAGTTCACCAGGAACTCTGGGCATTAGTAGTATAGATCAGAGGTTGCAAACTAAGCTCTTAGACCATCCCAGTGCTGCTGGCCCACATTTTGTTTGGCCTTCACTGTGTTCTAAAACTCTGTTGAATTAGCTGCGAACTCTTTAAGATTAGGAGATTTCATATTGAAGTTTGCATTTTGGGCTTCCTGTGGAAAGTGCGCTGGAAGATCAGGCCCCACTGGCAACGCTGGGCTGTTTCCGAGCAGCAGCTGCTCCCTTTTCCATCCCCTTTCTCCTTCTCCTGCCTGGACCCTGCAGGCAGCAGTGGCCCCTGCTATGGACCCGAACCCCAAGCTCCCTCCAGTCCCTTCCTCCTCAGACAGCTCGGGTCCTGCCTTTCATAGCAGGTCAGGGCCTTGCCTCTCCTGTGTCTCTGGGAGGGACCATCTGACAGCCGTCCCCACACCCTGGGGAAAGAGCAAAGCCCTTCAAAGGAACTCCCAAACCCCCACCTCTCGAGAGGCCTCTGGGCAAAGCCACCCGCCCCTATGTCTGGGCTTTCATCTCCCCATCTAGCCCTTGATAACCCAGAAATATTTCCAAGGGCCCTTCCCACCCAGGTACCTGGGGATTTCTGTGAACACACACTTTCAAAGCCACAGGAATTTTCTGCTCACCCCTATTGGGTTTTAACTGCCCAAGACATTGAAGGGCTTCCTTAGAACCTGAGTTCTTTTTTTTCTGGAGAAGGGACAGTTCATTTTTGGGGAGGAATGGCCTGATTCCTTTAGAGTTTGGGGAAATCCCAGCAAGGTATGCAAAAGTCCTTACTCTCTTTTTTTTTTAATTTTATTTATATTTCATTAGAGATGGGGTCTCACTTTGTTGCCCAGGCTGGTTTCGGACTCCCGGGCTTAAACAATCCTCCTGGCTCAGCCTCCCAAAGTGCTGGGATTACAGGCGTGAGCCATTGTGTCTGGCCCCAAAGTCCTGACTTTTTTTTTTTTTTTTTGAGACAGAGTTTTGCTCTTGTTGCCCAGGCTAGAGTGCAATGGCATGATCTCAGCTCACCGCAACCTCTGCTTCCTGGGTTCAAGTGATTCTCCTGCCTCAGCCTCTCAAGTAGCTGGGAGTACAGGCATGCGCCACCATGCCTGGCTAATTTTGTATTTTTAGTAGAGATGGGCTTTCGCCATGTTGGCCAGGCTGGTCTTAAACTCCTGACCTCAGGTGATCCGCCTGCCTCAGCCTCCCAAAGTGTTGGGATTACAGGCGTGAGCCACCATGCCCGCCCTGACTTCTAATACTATTGCCTGAAAGTACAGGCAGAAGGACAGCCCTGGGCTCCAGCTTCTCGAGAGGCCACCAGGCAGTGACCGCAGGGCCACGGGCAGCCCAGGACTATCCGGTTCAGACTGGGAGGGACCAAGGAGGCTCTTTCCAAGATGGCAATCGAGCTCCATCTGCCGTGGTCCTCCTAGGCTTACTCCATGCGGGACCGGGAGGTGGCTCGGGTTAGCTGAGATAAGCTGGGGCCTTTTGTGGGTTGTCTGCTGATCCCTGGAGGTACTCTGGGCACAGCTTCAGAGCGATACCCTGAGGCCTCAGCTGCTTCCCAGGAAGGCCCAAGAGACCAACTAACAAGCCACGAGGCTGCCCAGAGGCCTTAGGGAGGCAGCATCCTGGGTCAGGGCCTCCATCCCGAGGCCTTAGGAATGCTCCTCACTGCCTGGGTGCCTCAAAGCACCCTGCCCTCCCACGGCAGCCCCTTCACAGTACTTCTCAGCAGCCCCTGGCCCAGCAATGGGGAACGACTGTGCTCTGGTCACACTTGGCACCACCAGGCCTAGCATAAATTCAATGCATAAATTCTGCCCGCCTTTCAGCCAGCATACGCCTGTCTGCTTTCCCTATGCAGGCAGCCCGCACTTTACAAAACAAAAACAAAACCTGCTACGAAATCAAAACGTGTGGCTGGGCGCGGTGGCTCACACCTGTAATCCCAGCAGGAGGCCGAAGCAGGCGGATCATTTGAGGTCAAGAGTTCGAGATCAGCCTGGGCAACATGGTAAAACCCTGTCTCTACTAAAAATACACAAAAATGAGCTGGGTGTGGTGGCGCACACCTGTAATCCCAGCTACTCGGGAGGCTGAGGCACAAGAATTGCTTGAACCCAGGAGGCGGAGGTTGTGGTGAGCCAAGATCGTGCCATTGCACTCCAGCCTGGGTGATGGAGTGAGACCCTGACTCAAAATAAATAAATAAATAAAATAAAATAAAATAGAGGCAGGCAGATCATTTGAGGTCAGGAGTTCAAGACCAGCCTGACCAACATGGGGAAACCCTGTCTCTACTAAAAATACAAAAATTAGCCTATCATGGTGGCTTGAACCCGGGAGGTGGAGGTTGCAGTGAACTGAGATTGTGCCACTGCACCCCGGCCTGAGACCCTGTCTCAAAAAAAAAGAAGAAAAAAAAATATATATATATACATATAATCTGTGAAAGGCAGGAAACCTTGAGTTGAAATATGAGAACCTGGATTAACAAGAAAACATGCTAAGTTAAAGAAGCCAGGCAGGACCACATGTTGTAGGATCCCACTGATGCCATGTCCCGAACAGGTAAATACACAGAGGGAAACAGCCTGCTGGTGGCCAGGGGCTGGGGAAGGGAGGAGGCAGCTACCGCAGGAGCAGGGATTTCTGATGGGGGTGATGGGAATGTTCTGGACAGTGGTGATGAGGACACAATAGCTGAAGTGCATGGCATATGAATTACATCTCAATAAGGAAGTTATAAAAATAGAAAGAGCCTTGTCTCCTGGTGATCACACTGCAATGACAGTGACACAGCTTAGAAAGAACTGCATGGCAATGATGAGATGTGGGGAAAGGAACAGAGATCAGATTGTTACTGTGTCTGTGTAGAAAGAAGTAGACATAGGAGACTCCATTTTGTTCTGTACTAAGAAAAATTCTTCTGCCTTGAGATTCTGTTAATCTATGACTTACCCCCAACCCCGTGCTCTCTGAAACATGTGCTGTGTCCACTCAGGGTTAAATGGATTAAGGGCGGTGCAAGATGTGCTTTGTTTAAACAGATGCTTGAAGGCAGCATGCTCCCAGAGACACAAACACTGCGGAAGGCCACAGGGACTTCTGCCTAGGAAAGCCACGTATTGTCCAAGGTTTCTCCCCATGTGATAGTCTGAAATATGGCCTCATGGGAAGGGAAAGACCTGACTGTCCCCCAGCCCGACACCTGTAAAGGGTCTGTGCTGAGGAGGATTAGTAAAAGAGGAAGGCATGCCTCTTGCAGTTGAGACAAGAGGAAGGCATCTGTCTCCTGCCTGTCCCTGGGCAATGGAATGTCTCGGTATAAAACCCGATTGTACGTTCCATCTACTGAGATAGGGAAAAACCGCCTTAAGGCTGGAGGTGGGACATGCGGGCAGCAATACTGCTTTGTAAAGCATTGAGATGTTTATGTGTATGCATATCTAAAAGCACAGCACTTGATTCTTTACCTTGTCTATGATGCAAAGACCTTTGTTCACGTGTTTGTCTGCTGACCCTCTCCCCACTATTGTCTTGTGACCCTGACACATCCCCCTCTCGGAGAAACACCCACGAATGATCAATAAATACTAAAGGAACTCAGAGGCTGGCGGGATCCTCCATATGCTGAACACTGGTTCCCTGGGTCCCCTTATTTCTTTCTCTATACTTTGTCTCTGTGTCTTTTTCTTTTCCAAGTCTCTCGTTCCACCTTATGAGAAACACCCACAGGTGTGGAGGGGCAACCCACCCCTTCAATGAGACAGATTCCTTTCTAGCTCTGCAACCCTCCATAGCTCTCATGTCCTCCAAATCCTGCCCTGGGACAAACCCCTGACCCCAGCCACATGCTGCACGTTCTCCGGCCTAGCTCACTGTTCCCTCTGCCTGGAATGGCCTGTCCATAGTCCACCCTGGGACACAGGACCCGGCCCGATGCCTTCAAGATCTGTCCTGAGGCCCTGCCTCTTTTTTTTTTTTTTTTTTGAGATGAAGTCTTGCTCTGTCGTCCAGGCTGGAGTGCAGTGGCTTGATCTCGGCTCAATGCAACCTCCACCTCCCGGGTTCAAGCGATTCTCCTGCCTTCGCCTCCTGAGTAGCTGGGATTACAGGCACCCACCACCACGCCTGGCTTTTTTTGTATATTTAGTAGAGACGGGGGTTTCATCATGTTGCCCAGGCTAGTCTCAAACTCCTGACCTCAGGTGATCCACCCGCCTTGGCCTCCCCAAGTGCTGGGATTACAGGTGTGGGCCACTGCGCCTGGCCCTGTCCCTGCCTCTTGACTTCACCAAGCCCTCCCCTGATCTTATACTCCTCTCTCCCAGCTGCGCGAAACAGTGAACCTACTGAGTCAAGCTCATTCCCCTCACTTGTCAGATGACGAAATTGACCACCAAAGAGATGGACAGGCCTAGGTCACACAGCAGCAAGTGATGAAACCACCACAACCTGCAGCTCCCCTGTGTGACTGACAGGCATCCTGAACTCACAGAGCTCCAAGGGATAGATGCGAACCCAGCAAAGCTGCCCCGAGCCTGGGAAAGCGCACTGCAAAGCAGCCTGGAGGGTTCACATTACCGCAGCCTGATTTTACTCCCTCCTCTCTTCCCTGCCCCATTGGCTGCCAGACAGGGAAGCTGAAACTGACAGGCAGTCGCGCCAAGGTGGTGTGAAATGTCCCTTGCTGCTCAAGAGTCCTGGAACAGCGCTGGGAGTCTCGATGTTCTTGAGACCCCGGTGTGGGCCAGGCCCTGCCTGGCCAGGAGACCAGCCTGAGCTCCCGTGGGGCCTGAAGGTTGGAAGGGGCACACTAGGAGCAGGGAGCAGGGCAGAGGTGGCGACCGCACCACCCTCAGCCTGGAGGTTGTCTTTGGCACCAGCTTCCTTCCCACTGTCATAGATTGAGTTCAGCCCTCACATTCTCACCTGGGTTATTGCAAAGGGCTCCTGCCAACCATGTCTGCCACAAGCTCCTTCCCTGTCCTCCAGTGAAACAGCTGAGTGTATCGCTCGCCTGCTGAACCCCTGCGAGGGACCCGCACCCCTACTACTCAGAGCTCTGTGTGGTCCCTGGGTGCCGACTCCCCAGCACTGCAGACGACAGCTGTTGTCTCTGCCTGGCCTTTATCCTTCCCTCAGGTCTTTGCGCTAAGTCACTGCCGTTTTCTTCTGGAGAAAGACCTCCCTCCCACTTTTAGTCCATGTGGCTTGAGTCGCAGCCATGTGACTCAGGAATAAACATGCATATTCTAGGTCTCTGGCCACAGTAGTTGTTTCGGTGATAGGCCAATGAGGATTTCCTGAGGCTTTTGCTGGGACTCTAGGGAAAGAGGCCATTTCTTTTGACTGGGGTTGCTATGCTGGTCAAATACTAGTGGCAACTGTAGGCAAGAGCCTGGCTGAGAATGACAACAGCACAGAGGAAAGCAGGGCCTGAGAAGGTCGGAGCCACATTCCTGAGAGCAGCTCATGAACACCTGGAGCCAGCTGTACCTGAAGCTACCCCTAAGAGCTTTTAGTTACACAGTCAATAAATTCGTTTTTTCCCTCTTAAACATTTTTTTTTTTTTTTTTGAGACAGAGTCTCACTCTGTCACCCAGGCTGGAGTGCAGTGGTGCGATCTCGGCTCACTGCAAGCTTCGCCTCCTGGGTTCACGCCATTCTCCTGCCTCAGCCTCCCGAGTAGCTGGGACTACAGGTGTCCACCACCATGCCTGGATAATTTTTTGTATTTTTAGTAGAGATGGGGTTTCACCATGTTAGCCAGGATGGGTTCAATCTCCTGACCTTGTGATCCGCCTGCCTTGGCCTCCCAAAGTGCTGGGATTACAGGCGTGAGCCACCGCACCTGGCCCCAGTTTTTTTTTTTTTTTTTTTTTGAGACAGAGTCTCGCTCCGTTGCCCAGGCTGGAGTGCAGTGGTGCGATCTCAGCTAACGGCAACCTCCGCCTCCTGGGTTCAAGCAATTCTTCTGCCTCAGCCTCCCGAGTAGCTGGGACTACAGGCGCACACCACCATGCCTGGCTAATTTTTTGTATTTTAGTAGAGACGGGGTTTCGCCACGTTAGCCAGGCTGGTCTTGAACTCCTGAGCTCAGGAAATCGGCCTGCCTTGGCCTCCCAACTCTTAAACCATTTTAACTTAGGCTTATGTCATTTTTAGCCAAAAGCAGCCCTTAACCACTCCTTTTTTTTTCTTTTTTCTTTTTTTGAGACAGAGTCTCACCCCTGTCGCCCAGGCTGGAGTGCAGTGGCGTGATCTCAGTTCACCACAACCTCCACGTCCCGGGTTCAAGCAATTCTCCTGTCCCAGCCCCCCAAAGTAATTGGGACTACAGGTGTGCACCACCACGCCCAGCTAATTTTTGTATTTTTAGTAGAGATGGGGCTTCACCATATTGGCCAGGCTGGTCTCGAACTCCTGACCTCAAGTGATCTGCCTGCCTCGGTCTCCCAAAGTGCTGGGATTACAGGTGTGAGCCACCATGCCTGGCAACTACTCCCTTTTAAGACTTCTCTCCCTGACCTTCCTCATTTGTATCCCAGATGCCTGTCCTGTCCTACAGCAAACCTGGAAGTAACTACCAAATTCACAGGATACCTAATGACTACTGGGACTTGAACCCACCTGACTGTGAGCTTGTCTGTCCTACCTCCCCTACCTGTAACTCAGGTTACTAGTGCAGCGTCTGCAAACTTTCAACAGCTCATAAACATCTGCTGGGAGAAAACACAAGCCTGAGTGTGTCCCTAAAGTTCACTATACTTTTCTGAAACAGCATCTCCATTGTCCACATTTCTATCTGTCAAAGTCTCAGCATTGTTAACACTGACGCCCGGCTTCAGGAACAGCTCTTCCCTGAAACCCCACCTCCCCACCTCTGCCAGGATGAACGATCTCACCCTCTGTGTTCCTGGCACAGTCTGGGGGCACATTTAAGGAACAGACACCGCTAGTGCCCACTTTGTAGCCCTGGGCCTACCTGGATGTTAGCTGCAGCTGTGATGGACAGCTCTGGCCACGCGGACAGTAAC
This sequence comes from Homo sapiens, assembly GCF_000001405.40. Taxonomy (NCBI): domain Eukaryota; kingdom Metazoa; phylum Chordata; class Mammalia; order Primates; family Hominidae; genus Homo; species Homo sapiens. The sequence goes on from NC_000012.12 coordinate 123,496,854, forward strand.
ATGCACAGTGTTGTGCGACCATCACCGCTCTCTAATTCCGGATCATTTCCATCGTCCCCAAAGGGAACTCCATGCCCATCGGCAGTCACTCCCCATTCCTCCCTCCCCCAGCCCCATTCGGACACCAGTCTACTTTCTGGCTCTATGGATTTGCCTGTTCTGGGACATTTCGTGCAAATGGAGTCACACACTGGCCTTTTGGGCCTGGCTTCTTTCACTCCGCGTGATGTTTTTGCAGCTCATCCGTGCTGCCGCGTGGCCAGGGCTGCATTCCTCTTTAGAGCTGAATCATATCCCCCTGTATGGAGAGACCACTGTTCACCCATTCATCTGCTGATGGACATGTGGGTTGTTTCCACCTTTTGGCGACTGTGAATAGTGCTGCTATAGGGTCTCACTCTGTTGCCCAGGCTGGAGAGCAATGGCTCAATCATGGCTCACTGCATCCTCAAACTCCTGGGCTCAAGTGATCCTCCTGCCTCATCTTCCCAAGTAACTGGGACTACAGGCATATGCCACCATACCTAAGATTTTCTTTTTTTGTTTTTTGAGATGGGGTCTGACTCACTCTGTTGCCCAGGCTGGAGTGCGGTGGTGCAATCTCAGCTCACTGCAACCTCTGCCTCCGAGGTTCAAGCAATTCTCCTGCCTCAGCCTCCCAAGTAGCTGGGATAACAGATGCCCACCACCACACCCAGCTAATTTTGTATTTTTTTTTAGTAGAGACGGGGTTTTACCATGTTGGCCAGGCTGATCCTGAACTCCTGACCTCAAGTCATCTGCCCACCTCAGCCTCCCAAAGTGCTGGGATTACAGGTGTGAGCCACCATACCCAGCCCAAAAGCAAGTTTTTAATTTTTAAAGAATTTTTTGTAGAGATAGGACCTCGCTATGTTGCCCAGGCCAGTCTTGAGCTCCTGGCCTCAAGTGATCTTCTTGATCCCCTTGCCTCAGCCTCTCAAAGGGCTGGGATTACAAGTGCAGGTGACCACACCTGGCCTTCATGTAAAAGTTTGAACACCTGCTCTCAATTCTTTTGGATATGTGCCTAGGAGTGGAATTGCTGGGTCATATGGTACTGTGTGATTAATGATTAAGGTCTGGACTAACTAATGTCTGCCTCCCATACTAAACTGTAAGCTCCATGTGGACAGGGATCATGTCTGTATTTTGCTCGCTATTTTATCCTCTGGGCCGGCTACACAGTCAACAATCATTGGTATGAATGAATAAATAAATGGCAGGTGCCTAATAACCATCACTGAGATGGGAGAATGCTGGGAGTCTGGGGTTCCAACCCCTCAGCTGTGTGTCCTCAGGCCAGTAGCTTGTTCTCTCTGAGCCTCTCGTTTTTTCTCTCTCTCTCTCTCTCTTTTTTTTTTAGACAGGTCTGGCTCTGTTACCCAGGCTGCAGCGCAGTTGTGCAATCATGGCTCATTGCAGCCTTGAACTCCTGGGCTCAAGTGATCCTCCTGCCTAAGCCTCCCAGGCAGGCAGCTGGTACTACAGGTGTGCACCACCACGCGTGGCTAATTAAAAAAAATGTTTGTAGAGAATTGGGGTCTTGCTATGTTGCCCAGGTTGGCCATTTTCTGAAGTATAATGGGGAAAACAAGGCAACCCTGCCTGCCTTAAGCCAACCCCCAGACTGACCCTCTGCTACCACCTCTGCACCCAGCTTCCTGCTCACCTCAGGCTCCTCCTCCCCATTCTGGCTGTGCTCCCCCTGCAGCCTCTCTCGCAACTTCCCCAGCTCTGCTCGCAGGCTGCCCATCTCCTGCTCCTTGGTCTGCAGGTCTGCCTCCAGCTCCACCTTCTGTTCGATCAGGGCTTTCCCCTGGGCCTCCACCACCGTGACCCGGTGCCGAAGGTCATGGTTGATCTTCATCAGCCGTGTCTGCTGCTGCTGTAACTGTAGAAAAAGGGAGACCATTGTGCGGGGCTGCCACCTGCGGTAGCTCAGGTTGTACACTGCACAACGGCAAACCATCCATAGGTGTGCCATTTACATTGCAGACATCTTTGTTTGAAAGTTGTTCGTATTCTTATAGCTGATGATGCTAGAGATGGGCAATTTGTGTATTTTCTATGATAATTTTATGGCAGATGGAAGGGTGTCTTGCTAGAATTAATACATTATGAAAATTTCCCAACAAATGGAAGTAACATGCCTTCAGAAAGGGGCATTTTTTTCTGATTTACACAGAGACACTGTATGGGTTCCTGGAGCACGCTGGACCCTGCTAAGTCTGCTCACAGAGAGGCATGAAGTGGTGGGGCTGGAGGAGGCCTTGGGGTCAGAGCAAAGTCTGCCCAGGCCTCGGGACCTTCCCAGGAGGCGGGAGGAGCCTGCTCACCGGGCAGTGCCACGTTTCCTCCTGCTCTGCCAGTGAAGACTTGAAGTTTCCAGGCTGGGCCCGCCAAGCCATGAGCAGGATCCACACCCCACGGAGCCCCAAGAATGAGAGTGAGGGAGAGAAGGGGCCTGCTGAGTGGAGGGTCTGGTCTCTGGCTGGCACCTACTGGCTGGGAGGGTGGACGCAGGTCAGGGGTGTGTCACTCACAGCCTCAACGTCCTCATTTTTCAGGCCCAGCTCCCTGTCCTTGGCGCGGATCTCGTCGCGTTGTTTGTCCACCACCTCCTTCAGCTTCTTCATCACCTGTCGCTCCCGCTCTGACATGCCTGGGTGGGCAAGTGAGACCGGCAGGTGAGCCCGCCTTACTCCTATGTTGAAATCATCCACCACTTCTGCTGAGGATGAAACTGAGGTCTTAGTGGCCCCCCGGCCTCCTCCCCAGCCTCATCCTCTCCACTCTCCACTCACGCCCTTCGCCCTCCCCGGTGCCTGCTTTCTATTCCTTGATTCCCCCCGAGGTCATTCCCACCTTGAGGCCTCTTCCTTGCCCATCAGTCCCTTCCTTCTCATCTCCCTGTGGCTGGCGCGCTTCATTTTTCAGGCCTCAGCCCAAATGTCACCTCTTCACAGAGGCCTCCCTTCCTCTGACCACTCAGTGACAGCCTCTACCTCCCCCACACCTCATTCATTCGCTTCTCTCCATCCCTGACCCACCATGTATTACTTTTTTTTTTTTTTTGAGACGGAGTCTCGCTCTGTCGCCCAGGCTGGAGTGCAGTGGCGCGATCTCGGCTCACTGCAGGCTCCTCCTCCCGGGTTCACACCATTCTCCTGCCTCAGCCTCCTGAGTAGCTGGGACTACAGGGCCCACCACCACGCCCGGCTAAATTTTTGTATTTTTAGTAGAGACGGGGTTTCACCGTGTTAGCCAGGATGGTCTCGATCTCCTGACCTCGTGATCCGCCCGCCTCGGCCTCCCAAAGTGCTGGGGTTACAGGCGTGAGCCACCGCGCCCGGCCTCATGTATTACCTTTATGGCACTTTTTACAGTTCCTATGTGTCCCTTTCTTTTTTTTTTTTTTTTTTTTTTTGAGACAGATTCTCACTCTGTTGCCCAGGCTGGAGTGTAGTGGTACAATCTTGGCTTTCTGCAACCTCTGCCTCCTAGGCTCAAGTGATCTTCCCACCTCAGCCTCCCAAGTAGCTCGAGGCAACAGACATGTGCTACCTCGCCTGGCTAATTTTTGTATTTTTAGTAGAGACAGGGTTTTGCCATGTTGACCAGGCTGGTCTCAAACTCCTGACTTCAAGTGATCCGCCCACCTCGGCCTCCCGAAGTGCTGGGATTACAGGCGTGAGCCACCGCACCCAGCCTCTTACATTCTTTTATCTGACGAAAGATGACGCTGCACAGTGATTCAGGCTGGGCTCAAGCTCAGACACTGGCTCTCCTATTTATCAGCAGTTTGGTTTGGAGCTAGCCTCTTTATGCCTCAGTTTCCACCCTATAAAGTAGGGTGATAACAGTCCCCGCAACTCATAGGGCTGTTGTGAGGATTGATTATGTCAACCTAAATGATGAACAGAGAAAGGTTCTCTAAAATAAGAGATGGGCCAGGCGTGGTGGCTCATGCCTGTAATGCCAGCACTTTGGGAGGCTGAGGCGGTTGGATCACCTGAGGTCAGGAGTTTGAGACCAGCCTGGCCGACATGGTGAAACCCTCTCTGCTAAAAATACAAAAAAAAAATTAGCCGGCTATGGTGGCGGGCACCTGTAATCCCAGCTACTCGGGAGGCTGAGGCAGGAGAATTGCTTGAACCTGGGAGGTGGAGGTTGCAGTGAGCCGAGATCGTGCCATTGGACTCCAGCCTGGGTGACAACAGCAAGACTCTGTCCCAAAAATAAAAAGTAAATAAAATTTAAAAATAAAATAAAATAAAAGATGGCCACGCATCTTGGCTCACACCTGTAATCCCAGTGCTTTGGGAGGCTGAGGCAGGAGGATCGCTGAGGCTAGGAGTCTGAGAGCAGCCTGGGCAACATAACAAGACCCTGTTTCTACAAAAAGATTTTTTTTTTTTTAACTAGCCAAGCGTGGTGGTGTCCACTTGTAATCTCAGCTACTTAGGAGGCTGACGAGGGAGGAACACTTGAGCCCAGGAGTTCGAGGCTGCAGTGGGCTCTGATTGCACCACTGTACTCCAGGCCTGGGTGACAGAAGACCCTGTCTCAAAACAAACAAACAAACAAACAAACAAAAAACCTCAGGCTGGGTGCCGGTGGCTCACGCCTGTAATCCCAGCACTTTGGGAAGCCGAGGTGGGCGGATCACAAGGTCAAGAGATCGAGACCATCCTGGCCAACACTGTGAAACCCCGTCTCTACTAAAAATACAAAAATTAGCTAGCCCTGGTGGTGAGCGCCTGTAGTCCCAGCTACTCGGGAGGCTGAGGCAGGAGACTCGCTTGAACCCGGGAGGCGGAGGTTGCAGTGAGCCAAGATCACGCTACTGCACTCCAGCCTGGGCAACAGTTCGAGACTCTGTCTCAAAAAAAAAAAAAAAGAAAGAAAAGAAAAAAAACAACCCCAAAAAACAAAACAAAAACTGTAATCCTAGCACTCTGGGTGGCCCAGGCAGGCAGATCACCTAGGTCGGGAGCTCGAGACCAACCTGACCAACATGGAGAAACCCCGTCTCTACTAAAAATACAAAATTAGCCAGGCGTGGTGGCGCATGCCTGTAATCCCAGCTACTCGGGAGGCTGAGGCAGGAGAATCACTTGAACCTGGGAGGGGAGGTGGAGGTTGTGGTGAGCTGAGATCATACCCCTGTACTCCAGCCTGGGCAACAAGAGTGAAACTTCGTCTCAAAAAAAAAAAAAAAAAGGAAAAGCTACTTATTTGGGAGTAGAGCGTTGCAATGGGAATCCACCTGCCATAGTAAACTATGTGTATTCAGGGAGGTAAAGGAAGACAACGATTTTTAAAGGAAAAAATAAGGAGGGTTACATAATTGTTTTGAAATATTAATAATTATACTTGGCTACAAAGATCAATAACAAGGGTGACTGTAGTCTGAGGCTGGACCGGCCACTGCCGGGCAGACGTCGTAGCAGAAGTCTTTTTGTGTAAGGTTACAAAGGCCTTTGTGCAAAGCTGTCGTTTTTCCAGAGTCTTTTTTGTTATCGGGCATGCAAGCGTGAAAACCCTCTCTTCATGGCTTTCCCGGGTTCCATTTGTCAGGGTTTTGGGTAACATTGGTGACCCCATTTTGATTCAGACAACTTTCACAGTTAATACACACAGAGCCCTGAAGATGGTGCCTGGCACACCGCAGGCGGGTGAGGCCCACCCCTCATCCCTAACCCTAACTAGACTGTCAGCCACAGGAGGGCAAGGCCCTATCTGCCCTAGTCACTGTTACATTCCCTGGGCCCCATATGGTGCCTGGCACACCGCAGGTGCCCATTAAGTTATTGTTGAATTAATGACCTGTGAGGATGGGTGCTATGTCAGTTTCCTGCACCTGCTGTAACAAATGACCAATAATTGTGGTATCCTAACACATCAGAAATTTATTTTCTCATAGCTCTAGAAGCCAGAAGGTCCAAATGAACCTGAAATCAAGGTATCAAGGTGTTACCAGGGCCATGCTTCCTCTGGACCTCTAAGGGAGATTTTTTTTTTCTTTTTTGAGACAGAGTCTCACTGTGTCACCCAGGCTGGAGTGCAGTGGTGAGATCTCGGCTCACTGCAGCCTCCCCCTCCTGGGTTCCAGTGATTCTCCTGCCTCAGCCTCCCAAGTAGCTGGGACTACAGGTCCCCGCCACCACGCTCGGCTAATTTTTTGTATTTTTAGGAGAGTCAGGTTTCACCATGTTAGCCAGGATGGTCTCGATCTCCTGACCTTGTGATCCACCCACCTTGGCCTCCCAAAGTGCTGGGATTTACAGGCGTGAACCACCACGCCTGGCCTTTTTTTTTTTTTTTTTTTTTTTTTTTTTTTTGAGACAGAGTCTCACTCTGTAGCCCAGGCTGGAGTGCAGTGGCGCGATCTCAGCTCACTGCAACCTCTGTCTCCCCGGTTCAAGCGATTCTTCTGCCTCAGCCTCCCAAGTATCTGGGATTACAGGCACCTGCCACAACCTGGCTAATTTTTTTGTATTTTTAGTACAGATGGGGTTTCACCACGTTGGCCAGGCTGGTCTCAAACTCCTGACCTCAAGCGATCCACTCGCCTCAGCCTCCCAAAGCAATGGGATTATATAGGCATGAGCCACCGTGCCTGGCCCAGAGAGATTTCGTTCCTTCCCTCTTCCAGCTTCTAGTGGCCACCAGCACTTCTCGGCTTGTGGTGACATTTCTCCAGTCTCTGCCTCTGTGGTCCCGTGGCCTTCTCCTCTTCTGTCAGTGCCAAATCTCTCCCTGCCTCCATCTTACAAGGACACCTGTGATTACATTCTGGGCTCACCCAAGTAAGCCAGGATAACATCCCCATCTCAAGATCTGGCCGGGAGTGGTGGCTCATGCCTGTAATCCCAGCACTTTAGGAGGCTGAGGCGGGTGGATCACGAGGTCAGGAGATCGAGACCATCCTGGCTAACACGGTGAAACCCTGTCTCTACTAAAAATACAAAAAATTAGCCAGGCATGGTGGTGCACGCCTGTAATCCCAGCTACTCGGGAGGCTGAGGCAGGAGAATGGCGTGAACCCAGGAGGCGGAGCTTGCAGTGAGCCGAGATGGCGCCACTGCACTCCAGCCTGGGTGATAGAGCGAGACTCTATCTCAAAAAAAAAAAAAAAAAAGAAAGATCTGGAATGAAATAACACAACTGCAAAGACATTACCACATCAGGTGACATCCACAGGTTCTAGGAACTAGGACCTGATATTTTGGGGCCATTATTCAGCCTTCCGTAGGTGCTGGGGCTGCCAGTGCACACCTGCTCCGTGAAGCCTGGGCTGGCCTGCAATGGCCAGGCTCAATCCGAGGTGAACAAGGGGGAAACGTCCCTCCTTAGCCCCCGGGACTCAGGACATGCAGCCAGATCTAATCCCATGAGGAGAAAGCACAGAGGCAACCCCTCAGCTATTTCTTTGGCATGACTTTCCCCCCCGGGTGCGCCATTGCATCAGAGTCCTTGCCGCTGACCTCCTCTCTCTTGTCTTGGTGGTCACCACCATGAACAAGCATCCCTGGTGTGTTTCCAGAACAGCAGGCGACGATGCCAGTGCCACAAAGCCAGGTAAGGCCTGGGTCCTGAGCTTGAGCTTGGGATTTTATATGATCGTCCTAGAGGCATCAGCCTGTCTCATTCGTCTCTGTATTCCAGGGCCCCACACATGACAGATGCCTGAGGCTGGCCAGTGAACGGGAACTGGTTCTTCTTCTGCACTCCCAAAGGGCAACGTACTCCTGCCAAGCCCAGGAAGGATAAACTGCTTTACACCCTGGACCTTATTTCATTCTCATTCCCAACCACTGGAAATGGGTCTTATTATCATTACTGTTGTTTCTAACATCAGTCTCATTTTACATATATGAAAAACTGAGGCCCAGAGATATTTTTTTTTCTCAAAGTCTTACAGCCAAAAACTCAAGCCCAGGTTTTCTGACTCCAGATCCCGTGTCTTCTCCATGATACCAAGCTGCCTTGTCACCAGGGCACGAGATGCAAAAGGCTCTCTTAAGGTCACCAGAATGTGTCACCACGGGGCAGACTCTAGTCCCCACTTTCTCCCAGACAGAGCCACCTTCTGGGGGTGCCCTCACATATTTTTGCATATGTGTACCCCCATCAGAATGTTCACCCATCAAGTTTTTTTGTTTTTTTTTTTATTTTTTTGAGACGGAGTCTCACTTTATTGCCCAGGCTGGAGTGCAGTGGCACGATCTTGGCTTACTGCAACCTCTACCTCCTCAGTTCAAGGACTTCTCCTGCCTCAGCCTCCTGAGTAGCTGGTACTACAGGCATGCGCCTGGCAATTTTTGTATTTTTAGTAGAGACAGGATTTCACCATGTTGGCCAGGCTGGTCTCGAACTCCTAACCTCAAGTGATCTGCCCTCCTCAGCCTCCCAAAGTGCTGGGATTACAGGCGTGAGCCACTGCGCCCAGCCTGTTTGTTTAGAGACAGGGTCTTGCTTTGTCACCTAGGCTAAAGTGCAGTAGCATGATCACAGCTCACTGCAGCCTTGACCTCCCAGGCTCAAGTGATTCTCCCATCTCAGCCTCCCCAGGACCTGGGACCACTGCGTGCACCACCACACTTGGCTAATTAAAAAAAATTTTTTTTAAGTCTCACTGTGTTACCCAGGCTGGTCTTGAACTCCTGGCCTCAAGCAATCCTCCCACCTGAGTCCCACCAAGTGCTAGGACTACAGGTGTGGGCCACTGTGCCCGGCCATCGAGTTTTTGTTTTCTGTTTTTTTTGACCCAGGGTCTCTGTCACCTAGGCTAGAGGGCAGTGGCAGGATCACAGCTCACTGCAACCTCTGCCTCCTGGGCTTAAGTGATCCTCCCACCTCAGCCTCTGAGTAGCTGGGACTATAAAGATGCACCACTACAGCTGGCTCGTTTTTGAATCTTTTTTTATAGAGACAAGGTCTTGCCACGTTGCCCAGGCTGATCTCAAACTCCTGGGCTCAAGCGATCTTCCCACCTCGGCCTCCCGAAGGGCCCTGATGGCAGGCATCAGCCACCACACCTGGCCATCAAGTGTTTATTGAGCACCTTCTGTGTACATGACACCGAACTAGTCATGAGGGTCAGCGTGGTGAATAAATGAAACCTGATTCTGCTCTCACTGGTTTACAGATGTCAGACAGGCACGTGCCATTACAGACCAAGTTGAGTGCCGTGACGGATGTGACAGGGGCTGAGAAAAGTGACCAGGGAGACCCCATGCAGACCATGGGTGCAGGGCAGGCCTCTCAGGGCAGGGGTCATTTCCGCTGAGACCAGAGGCCACAGAGGAAAGGAGGCCTGGTGGCAAGGACAGCGCAGCACAGGCGGCAGTGAGTGCAAAGGCCCTGGGGGAGGGGCTGCATCGGGGGATGAGGGCAATGCGGGCTGAGGCGCAGAGGCCATGGGGGTGATGCACGCATGAGCTAAAACAAGCCCAGGCCACACAGTGCCTTAAGGCATGGGTCAGGGGTTGGATTATCCCCTGCAGGGACAACAGGAGCCTCAGGGTCTCAACATGTAGGGGCTGTGCAAGGCAGGAGGGTCAGGCAGAGGAGACCAGGAAGGGGCAGCCAGAGAGGACAGACTTCCAGACTTCCAGCAGGGGTGGGCGTCCTCTGTATGCACATGACATGGCTGGAGGGAAAGGACCCTGCAGTGCAGGGAATTATGGGAAGTGTGGACAGGGCACCAAGGCACTGGGAGGCCCCGGAGAGCGGTACAGAAAGCTGAGCTCCACCACCTGCTGCCATCGAGCCTCACGGCTTATGACTTCTGAAGTGACGCTCACCTCTCTGAGCCTCTATTCACTCATCTGCAAAATGGGCACGTGAATTATTTTTCCATTCTCCACCTTTCTGATGATGCTGTTCATGTAAAGTACATATAGTAGAAAGCTACACAAAGCCATGAAACTGGATGGTGCATCCTCCCACCGATGGCCATGGGGGGCATGAGTGCAGCCCTTCAAGCTGAATGACCACTCGGGTTTCTTCTAGTACCTCCTGGGTCCTGCTCAGCTCTGAGGCAGAGAGCTCCACAAAAGCCCTAAGACCCCACAGAGACGTCAGCCCTGGCTGGTGTGCAGAGGCAGGGATGAAAAGAAGGGGCAAGAATCCATTTAGCCACCAGAATGGCTAAAATGAGAAGGACTGACACCACCAAGTGCTGGTGAGAAAGTGGGGCAGCTGGAAGACGTGTGCCTTGTTGCTGGAAGTGCTACTATGGAAATTCGTTTGGCCTTACCTGCTAAAGCTCACACACGCACTCTAGCAACTGTATCGTGGGGGGCCCTCAACAGGCAGGTGTGCCCACATGCCTCAGGAGGAAGATGGTGAAATTAACCACTGTACAACCCACACTGTGCAGCTATTTGAAAGACTGAGGCCAGGCACAGTGGTTCATGCCTGTAATCCCAGCACTTTGGGAGGCCAAGACAGGAGGACTGCCTGAGCCCAGGAGTTCGAGACCAGCCACTGCAATACAGGGAGACCTCGTCTCTACAAAAAATTAAAAAATACTAACTGGGTGTGATGGCACACACCTGTAGTCCCAGCTACTCAAGAGGCTGAAGCAAGAAGACTGCTTGAGCCCAGGAGTTCGAGGCTGCAATGAGCTATGTCGTGCCACTGGATTCCAGCCTGGGTTGACAGAATGAGATACTGTCTCAAAAAAAAAAAAAAGATGTATGTGTGTATGTATGGGGATTTGGAGAAATTAGAACCTTTATACACTGCTGATGGGAATGTAAAATGGTACAGCTAGGCCGTGCACGGTGGCTCACGCCTGTAATCCCAGCACTTTGGAAGGCCGGGGTGGGTGGATCACCTGATGTCGGGAGTTCTAGACCAACCTGACCAACATGGAGAAACCCCATCTCTACTAAAAATACAAAATTAGCTGGGCGTGGTGGTGCATGCCTGTAATCCCAGCTACCCAGGAGGCTGAGGCAGGATAATCACTTGAACCCGGGAGGTGGAAGTTGCAGTGAGCTGAGATCACGCCACTGCACTCCAGCCTGGGCAAAGAGAGTGAAACTCCATCTCAAAAAAAAAAAGAAAAAAAAAAAAAAAAGAAAAGAGAAAACCAGTGGTTGCCTAGGGCTAGGGGGAATAGGGGGAATGGGGGATTGCTTTTGGGATGACAAAAACTTCCAAAAATCAGACAGTAGTGATAGTTGGACAACTTTGTGAATATTCTAAAAACCACTGAGTTGGACCAGGCATGGTGGCGCATGCCTGTAATCCCAGCACTTTGGGGGGCCAAGGCAGAAGGATCACTGGAACTCAGGAGGTCAAGACCAACCTGGGCAAATAATTGAGACCTCGTCTCTACTAAAAATAAAAAAATTAGCCAGGCGTGGTGGCCCACGCCTATAGTTCCAGCTACTTGGGAGGCTGAGGTAGGAGGATCACCTGAGTTAGGGAGTTCGAGGCTGCAGTGAGCTATGATTGTGCCACTGCTCTTCAGCCTGGGCAACAGAGAGAGACCCTGCCTCAAAAAAAACAAAAAACAAAAAACAAAAAACCCACTGAGTTGTCCACATTTGAAAGGATGAATCTTATGATTTCTCAATTTCCAAAAAGCATACACTGTATGATTCCATGTATATGAAGTTCAAAACAAGGCTGAATTAATCTCTGGAGACAAAAGGTCAGAGTCAGGGTGACCTTGTGAAGTTTTGTCTGGTAAGGGATGAGAAGGTGCATTCTGGGGTGTTGAACTATTCTCTATCCTGATCTGAACATACATGCAAAAATTCATAGAGCTGTACACTTAAAATGTGTTCACTTCACTCTAAGTTATACCTCAATTTAAAATGTTAAGGCCGGGCACAGTGGCTCGTGCCTGTAATCCCAGCACTTTGGGAGGACAAGGTAGGAGAATTGCTTGAGCCCAGGAATTACAGGCTGCAGCGAGCTATGATCGCATCATTGCACTCCACCTGGGTGACAAAGTGAGCCCTCATCTCCAAAAAAAAAAAGTTGCTAAAAAAAACAATAGCCAAGGCTGGGCGCGGTGACTCACACCTGTAATCCCAGCACTTTGGGAAGCTGAGGAGGGCGGATCACTTGAGGTCAGGAGTTGGAGACCAACCTGGTCAACATGGTGAAACCTCTCGTCTCTACTAATAATACAAAAATGAGCTGGAAATCGCTTCAACTCAGGAGGCAGAGGTTGCAGTGAGCCAAGATCACACCACTGCACTCCAGCCTGGGCAGGAGAGTGAGACTCCGTCTCAAAACAACAAACAAACAAACAAACAAACAAAAATAGCCAAGAAGTGGAAGCAAGCTAAATGTCCATCAACGGAAGAATGGAATAAAGAAAATGTGGTCTGTCCATACAACGGAATGTTACTCAGCCTTAAAAAAGGAAGGAAATCGGCTGGGCATGGTGGCTCACGCCTACAACGCCTGCACTTTGGGAGGCTGAGGCAGGTGGATCACCTGAAGTTGGGAGTTCGAGACCAGCCTGACCAACACGGAGAAACCCCATCTCTACTAAAAATACAAAATTAGCCAGGCATGGTGGCGCATGCCTGTAATCCCAGCTACTTGGGAGGCTGAGGCTGGAGAATTGCTTGAACCTGAAAGGTGGAGGTTGCAGTGAGCTGAGATCGTGCCACTGCACTCCAGCCCGAGTAACAAGAGCAAAACTCCGTCTCAAAAAAAAAAAAAAAAAGAAGGAAATCCTGTCACATGCTGCCACGTGGATGAACCCTGAAGACCTTATGCTTAGTGAAAAAGCCAGGCACAAGGGACAAACGCCGTATGATTCCACTTCCAGGAGGAGCTCCCTAGAGAAGTCAGACCACAGACGTGGACGTCGTTTTCGTCAGCAAGATGAAAGGGGTCCAGCGCCCTGCTGCCCACCCTCATGCACACAGTAAACACCGCTGCCCTGTGCACTCACACAGGTTACAGAGGGGCAATTCTGCGACATGTTTTCCACCAGAATGTTTAAAAGGAAAAGATAAGAAACACTAGCTGGCCAAGGGCCCTACTGGTACAATTCATCTCCGCCTGCTGATGGGGGAAGATGAGGACAGCCAGTCCCTGGAGCCGAGGCCTGGCATGTGTGGGGCAGGGGCTCCCGATGAGGAAGGTGGGAAAGACAGGGGAAGGCCCCCCTGGACCCTTGGGGAGCCCAGCGGCAGGGCAGGGTGTCAGCAGGTGGCCGCAGGAGTTGCTCTGCGTCCACTTTCTCTAAGCACAGAACCGGCAACCAAGCCGGGCCCCCCGCTTGCAGTTGTGAAGTGGACCCTCTCCCCGTCAGCTCTGCTCTCCTGCCTCCGGCTGTGGGTCCTGTGAGGGATTCCCGGGCCATGTGGGGGGCCCGCCTGTGCCCTCTCTCCTCTCTATGCCCCAGGGACACTGCTGCAGAGCAGTGCTGGGTTTAGCTGGTGGGACCCGGGGACACGGCTAACGCTTCCCAGAAAGGCGACCCTTGGGCATGTGGGGGGTGTGGTGTGTGTGTGTGTGTGTGGTGTGTGAGGTCTGTGTGTGGTGTCAATGTGAGGTCTGTGTCTGGTGTGTGTGTGAGGTCTGTGTGTGTGAATGTGGGGTCTGTGTGTGTGGGGTATATGTGTGTGATGTGTGTGTGTAGTGTGTGAGGTCTGTGTATGGTGTGTGTGAGGTCTGTGTGTGGTGTCAATGTGAGGTCTGTGTCTGGTGTGTGTGTGAGGTCTGTGTGTGTGAATGTGGGGTCTGTGTGTGTGTGGTATATGTGTGTGATGTGTGTGTGTAGTGTGTGAGGTCTGTGTATGGTGTGTGTGAGGTCTGTGTGTGTGTGGTGTGTGAGGTCTGTGTGTGGTGTCAATGTGAGGTCTGTGTCTGGTGTGTGTGTGAGGTCTGTGTGTGTGAATGTGGGGTCTGTGTGTGTGTGGTATATGTGTGTGATGTGTGTGTGTAGTGTGTGAGGTCTGTGTATGGTGTGTGTGAGGTCTGTGTGTGTGTGGTGTGTGAGGTCTGTGTGCAGTGTGTGTGTGAGGTCTGTGTGTGTGTGTATTGTGTGAGGTCTGTGTGTGTGTGGTGTGTGTAAGGTTTGTGTGTATGTGATGTGTGAGGTCTGTGTGTGTGTGGTGTGTGTGAGGTCTGTGTGTGTGGTGTGTGCAGTGTGAGTGTATGTCTGTGTGGTGGCATCTGTGTGTGTGTGGTGTGTGGGGTCTGTGTGTGTGTGAGGTCTGTGTGTGGTGTGTGTGTTAGGTCTGTGTGTGTGGTGTGTGAGGTCTATGTGTGTGTGTGGTGTGTGTGAGGTCTGTGTGTGGTGTTTGTGTGAGGTCTGTGTGTGTGTGGTGTGTGAGGTCTGTATGTGTGTGTGTGGTGTGTCTGAGGTCTGTGTGTGGTGTGTGTGTGAGGTCTGTGTGTGTGTGGTGTGTGCAGTGTGAGTGTATGTCTGTGCGGTGGCATCTGTGTGTGTGGTGTGTGAGGTCTGTGTGTAGTGTCAATGTGAGGTCTGTGTGTGGTGTCTGTGTGAGGTCTGTGTGTGTGGTGTGTGAGGTCTGTGTGTGTGAGGTCTGTGTGTGAGGTCTCTGTGTGTGTGGTCTCTGTGTGGTGTGTGTGTGAGGTCTGTGTGTGTGGTGTGTGAGGTCTGTATGTGTGTATGTGGTGTGTCTGAGGTCTGTGTGTGGTGTGTGTGAGGTCTGTGTGAGGTCTGTGTGTGTGGTATGTGTGAGGTCTGTGGGTGGTGTGAGGTCTGTGTGTGTGGTGTGTGTGAGGTCTGTGTGTGGTGTGTGAGGTCTGTGTGTGTGAGATCTGTATGTGTGAGGTCTGTGTGTGTGGTGTGTGGTGTGTGTGTGTGGTGTGAGATCTGTGTGTGTGTGAGGTTTGTGTGTGTGGTGTGTGTGAGGTCTGTGTGTGGTGTGTGAGGTTTGTGTGTGTGTGGTGTGTGTGAGGTCTGTGTGTGGTGTGTGAGGTCTGTGTGTGTGTGTGAGATCTGTATGTGTGAGGTCTGTGTCTGTGTGTGGTGTGTGAGGTTTGTGTGTGTGTGTGGTGTGAGATCTGTATGTGTGAGGTCTGTGTCTGTGTGTGGTGTGTGAGGTTTGTGTGTGTGTGTGGTGTGAGATCTGTGTGTGTGTGAGGTCTGTGTGTGGTGTGTGAGATCTGTATGTGTGAGGTCTGTGTGTGTAGTGTGTGAGGTTTGTGTGTGTGAGGTCTGTGTGTGGTGTGTGAGGTCTGTGTGTGTGTGGTGTGTGTGAGGTCTGTGTGTGGTGTGTGAGGTTTGTGTGTGTGTGGTGTGTGTGAGGTCTGTGTGTGTGGTGTGTGAGGTCTGTGTGTGTGTGGTGTGTGAGGTCTGTGTGTGTGGTGTGTCTGAGGTCTGTGTGTGGTGTGTGTGTGGTGTGTGCAGTGTGTGTGTATCTGCGGTGGCATCTGTGTGTGGGTGGTGTGTGAGGTCTGTGTGGAGGTCTGTGTGTGGTGTCAATGTGAGGTCTCTGTGTGGTGTGTGAGGTCTGTATGTGTGTGTGTGTGTGTGGTGTGTCTGAGGTCTGTGTGTGTGGTGTGTGAGGTCTGTGTGTGTGTGGTGTGTCTGAGGTCTGTGTGTGTGGTGTGTGAGGTCTGTATGTGTGTGTGAGGGCTGTGTGTGAGGTCTGTGTGTGTGTGGTGTGAGATCTGTGTGTGTGTGAGGTCTGTGTGTGTGTGGTCTGTGTGTGGTGTGTGTGTGAGGTCTGTATGTGTGTGAGGTCTGTGTGTGGTGTGTGAGATCTGTATGTGTGAGGTCTGTGTCTGTGTGTCGTGTGTGAGGTCTGTGTGTGGTGTGAGAGCTGTGTGTGTGTGAGGTCTGTGTGTGGTGTGTGAGGTTTGTATGTGTGTGGTGTGTGTGAGGTCTGTGTGTGGTGTGTGAAGTTTGTGTGTGTGTGTGGTATGTGTGAGGTCTGTGTGTGGTGTGTGAGGTTTGTGTGTGTGTGTGGTGTGAGATCTGTGTATGTGTGAGGTCTGTGTGTGCTGTGTGAGGTTTGTGTGTGTGTGGTGTGTGAGGTCTGTGTGTGTGTGGTGTGTGCAGTGTGAGTGCGTGTATGTGTGTGGTGACATCTGTGTGTGTGTGGTGTGTGAGGTCCGTGTGTGTGTGGTGTGTGTGAGGTCTGTGTGTGGTATGTGAGGTTTGTGTGTGGTGTGAGATCTGTGTGTATGAGGTCTGTGTGGTGTGTGAGGTTTGTGTGTGAGGTCTGCGTGTGTGCTGTGTGCAGTGTGAGTGCGTGTATGTCTGTGTGGTGGCGTCTGTGTGTGTGTGGTGTGTGAGGTCCGTGTGTGTGTGGTGTGAGGTCTGTGTGTGTGGCGTGTGTGAGTGGGTGTATGTGTGTGTCTGTGTGGGTGTTGTATGTGTGTGTCGTGTGTGTTTGGGGGCTGAGGTCCCATGTAGACAGAAGTCAGTGCCAAAGCCACAAACTCCTCCCGACCCCCCGCCTGCCATTTGAACACTTGTCCCGACATGCCCTGTCCTGGGGCGCCAGGACCCACTCACTCATTTACTCCTTGCTGGGGCTGCCTTGGCTCCCCGAGAGGTGGGCGGGAGGCGAGCATGAGGAGAGAGGGGCGGCTGGGTCTATGTGGAAGCCCAGCAGCCTCATCACCTTCCTGGGCGGCAGCCGTAGGAGCTATGAGACCGAGGCAGAAGCCTGGCGCCTGACTCCTATCCCAGCTTCGGCCTCTTAGTTGCTTTCCCTTCAGGCCTCGGTGCTCTCGAGAGGCCTGTGCACGCTTCATCGATGTGAAGTGCTCACAACAGAGGGGCCCAGGGCCAGAGTGTCTAAGTCATTTTATCCTGATACGGAAAGACCAGGCCTCCCCGCTTCACAGGTCACTGCTAAGAGAAAGTACAAGAGTGCTTTGGAAAACTAAGAGAAGGCCAAGTATTCTTAACAGACACTGTTAAAAGCTGGAAGAGTTGTGAGCCATCATACACACCCAGCAATTCAGGATCTAGGGACCTAGATTTTAAGAGACACTTGGGCAGGGGCACCATGGAGAAGCTCGTCCGTGGCCAGCCACAGCAGCCACACGTGTGGGAGTGAGAATCTGGCAGTGAGCTACTGTCCACCAGCAAGGCACTGTCCAGGCAGTGGGACACCATGAGACACGATGTGCCGTCGAAAACACTGAGATAGACTGTTAAGTGACAAAGTTCACAGCAGCACTATCTGTAGCAGATGAAAGATGGAAGCCACCCAAATGTCCCCCCGCTAAGAATGGATAAGCACAACGCGCTCAGTCCACACAGTGGAGGACAATTCAGCCATAACGAGGAAAGCAGCTCTGACACGCCACAGCACGGATGAACCTCAAAAATGACGTGGGGTCTAAGATCAGACCCCAAGGTTGCATACAGTGTGATTTCATCGATAGGAAATATCCAGAACTGGCAAATCCACAGAGGCAGAAAGCAGATTAGAGGCTGCCAGTGGTTGTACCTGCAGGGAGGGAGGGCAGAGACAAGAGGCTGGGGAGAGACCTGCCAGGTGCAGTCACCTCAGGAAGGTGGTGAAAGTGTTTTGGAACAAAACAGGTGATGGTTGTACAACACTGTCATGATTTTAAAAAAAAAAATTTTTTTTTTTGAGAGTCTCACTGTCACCCAGGCTGGAGTACAGTGGCGCAATCTCAGCTCACTGCAACCTCTGCCTCCTGGGTTCAAGCGATTCTCCTGCCTCAGCCTCCCGAGTAGCTGGGATTACAGGCATGTGCCACCATGCCTGGCTAATATTTGTATTTTAGTAGAGATGGGGTTTCACCATGTTGGCCAGGCTGGTCTCCAACTCCTGACCTGAAGTGATCCACCCACCTCAGATTCCCAAACTGCTGCAATTACAGGTGTGAGCCACCGCCCCCAGCCCATTATGAATAACTTAAATGATACACTACATGCTGCTGAATTAAATGATATACTATATGCTACTGAATTAAATGATATACTACATGCTACTGAATTAAATGATATACCACATGCTACTGAACTGTGCACTTTAAAATTGTTATCTGTATATTACATGAATTCACCTCAATTAAAAAATAGACAATCCAAACAATAAATACATAAATACTTTTTTTTTTTTTAAGAGACAGGGTCTTGCTCTGTTGCCCAGGCTGGAGTGCAGTGGTGCAATCAAGGCTCACTGCAGCCTTGACCTCCTGGGCTCAAAAGATTCTCCCACCTCAGCCTCCTGAGTAGCTGGGACTACAGGTGTGCACCACCATGCCCAGCTAATTTAAAAATTTTTTTGTAGAGACAGGGTCTCACTATGTTGTCCAGACTGGTCCCAAATTCCTGGTCTCAAGCAATCCTCCTGCCTCAGACTCCCAAAGTGTTTAATTTTATAAATTAAAATACAGAATTTTAATTAAAATACATAATTTTAATTTATAAAAAAGGACAAGTAATTCATAGCACAATTTCTTTTATTTTGAAAACAAAATAAACAAATTTGTGTGTAGATAGAAAGGGAAGGTTTTCCCTCTGGCAGTGCAGTGGGGGTGAAGCAAAGGGGAGTGTCACGTTTTGTGCTTAGTTTTATCTGACTCTTACGCAGTAAGAGTGAATATATACTACAGTGTTTTTTTTTTGTCTGTCTGTTTTTTGAGACAGAGTCTCACTCTGTCGCCAGGCTGGAATGCAGTGGCGCGATCTCAACTCACTACGACCTCTGCCTCCTGGGTTCAAGAGATTCTCCTGCCTCAGCCTCCTGAGTAGCTGGAATTACAGGTGCCCGCCACCATGCCCAGCTAATTTTTTTGTACTTTTAGTAGAGACGGGGTTTCACCAGGTTGGCCAGGATGGTCTTTATCTCTTCACCCCGTGATCCGCCCGCCTCAGCCTCCCAAAGTGTTGGGATTACAGGTGTGAGCCACCGAGCCAAACACCAGGCTGGGCGTGGTGGCTCACGCCTGTAATCCCAGCACTTTGGGAGGGTTAGGGGGGCAGATCACCTGAGGTCGGGAGTTCAAGACCAGCCTGACCAACATGGAGAAACCCTGTCTCTACTAAAAATACAAAATTAGCCAGGCGTGGTGGCACAGGCCTGTAATCCCAGCTACTTGGGAGGCTGAGGCAGGAGAATGGCTTGAACCCAGAAGGCGGAGGTTGCAGTGAGCTGAGATTGCAGCACTTCACTCCAGCCTGGGCCACAGAGCGAGACTCTGTCTCAAAAAAAAAAAAAAAAAAAAAAAAAAATGCCCCGAGATGATTGAGCAACTTGGCCCAAATCTCACTGCTAGTTAGTGGTCATGTAGGAGCTGTAATCTGGGTCTCTTCATATCAGACCAGTGTGTTTCTCAGCCCATCAGAGGTAGCAAAGCACCTTCAACATGGGAACGATGATGACCACAGCTCACATTTCTCATGAAGTTGGTCTCGGATCACCTGGGCCCGTGTTTACACCACTGCTCTTTGATGTGCCTTTGCTACCTCAGGCATCCTGGCTGGCAGGCTCTGCACTAGAAGTCCAGCTCCTCGCCTAAGGGCAGGAAAACCCTGAGGTGTAACTTACATTCCAGACTCCCCAGGGGCTAAGGCTGAGGCCACCCTGCCGGACTCTGCTGAGACCACGGCCCTCTGCCGGACCCTGCTGAGATCACAGCCCTGCTCCGCTTCCTCTTGCTTTCCCTGTCCTGCTTCCTCCACTCCCTCCCCTCTGGGGGCACTTCTTTCATAAGTCAGTTGCGTGGGAATCCCTGTCTCAGATTCCCTCCTGGAAGAATCTGACCTAAACAGTTCTGGGCATGGTGGCTCTAGATCGCTGTAATCCCAGCGACCCAGAACCTTGGAATGCGGCCTTATTTGAAAATAGGGTATTTGCAGATGTAATTAGTTAAGATGAAGTCATGGTGGATGAGGGGGGATGAGGGGTAGGCCCTAAATCCAATACCTGGTGTCCTTATAAGACAAAGGAAGTTGAGCGCTATGCCTCATGCCTGTAATCCCAGCACTTTGGGAGACTGAGGCAGGCAGATCACTTGAGCCCAGGAGCTTGAGACTAGCCTGGGCAACATGGTGAAACCCTATCTCTACAAAAAGTACAAAAATTAGCTGGGCATGGTAGCACATGCCTGTAGTCCCAGCTACTTGGGAGGCTGAGGCAGGAGGATTACCTGAGCAGGAGGTGAGGGAGGAGGAGGTTGCAGTGAGCCAAGATCGCACCACTGCACTCCAGCCTGCGGGGCAAAGTGAGACCCTGTCTCAAAACAAAAAACAAACAAAAAAATCCCATTAAACAACAAAAGATAAAGGAGAGGGAGCTGAGACACACAGACACGGAGGAGAACGTTTGGCTGCAGAGGAAGAGACTGGGATGGTGTAGCCACAGGTGAGGATGCCGACAGCCCCCAGAGGCAAGGAAGGACTCCTGCTGAGAGGCGCTGGAGGGAGCATGGCCTTGCTGATGCCCGACTATGAATCTCTGGCCTGCAGAACTATGAGAGTAAACTGTTTTTGGTCACCCAATTTGTGGTCATTTATTATGACAGCCCCAAGAAGCCAATATGGCAAACATACGGAGAAAGGCCCAGAGAGAGGGCACAGCAATTTTGTTGTTATTGTTTTTTTTTTTTTTTTTTGCGAGTCTCGCTGTGTTGCCCAGGCTGGAGCGCAGCGGTGGCAATCTCGGCTCACTGCTACCTCCGCTTTCCGGGCTCAAGCAATTCTTGTGCCTCAGCCTCCCGAGTAGCTGGGATTACAGGTGCACGCCACCACACCTGGCTACTTATTGTATTTTTTGTAGAGATGGGGCTTTGCCATGTTGCCCAGGCTGGTCTCAAACTCCTGGCCCCAAGTGATCCACCCGCCTCAGCCTCCCAAAGTGCTGGGATGACAGGCATGAGCCACCGCGCTTCTGAGAGCACCGTTGAGCTCAACGTATCCAATTCGGTAGCCACCAGCAGCCACTGAGCACTTGAAATGGGGCCTCTCCAAATGGACATATGCTGCAAACATAAAACACACATTGCCATTGTCAGCTGGTGGATAAACAAATGTAGGGCCTGCACACAATGGAATGTACTCAGCCTTAGAATGGAAGGAGATTCTGACATGGGCTACAAAATGGATAAACCTCGAAAACATGTTAGGTGAAATAAGCCAGACAAAAAAGGAAAAATACGATATGACTCCACTTATATAGGAGACGCCTCAAGTAGTTAAATCCATAGAGACAGTAAGTAGAATGGTGGGTGCCAGGGGCCAATGGCGTGGTGGGTGGGAAATTAGTGTTTAATGGGGACAGTGTTTCAGTTTTGTGAGAGAAAAGAGTTCTGGAGATGGATGGTGGTGGCGGCTGCACAAGACTGTGAATGTACTTAATGCCTCTGAACTGTACACTTAAAAATGATTAAGACAGGGCCGGGTGCGGTTGCTCACACCTGTAATCCCAGCACTTTGGGACTCCAAGGCAGGAGGATTGCTTGAGGCCGGGAGTTTCAGACCAGCCTGGGCAACATAGTGAGACCCCCGTCTCTACCAAAAAAATTTAAAACTTAGCCAGGCGTGGTGGTGCACACCTGTCATCCCAGCTACTTAGAAGACTGAGGTGGGAGAATCTTTTGAGCCTGGGAGGTTGAGGCTATGGTGAACTATAATTGCGCCACTGCACTCCAGCGTTGAAGACAGAGACCTGTCCAAAAAAAAAAAAAAAGGGAGAATGGCGGTTAAGATGGTAAATTTTATGTAAAATGTACGTTAGATTTTTTCACAATAGAATATGAATATATACACATATACACACATACATACATATGTATTCTACCACATTTCAAAGACTTAATATGAAAAAAATGCAAAATATCTCATTGATAGTCTCATTGATAATTTTTATATTGATTACATGTTACAAGGATACTTACTGTTTTGGATCTACTGGGTTCAGTAAAATATATTATAGAAAATACTTTCATCTGGCCGGGCGCGGTGGCTCATGCCTGTAATCCCAGCACTTTGGGAGGCCGAGGCAGGCGGATCATGAGGTCAGGAGATCGAGACCATACTGGCTAACACGGTGAAATCCCGTCTCCGCTAAAAATACATAAATTAGCTGAGCGTGGTGGCACGTGCCTGTGGTCCAGGCTACTCGGGAGGCTGAGGCAGGAGAATCACTTGAACCTGGGAGGTGGAGGTTGCAGTGAGCCGAGATTGCCCCACTGCACTCCAGCCTAGGCGACAGAGTGAGACTCCATCTCAAAAAAAAAAAAAAAAAAGAAAAGAAAAAAGAAATTACTTCATCTGTTTTACTTTTTTGAATGTGCCAAGTAGAAGAATGACAATGACTTCTCTTTTGTTGCAGTGTTGTTCTGTAATGCCCTTCAGAAAATGACAACGTGGTCAGTTTTCCTCTTCCCCTGGTGACTAAGCTGTTCCTTTAGAGCCCAAAGATTTTTTTCCAGACCCATGAGCAAATCTTCACACCCCATCCCCCGGCGCGATGGCTTGCATACCTGTCATTCATTTCTGCCTGTGCTAACAAGTTTCTGCGCGCTGCCCTCCAGCTGACAAACTGGATTGCCACAAACAGCCGGGAGCAAAGTGCTTTTTAATCTGGAGACTTCCGGGGGTACAGGAGCCTGCCAGGTGCCTCTGAGCACAGTGTCCAAGTTGAACTGCTGGGAAGGCCACACTGTTCCATGCGGGGCTGGCTCCTCTCAGCACCCCCTCACCCCCCACATAGGAATCGGACGACTGCACACCCCCAAGTCCTCGGTCTACCCCTGGCCTCTGCCCAGCACATTCTTAGCCGTCACTTCCCGGGCTCCACCTTCTCCCAAGGACCCTGTCTGTCCCAGGTCTGTTCCCCTAGCAGGTGGAAGACATGCCTTCTCCTTGTTGTGTTCCCATGGTTTCCCATGCAAAATAAAAATAACCACGAAAGGCATGCCTGGCATCTGCCCCGTCTCTCCACTCAGGCAGGAGGGCTGCTGCCGTGCTCCTCCTGAGCTAACCCTTTGGGAGCCGGACCCACGCTAGATGCCATTTAAGTGTGTCTCAGATTGCTCACGTGTGGGCTGATTCATGACAAGCCCAGCAGGGATCTGGAAGGCTGTGGAAGCAAAGTTCCCTGGGTGGAGGGCGCTGCGAGCATGCGTGCACTGATGCACAGGGAAGCGGCTCAGAGCCCTCAGGTCCAGGCCCTGTGGGTCCAAGGCCTCCAGGCGCCCTGCAGAAGTGTCAGAAGTTTAACATAGTTTCCCTATGGCCCAGCAATTCCACTCCTAGGTACACACCTCAAAGAACTGAAAACATAGGTCCACACAAAAGCTTGAGCACGATGTTCACAGCAGCACGATTCACAACAGCCAAAAGGTGGTGACGTCTCACAGGTCCATCCATAGATGAGTGGGCAAACGACATGCAGTATGGCCATAGAACGGAATATGATTCAGACAATTCGGACATGAAAAGGCAAGGCTGGGAGTGGTGGCTCACGCCTGTAATCCCAACACTTTGGGAGGCCAAGGTGGGCAGATCACCTTAGGTCAGAACTTCAAGGCCAGCCTGGCCAACATGGTGAAATCCCGTCTCTATTAAAAATACAAATATTAGATGGACGTGGTGGCACACACCTGTAGTCGTAGCTACTTGGGAGGCTGAGGCAGGAGGATCACTTGAACCTGGGAGGTGGAGGTTGCAGTGAGCCAAGATTGCGCCACTGCATTACAGCCTGGTCGACGGAGTGAGACTCCGTCTCAAAACAAACAAACAAACAAACAAACAAACAAAAAAGTCCTCCTTCTTGGGCTGAAGGAAATTGGGATAGGGTTCCGGGGTCCTCCAGGCCCAGGCTTACTTTGCTGCTAGAAAACTTTCTAATGTCCAAGTCACCGCGGCAGGGAGACGCAAGCCCCAGAATGTGCCTCCCTGCCCTGCCTCCAACCTGGCAAAGCCCAGAACAGGGACAGAGTGGGCACTCCATCAGAGATAAGGGAGACAAAGGGTGAGCAAAGGAATGCATGGCAGGCCTCTGTCTGGAATCGTAAGCTCTTGGGCAGTGGAACACCACGGCGGATCAATCCATGGTGCGCGTGATTTCAGTCTCCCCACCAGCCTTAACCACAGGGTCTCCAGCAGCCCTGGGTCAAAGGGTCCCAGAGAGACAGAAGCCTTCCTTCAGGGAGCTGATTTCAGCTGATCTGGGTTCACTTCTGACTCTGCCACTAACTTGCTGTGTGACCTTGAACAAATCACTCTCCCTCTCTCAGTCTAAACTTTTCTCATCTGTTCAATCAGTAGGTTGGACTGGATAATGATAACCCGTAGTAATAAGAGCTAATACTTGCTGAGTGTTTTCTACGAACCAGGTAAGATTCTAAGCGGTCTGTACAGATTCATTGATTTTACCCTCATGACAAGCTTATGAGGGAGGTATGGTCATTTCTTCCATTTTTACATGGGGGTGCAACTTAGGCACATGAAGGTCACGTGACTTGATCAAAGTCACATAGCAGGGAGGTTTCAGGGTCAGGACTCAAACCTGGGCCGCCTGGCTCCAGAAACTGCTTAGAATCATGAGAACTTTTGTTTTCATTGTTACTAATCAAATCTCAACAAAGGAAATCCAAGGAAAAGAGAATCCAGACCTGGATCAAACTTTTCCTTTTTCCTTGGTTCCCACAGTCCTTTTCAGTGCCATATATGTTTTTATAAATTTATATATATATATAAATATATGTATATATATGTGTGTATATATATTAATATATATACACACATATGTGTATATATATATTAATATATATACACACATATGTGTATATATATACACACATATGTGTATATATATACACATATATGTATATATATAAATATATATATATACACACATATATGTATATATATATAAATATATATATACACACATATATGTATATATATAAAAATATATATATACACACATATATGTGTATATATACTTTTTTTTTTGAGACATAGTCTTGCTCTGTCGCCCAGGCTGGAGTGCAGTGCTGCGATCTCAGCTCACTGCAACCTCCATCTCCTGGGTTCAAGCGAATCTCCTGCCTCAGCCTCCTGAGTAGCTGGGACTCTACAGGCGCCCGCCTCCAGGCCTAGTTAATTTTTGTATTTTTCGTAGAGACGGGGTTTCATCACGTTGGCCAGGCCTCAAACTCCTGACCTCAAATGATCCACCTGCCTTGGCCTCCCAAAGTGCTGGGATTACAGGCGTGAGCCACTGTGCCTGGCCTTTAGTGCCATACTTGATTCTGCAGAGAGGTCACCACACATTCTGAAGTTGGGCACCCACCCCAGGTCCGTCCCCGTTCCATCAAACATGAGGAAG
This sequence comes from Homo sapiens, assembly GCF_000001405.40. Lineage (NCBI taxonomy): Eukaryota > Metazoa > Chordata > Mammalia > Primates > Hominidae > Homo > Homo sapiens. The sequence continues at coordinate 123,522,167 of NC_000012.12, forward strand.
AGGCTCATGTGGGGAGCTAAGGAGTTTCTCAGAAGTATTGACTCTGAGCTTTCCTTGGGGTGAGCTGCAGGAGGCACCCCTGCTTTAGCGGGCAGGAAGCTGCAGGGCTGAGCAGAGCAGATGCCGCCCACAGCCCCGCCTGGCCCGAATCTTGCGGCCCATTTGTCCTTTTCCCAGCACCAGCAGAGGCCCTGCATGAAGGTTCTAAACAAGTGCTTATTGGATAAGTGACAGTTCAGGGGCTCCAGTGCCATTCAGGTCTGGGATGCCATCCCGGGCTGCTCACTGGTAAGCGTTTGCCTGTGATAAGAGCCTCCAATCTCTTCCCAGCACACTTAGAATAAAATCCAAACCTCAGCCTCTAAGGAGCTACATGAACTGACCCCTGTGACCTCATTTCCAGCCTCCTGAGGCCTCAATCATCTTCTGACACACTAGCCTTCTTTATTTTTTTCATCTTACTGTCGCTCAGGCTGTAGCGCAGTGGTATGATCTCAGCTCACTGTGGCCTCGACCTCCTGGGCTCAAGTGATCCTCCCGCCTCAGCCTTCAAGTAGCTCAGACTACAGGTGTGCACCACTGCACCTGGCTTATTTTTAAAAAAATCGTTAGTAGAGACGGGGTCTATGTTGCCCAGGCTGGTCTCAAACTCCTGGCTCCAAGTGATCTTCCTGCTTCAGCCTCCCAAAGTGCTGGGATCACAGGTGTGAGCCACTGCGCGCGGCCTACACCGGCCTTCTTGGTTTCCCCCAAATGCTCATGTCCCAGGGCCTTTGCATGACTGCCCCTGCAACCCCCGACCCAACAAATGCAGATATTTGCGTGGCTCACTCTGTTACTTCATTAGGGTTCAAATGTGACCTCCTCGAAGGCCTTCCCTGATGACTGTATCCAAAGATGTCCCTACCAAGTCACTCTATCACATGCCCCACTGCCGCTCTCCCAGAGCACGGCCGCCCCCTGGAACTATGGTGTCTGTGTGTTTACATGTTAAGCCCCTTTCTCCTCTGCACAGCACACAAGCTTCCCAAGGGCAGGGTCTCTGTCACGTTTAACACATATCCCAGGGCCAAGAGAGGAGCCTGACAAACAGAGGGGAACCTGTGACAGTTTGCTGAAAGGACCTCTGTGTTACCATCTGTAAACTGAGGCTACGTGATGTTTCTCTGGCAGGGTTATGGTGCAAATCAACACAATACAGAAGGCAAAGGGCTTTGGGAATCAGCCAGCACCGCATCAGCGTCCAGGGGTGGTGGCGACAATCGCTGATGTGGGCAATAAGAAAAGGAATGGCCGGCCCCCTTGCATTGGCGCCGACCCCCACTTACCTTCATGCTTCTGGAACTCCTCCTCTGAGAAATTGACATCCTTGTGGGAGAGGTTGGTCATGAGCTGCTTGTTCTCCTCCTGCAGCTGGGCGATCTGGGAGAGGAGGTCCTGCGCCTCCCCTCGCCACACATCCTCCACCAGCTCCAGCTCCTGCCAAGGCAAGGGGACAGCATGGGGTCACTGCCTGCCCAGAGCAGCCGCCCCACCCACTCCGACCCTCAGGGGCAGCTTGGGTTGCTGGGACTTTGGGCCATCCCCTTCCTCGTGAGAACTGGGCCGGCAAGGCCACCACGAGTCCCATATGGCACCTCTGCAAGAAACAGAAGCCACCCTTCTTTGGGGCAGATGCCTGCGTTTATGCTGTTAGGACCTGGCTCAGTTAGAACTGCCCCCAAGGACAACCACAAAGCTAATGCCGCATCTTGGAGCTCTCTTCAGAGTAGACAGAGCAGCCCCAGGATACGGGGGTCCGAACGTTCCTAACCTCTGGGGGGCACACCCCCTGATCTCTGGACAGACAGTTGGGACAAACCTTTCTCCAAGGGAGCCAGAGGCCTCGAGAATCCTGGGGATGCCGAGGCAGACGGGGCCCCCTGCCCCAGCGTTCCTTAGGTATCTGATCCAGGTATCTCTCCATGGGGTCTTCAACCACTGACTCGATCACCCTGAGCCTCAGTTTCCCTCAGTGGTGGAACCAAAACAAAGGCTCACGAAGTGAATGTGAGGATAAATAAAATCAGTCTATTAAAGTTATTTTGTGGGTGGCTGCAGTCAAAGAAATAGCCAATAACAAGTGCTGACAAGGATAGGAAGAAACTGGAACCCTCCTACACTGCTGGTGGGAATGGAAAATGCTGCGGACATTTTGGAAAACACTCTGGCAGTTTCGCAAAAACATTAACACAGAGTTACCATAGGACCCAGCAACTCCAGTCCTTGGATCGGCTCAAGAGGTATGAACACAATGTCCACATGAAAACGCGTGCAGGTGAATGTTCCTCGCAGCATTATTCCCAGTACCCAAAAGGAGCCAAGTGTCCATCAGCTGATGAATGGGTAAATAAACATGGCACATCCATACAATGGAACATTATTCGGCCATGAAAAGGAATGAAAGCCTGACATATGCTACAACATAGGTGGACCCTGAAAACATTATGGAAAGAAGCCAGACACAAAAGGTCACATGTTATATGATCAGTTTTACAAAATGTCTAATATTGGCAAATCCATAGAGATAGGAAGCAGACGGGTGGTTGTCTAGAGCCAGAGTGCTAGAGGGGAGACGAGGAATGACTGGGAATAGGTACGGAGTTTCTTTTGGGGGGTGATGAAAATGTTCTAAGATTGATAGTGGCAGGGCGTGGTGGCTCACGCCTGGAATCCCAGCACTTGGGAGGCCAAGGCAGGCGGATCACTTGAGGTCAGAAGTCCATGACCAGCCTGGCCAACATGGCGAAACCCCATCTCTACTAAAAATACAAAAATTAGCTGGGTGTGGTGGTGGGCACCTGTAATCCCAGCTACTCGGGAGGCTGAGGCAGGAGAATTACTTGAAGCTGGGAAGCGGAGTTTGCAGTGAGTCAAGATTATGCTACTGCACTCCAGCCTGGGTGACAGAGTGAGACTCTGTCTTGGAAAAAATAATAATAATAAATAAAATAAAATTGATGGTGATCATAATGACGGCTGCAAAACTCTAAAAACCACTGAAGTGTACATCTTATTTATTTATTTTTAGAGACAGGGTCTTGTTCTGTCACCCAGGCTGGAGTGCAGTGACACAGTTATAGCTCATTGCAGCCTTGAACTCCTGGGCTCAAGTGATCCTCCCACCTCAGCCTCCCAGTAGCTGGGACTACAGGCAGACGCCACCATGACTGGCTAATTTTTTTTTTTTTTTTTAGAGATGGGGTATTGCTGGCTGAGTGTGGTGGATCATGCCTGTAACCTCAGCACTTTGGGAGGCCGAGGTGGGCAGATCACTTGAGGTCAGGAGTTCGAGACCAGCCTGACCAATATGGTGAAACCCTGTCTCTACTAAAAATACAAAAAATTAGCCGGGTGTGGTGGCAGACACCTGTAATCCCAGCTACTCAGGAGGCTGAGGCAGGAGAACTGCTTGAATCTCAGAGGTGGAGGTTGTGGTGAGCTGGGATTGTACCACTGCACTCCAGCCTGGGTGACAGAGTGAGACACTGTCTCAAAAAAAAAAAAAAAAAAAAAAAAGAAACAAATGGGGTATTGCTATGTTGCCCAGGCTTGTCTCAACCTCCAGGGCTCAAGCAATCTTCCCACCTTGGCCTCCCAAAGTGCTGGGAGTACAGGCGTGAGCCACCGTGCCCAGCCAGAAGTGTACACTTTAAATGAGTGTTATGGTATCTGAATTATATTGATAAAGCTGGTAGCCCTCCACCCCCGCAAAAAACAAACAAACAAACAAACAAACAAAAAAACGGTACTTGGTAAAACCGTAAGCTAGCTCACAAAGCAGGGTTGCTGTTGTCTGTATAAAACAGTGGTTTAAGGGCCAGGCGCAGTGGCTCACACCTGTAATCCTGGCACCTTGGGAGGCCAAGGCAGGCGGATCACTTGAGGTCAGGAGTTTGAGACCAGCCTGGCCAGCATGGCAAAACCCCGTCTCTACTGAAAATACAAAAATTAGCCGGGCATGGTGGTGGGCACCTGTAATCCCCGCTACTTGGGAAGCTGAGCCAGGAGAACTGCTTGAACCTGAGAGGCAGAGGCTGTAGTGAGCCGAGATCAAGCCACTGCACTCCAGCCTGGGGCACAGAATGAGACTCCATGTCAAAAAATAAAATTAAAATAAAATAAATAAAAAATAAAATAAAATAGTGGTTCAAGGCATGGACACTGGAGCCTGCCGCCCTAAGTCTGAATCCTGTTTCTGCTGCTTACTAGCTGACCTTGGCGAGTTATTCAGCCTTCTGGTGCCCCACAAATGAGGAAACTAGTGTGGTATCTGCCGGGAAGGGTGGGTGTGAGGATTAAATGGTTACTATAAGTAAAGCGCCTGGAATATGCCCGGCACCCAGAAAGCACTAACAATGTGTGTGCTGATCTCTGTCCCATCCCTACAATTCATCACAAGCGGCCAGGTGGCCGGATGCTAGGCATGGCCTCTGTCCATCTTCTAAATAAGTTCTCAGACCCACCTCCTTTGTCAGAAGCCTGCTGCATTGGGGAAGAGAGGAGTAATAGCCTAGTATTTGCACAGAGGGCGCAAGGTCACCAGGGGAGGTGAAGGGCAGGGCCGGGGTGGAAGTGGTGGTGGAGGGATGGAGAGGGAATGTTGACCTCCCATAAGCAGATGGGGCCTGGAAGCAGAAAGAGGCTCATCCAGCCCTGTTCCTCTCTGTTTCCAATTGGCATAGGCTGGGCTCACACGGGGCTCAGAGAATATCAGTCAAGTGTAACTGGCTGGGGCAGGGAGAATAATGGCTCTTAAAGTCATCCAAGTCCTAATCCCTGAGAATATGTTACCTTACATGGCAAAAGGGACTGTGCAGAGATGATTAAGTTAAGGATCTTAGGCATGGCACGGTGGCTCATACCTATAATCCTTGTAATTTAGGAGGCTGAGGTGGGAGCATTGATTTAGGCTAGGAGTTTGAGAACAGCCTGGGCAACATGGCAAAACTCTGTCTCTATAAAAAATACAAAAATTAGCTGGGCGTGGTAGTGCATGCCTGTAGTACCAGCTACTTGGGAGGCTGAGGTGGGAGGATCACTTGAGCCCCGGAGGTTGAGGCTGCAGTGAGCTGTGATTGCACCACAGCACTCCAGCCTGGGTGACAGAGCAAGACCCCAACTTTTTTTTTTTATAAAAAAGGCTCTTGAGGCTGGGCATGATGGCTTACGCCTATAATCACAGCAATTTGGGAGGCCAAGGCAGGAGGATCACTTGAGGTCAGGAGTTCGAGACCAGCCTGGACAACACAGCAAAACTCTGTCTACTAAAAATACAAAAATTAGCTGGGCATGGTGGCGTGCACCTGAAATCCTAGCTACTCAGCAGGCTGAGGCATGAGAATCACTTGAACCTGGGAGGCAGAGGTTACAGTGAGCTGAGGGAAGCAGAGGTTGCAGTGAGCCGAGATCATGCCACTGCACTCCAGCCTGGGTGACAGACTGAAACTGTGTCTCAAAAAAAAGAGCTTGTGAGATGGGGAGATGATTCTGGATTATCTGGCTGGATTATCTGGTGGGCCGATGTCATGCCAGGGTCTTCGTAAGAGGAAGGCAGGTCAGCGTTAGAGGAATATGAGGGAGATGGGAAGAAGCTACGCTGCTGGCTTTGAAGATGGAGGAAGGGGCCACAAGCCAGGGAATGCAGAGTCCATAAGTTGGGGAAGGCAAAGAAATGGATCCTCCTCCACAGCCCCCCAAAGGAGTGGAGCCTTCCCAACACCTTGATTTGAACTCAGTGAGAGCCATTTCCGACTTCTGACGTCCGGAAATTTCTCCAGTATTATTTATATTGATAATTACACATATGCCTCCATAATACTGTATGACATTGTATCCATAATATTGGATTATCCAGTTCAATAAGACAATACATTTCTGGCCAGGCATGGTGGGTCACGCCTGTAATTCTAGTACTTTGGGAGGCTGAGGCAGGAGAATCACTTGAGCCCAGGAGTCTGCAGCCAGCCTGGGCAACATGGCAAGACCCCATCTCTGCTAAAAATTAAGCTGGGTGTGGTGGCACATGCCTGCAGTTGAGCTACTTGGGAAGCTGAGGCGGGAGGATTGCTTGAGCCCAGGAGGCTGAAGCTGCAGTGAGCCAATGGTCACGCACGGCACGCCAGCCTGGGCAACAGAGTGAGATGCTGTCTCAAAAAAAAAAAAAAGATAACACATTTCTGCTGTTTTGAGCCACTAAGTTTGTGTTGATTTTTTTGTTGTTGTTTGTTTTTTTTTTTTGAGACGGAGTCTCACTCTGTCACCCAGGCTGGAGTGCAGTGGTGCGATCTCGGCTCACTGCAAGCTCCGCCTCCCGGGTTCATGCCATTCTCCTGCCTCAGCCTCCGAAGTAGCTGGGACCACAGGCGCCCGCCACCACGCCCGGCTAATTTTTTGTATTTTTAGTAGAGACGGGGTTTCACCGTGTTAGCCAGGATGGTCTCGATCTCCTGACCTTGTGATCCGCCCGCTTCAGCCTCCAAAGTGCTGGGATTACAGGCTTGAGCCACCGCGCCCGACCAGTTTGTGTTGATTTGTTACAGCAGCCACAGGGAATGAATACAGACTTTAACCCTAAATTCTTTTTTTTTCTTCTCTCAACGAACTGAAGTTGATGCTGGGGTTGCTGATTCTCGCCTCTGAGTTGACCACTCAGAATCTCATGCTGCCTCCATACCAGCCCAGTGGTTCTCCGGAGAAGTCAGCCCTGATCAATCATCTCCTTCACGTTCTTCCCTCAGCACCAAGAGTCCTCAAATTCCTCATCTGAGCCTACAAGCCCCGGCACCTTCCTGATTCATCTCCCAGTCCTCTTCCTCACTTGCTCTGCTCCAGCCACACCGACTCTGTGTTCTTTGAACATGCCAAGTGCATTCCTACCTCAGGACCTTTGCACTAGCCACGTCTTCTGCCTAGAATGCCTCTCCCCCAGATCAATCTGTGGCTGGATCCTATCCTTCATTCAGATCTCAGCTCAGATGTCACCTCCTCAGGGAAGACTTCCTGACTGCCCCATCTGTTAGACTACCACCCTAGTCAGTCTCTTTCATGTCTCCCAGTTTTATTTTCTTTATGGCACTTATTATAAGCTGATTTTTTTTTTCTGAGACAAAGTCTCGCTCTGTTGCTCAGGCTGGAGTGCAGTGATATGATCTCGGCTCAACGCAACCTTCACCTCCCAGGTTCAAGCGATTCTCCTGCCTCTGCCTCCTGAGGCGTGCGCCACCACACCCAGCTAATTTTTGTATTTTTAGTAGGGATGAGGTTTTGCCATGTTGGCCAGGATGGTCTTGACCTCCTGACCTCAAGTGATCCAGCTGCCTCGGCCTCCCAAAGTGCTGGGATTACAGGTGTGAAACACTGTGCCCAGCCTGAATTTTTTTTTTTTTTTTAATCTATCCTGGCTAAGCACAGTGGATCAAACCTGTAGTCCCAGCACTTTGGGAGGACAAGACAGGAGGACTGCTTGAGCCCAAAAGCTCAAGACTAGCCTGGGCAACATAGTGACACCTTGTCTCTAAAGGAAAAAAAAATTACAGTGTGCCTGTAGTCTTAGCTACTCAGGAGGCTGAGGCAGGAGGATCACTTGAATCCAGGTGTTCAGGGCTGCAGGGAGCCGTGATGCCATCATTGCTCTCTGGCCTGGATGACAGAGTACGTCCCTGACTCAAAAAAAAAAAAAAGGAGAAAAAAAATCTCTATCTCTTCCTCATGCTAGAATAATTGCACCATCCCATGGAAAGTCAGTAGCCACACGTGGCTGTTGAGCATTTGACATGTGGCTGGTCTGAGTGGAAATGTGCAGCAGGGGTTAAAGACACACCAGATTTCAAAGATGTAGTAGGAAAAAAAGAGTGCAGAATATCAAATGATAAGTTTTTATACTGATTACATGTTGAAATGAAAATATTTTGGATCTACTGGGTCCCATAAGATATATTAAAATTAACCTCACTGGTTTGTTGTTGTTGTTGTTTTTGAGACAGAGTCTCACTCTGTCACCCAGGCTGGAGTGCAATGGTGTGATTTCGACTCGCTGCAATCTCTGCCTCCCGGGTTCAAGCGATTCTCCTGCCTCAGCTTCCTGAATAGCTGGGATTATAGGCACTCGCCACCATGCCCGGCTAATTTTTGTATTTTTAGTAGAAATGGGGTTTTGCCATATTGGCCAAGCTGGTCTTGAATTCCTGACCTCAAGTGATCCACCCGCCTTGGCCCCCCAAAAGTGCTGGGATTACAGGTGTGAGCCACCGCGCCCAGCCAACTTCACTGTTTTTTATTAACATGGCAAAGCTGCATAATATTTCTATGGTATAGCACTACACTAAAAAGTCAGGCTCATCAGGGCCAAGGCCTCATCTGTCATGGTCATTACTGTCTTCCCAGTGCCCAGAACAATGCATGGCACACAGTAGGTTCTCAGTAAATATATTCGCTGAATGAGTGAATGAATAGCATAGTCTGGTATGTTACACGCGAGTGTATCAGCCCAGCCATTGCTTTCTAGAATTTATTTGTGTTTTCCCTTTCTTCCCTGTTACCCGCCTGCTGCCTGACATGAGACTTTGCTTTTCTCTGCAGAGCCATGGTACCAAGAAGGGCACTGTGCTCGCTATGGCCTGTCATCAGAGTTGCAGACTGAGTAATGAGACAGAACATGACACAACTGTGGCCTGCATCTGAGTGATGAGTGGAAGTGAGTGAGTGGGTCTACTGAGAGGAGGAGTAGGGGGAAGAAAGTGTATGTCCTTTACTGGAGCCATAATTGCTGAAAGCGAGAGAGACAAGGAAGAAGGGGTAGGGAAGAAGAGGGGAAAGGGAAGAGGAATGGAGGTGGACAGACTAAACCAGGACATGCCAAAAACATTTTTGTGGAAATATCACCTTGAAGAGCCTTTGAGACTCTGCAGGAAAAAAAAAAAAAAATCATACAAGTCTCTCTCCATCCCAAGAATGTGAAGTAAACGGGTCTGGGGCTGGGGTGGGAAAAGAATTGCATCCTTGATTTAGAGAGGTCATCCTCAATGTAAGTCAACAAGCCCTGGCCCTGAGCGCACGGTGTTCACTTCCCAGCTGAACACTTTCCAGAGGCAACAAGTGCAGCTGCTGACAATTCCATGTGACTTCAGACCTGGTGGCCTCCGATGGCTTCCAAGGATTTCTCCCAGCTCCCCCGCAACAGAACTAAAGAGCCCCAGTTGGGGGACAGTATAGGTGCCAGGACTTCTGTGTGATCTGGTCAAAGCCCCTTGGTCCCTGTTAATAAGAGGCGCCACACGAGAGAATTTCCAAGGTCCCTTGCCTCCTTGACCCTCTATGAGAGATGGAGGCCTCTAGGGTAGGAGTAGAGGTGCTTGGGGTGGGGACGGTTTCCTAATATGAGCCTGTGAGCACCTCAATGAATGTCTCTCCAGGCCTAAAAAGAATTTTAAGACTTGCAAAGCCCTTGCTATGGGCAGGCTCTGTCCTGAACACTTTATATGTATTTATATTAACTCTTTAAACCTCATCACATTCTAATGGGGGTACTATTACTATCCCATTTTAGAACTGAGGAAACTGAAGCACAGAGATGCTGGGTGATTTGCCCAAGATCACACAGCCTGCAAGTGGTAGGGTTTGAAACCAGGCTGTCTAGCTCCAAAGTCCTAGCTTCTAGGAGTCTTGAAATTAATTACAGGTCAAAGCATTTTCAGGCTCCCAGAGTGACCTCGGAAATGCTGCTCAACTCTTGGGAGCCTGAGTTTCCTTCCTGCCCCTAGGGCATAGGGACCCATGAGGACGAGCACAGTCAAACATGGCAATGGTGCTGTTACCTACCTGTGGGTCTGCCCTCAGGTAAAGGGTTCAGACCCAGCTTTGGCTATTTTACTCCAAAACACAGAGATCCATCAAAGTACACAATAAGGGATGGCCTGCCCCTGAGGTTCAGAGAGGCCATCTGTATTTCCTGAGGCTGAACAGCAAGCTGGAGACTGCTCAGGCACCCTGATCCCTCAAGGAAAGGTGTTTCCTCCCATTCTCAGTCTGAAGGGGCTGCCAAGAGCATCCCTGGCTGAGGTTAGGGCAGGAAACCACATGTCTTTCACTTCCTTTTCTCCAGAAACCTCGTCTGAACTCCAGGCCCAGTGGGGAGGCCCTGATTCAGAGAGACTCCTGATCACAGGGCAGAGGCTTAGCCTTAAAGCCACCCCAAATCATCCCTTTCCCCCAATTCAAACAGGGTGGGGAGGAGACACGGGGGCTGGGACTCTCTCACCACTAATTTGGGACAAATTGCTCCTCCCACTGTGACCCTCGGTTTCTTTATCTGTAAAATGAAGATAGTCTCTATAGAGTCCTGTGAGGATTAAGGATAAAATCAGAGGAGAGAACACGGGCTACCACAGGTTCATAAGCTAGGGGAGTCCCGGGAAGAAAGTTGCAAATATGAACCCGAAGACTAGGGGTCACGAAGCTCAGTGGCTGGAGGTCACATTCCCTTTGCTCTGGGGAGACTGGGGGGGGGGGGGATGAAGAAAGGGTCCTGGGCCTGATGTCACATCTTCTTGGTAACTCGGGAGGCCAAGAGGCTTATTTCATGTCTGGAAGAGAATAATATGTCTAAGCACTTAGCTTATATGGTCCCATTTAATTCTTCTAAGGTGGGTCCTATTATGATTACCATTTGACAGGTGAGGAAATAAAGCACAGAGAGGTTAAGTAACTTACCTAAAGTCACACAGCTATTAAACGGTAAAGGTGGGATTGGAACTCCAGAGAACAGCTCTTAATCTCTCGGGTGGTATCTGCCAGCCACCCCTGGTCGGGCAAAAGAAGGCCAGGGCCTCCCTCCCTCCCCACGTCGGGTCTCCTCTGGTCCGGTCCCTGAACACACACACGTGCGCACCCACAGCTGCCCAATGCGGAAGAGCCCTTGGGTCCCCGCGGTCCCACTGCCCGGACGGACAGACCGAGGCCGCCGCCCACCTTCTGGTGCTTGCGCTCCTTCTCGATGCGGTCCATCCTCTCCAGGCGCAGGCGGTCCAGCTCCAGGCGCAGCTCGTCCAGCTCGGGCGCGACGTGGTGGCGGCTGACCAGCACCTCCAGGATCTCCAGGACGCGCACGACCTTGGGCATGAGGCGCGCGATGGCCTCGCAGCCGTGCTGGTCAATGACCCGCTCGAACTCGTGGCCCACAAGCGACGCGATGTCGTACACGTCCATGACGGTCAGCTCGGCCACGTTCTTCTCCAGCGCCGACTCGGCCGCCAGCGCCGACCCCCGCTCCTCCTCCATGGCCACCCTCCTGGCCTGTCCCCCGCCCCGCAAACTCGTGCAACTCCCAAACTTGCCGCTGTCGAGGGCCGGGCCGGCCGGGCCCAGCCTGGGCCGCGGGCGGGCGCGCTCAGCGGGCGCTGGGGCGAGGGCGCAGCGGGCAGCGGGCGGCGGGCGCGGGCGCGGGCACGGGCGGCGGCGCGGGGTGTGCGGGCCCGGGGTCTGGGCGCCCGGCTCGGCCCGGAGCTGCTCCCGAGTGGGCGGCGGCGGCGGCGGCGGCGGCGGCGGCAGCGGGGAGGGCGCGCGCGTGCGCAGGCCCGCGGCGCCTCCCAAGTTGGGATCCGAGTTGCGCTCAATGGAGCCGGGCCGGGCGCCTCGGGGCGGTGCGGGCCTGAGGGGCGGCAGAGCGCGGGGCCGGAGAGGAAGGGCGGCCCGCGGCTCCTCCGGGAAACTTTGGCGGCGGCGGCTGCGAGGCCGGGTGATCGCTTCCCCACAGGGAGGCCGCGCGCCCCGCCCCAATCCCGGCCTGGCCAGGGGCGCGCCCGCTTTCCGCCGCCCGGGGGCGCCCCGGGGTACCCCCCCAAGCGCCGACTCCGCGGCCTGCACTCCGGGCCCCCCTCTCCAGCCGCCGGACCCGCGGCGCCCCTCACCCGTGCCCCGGCCGCCCCTCCCCCGCCCGGCGCTGACTCCTCCCACCACCCGGCCGCCGGGAGGGGTCCAGGCCGCCCCGGGAGAGGGGGCCGGGGGCGCTGGTCTCGCGGGACGATTCGCTGCTCCGGGTAGCGGCCCCGGCCTTGGAGAGGGATGGAGGGGTCACGAGGAGGTCCCCGGGCTGGGGCTCATCCCAGGAAGAGAACGGGGACCCCCCCCGGCCCGCAGACACTCCGCGCAGACCCGGCCACCAGGCGGACTTGCAGAGGCGCCCGGAGAGGGGCCGACGTGTCGAGGAATGCTGGATCCCCGGAGCCCCAGGGCGCGCCTCCCCGAGCCACATCCATCACTGGCTCCTTGTGACATGAACGCCACTTCACAGTAGAGCGAAGCCCGCTTGGCATTCCAGCACCACGAGTTCTCTTGTCCCAAGGCCCCCTGTCCATTTGGGCTGGCCAAATCCACTTGTCCATCAGACCCCCTCCCACTCCCGGGAGAACGTTTCCTGAACCCAGAACCCCATCCACCCTCCCCGCCCCCCACGCAGGAGTTAAGGACCCCCTTGCAAACTCACAGTCCCCTGCTTGCCCCATCAGGATTGCTCTTAGCATCCTGAGTTTTCACCGTGTGGTTGCAGGTAGGTTTCCACCGTCAGATCTTGGCTCCTTGAGGGAAGAAATCTTAATGCCCTTGTAGCCATAAAGCGCACCCCAACGTGGCACGTATTGATTAAAAATCTAAAAGTTGGCCGGGCGCGGTGGCTCACGCCTGTAATCCCAGCACTTTGGGAGACTGAGGTGGACGAGGTCAGGAGTTCAAGACCAGCCTAGCCAAGGTGGTGAAACCCCGTCTCTACTAAAAATACAAAAATTAGCCGGGCATGGTGGCGCATGCCTGTAATCCCAGCTACTCAGGAGGCTGAGGCAGAGAGTTGCTTAAACCCGGGAGGCGGAGGTTGCAGCAAGCCGAAATCGCGCCACTGCACTGCAGGCTGGGTGACAGAGCAAGACTCCATCTCAAAATAATAATATAATACAATAAATAAATAAATAAATAGTAAAAAAAAAAAAATTAAGGCCAGGCGGGGTGGCTCACGCCTGTAATCCCAGCACTTTGGGAGGCCGAGGTGGGAAAATTTCTAGAGCTCAGGAGTTCGAGACCAGCCTGGCCAACATGGTGAAACCACGCCTCTACTAAAAATACAAAAATTAGCCAGACATGGTGGCATGTGCCTGTAATCCCAGCTACTCAAGAGGCTGAGGCGCGAGAATCATTTGAGCCTGGGAGGCAGAGGTTGCAGTGAGCCAAGATCGTGCCACTGCACTCCAGCTTGGGCAACAAGAGCGAAACTCCGTCTCAAAAAAAAAAAAGAAAAAAAAAAAAGTAAAATAAAAAAATTAGCCAGACGTGGTGGTGAGAGCCTGTAGTCCCAGGTATTTGGGAGGCTGAGGTGGGAAGATCCCTTGAGCCTGGGAGGCAGAGGTTGCAGTGAGTTGAGATCACACCACTATGCTCCAAACTGGGCGACAGAGCGAAACTCTGTCTCAGAAAAATAAAAAATAAAAATAAATACTCCTGGCCACAGTGGCTCATGCTTGTAATCCTAGCACTTTGGGAGGCCAGGGCTGGAGGATCACTTGAGCCCAAGATTTCGAGACCAGCCTGGGCAGCATGGCAAAACCCCGTCTCTATTTAAAAAAAAGTCTGGTTGCAGTGACTTATGCCTGTAATCCCAGCACTTTGGGAGGCCAAGGGGGGCAGATCAGTTGAGGTCAGGAGTTCAAGATCAGCCTGGCCAACATGGTGAAACCTCATCTCTACTAAAAATACAAAAAAAAAAAAAAATTAGCCAGGCGTGGTGGCAGGCGCCTGTAATCCCAGCTACTCAGGAGGCTGAGGCAGGAGGATCACTTGAACCCGGGAGGCAGAGGTTGCAGTGAGCTGAGATCGAGATCGTGCCACTGCACTCCAGCCTGGGTGACAAAGCGAGACTCTGTCTCAAAATAAATAAATAAATAAATTAATTAATTAATTAAATAAAAATTACCCGACTCTGGTGGCAAGTGCCTGTAGTCCCAGCTACTCGGGAGACTGAGGTGGAAGGATGACTTGAGTCCCAGGGAGCAGAGGTTGCAGTGAGCTGTGATTACACCACTGCACTCCAACCTGGGTGACATAGGGAGACCCTGTCTCAAAAACAACAAAAAAACTCATACGTTATCTAGCACGGTGGCGTGAGCCTGTAGTTCCAGCTACTCCAGTGGGAGGATCCCTTGAGTTCAAGAGTTCTAGTCTAGCCTGAGCAATGTAGGTAGACTGTTTCTAAAAAAATAAAAAGTTAAAAAAATTTATGTTAACGTGTAATGTGTTTACTAATTTTTTTTTTTTTTTTTGGAGACAGAGTCTCCCTCTGTCGCCAGGCTAGAGTGCAGTGGCTCGATCTCAGCTCGCTGCAGCTTCGACCTCCCAGGTTCAAGCAATTTCCCTGCCTCAGCCCCCAAGTAGCTAGGATTACAGGCGCATGCCACCATGCCTGGCCGATTTTTTTGTATTTTTAGTAGAGAGGGGGTTTCACCATGTTAGCCAGACTGATCTCGAACTCCTGACCTCAGGCAATCTGCCTGCCTCAGCCTCCCAAAGTGCTGGGATTACAGGCATAAGCCATCCTCCCGGACTATTTTTTAATTAATATTTTTTAAAGCATCAGTTTAAATTTCTTTTCTTTTCTTTTCTTTTTCTTCTTCTTCCCTTCCCTCCCCTCCCCTCCCCTTTCTTTCTTCCTTTCCTTTCCTTTCCTTTCTCTTTCTTTCTTTCTTTCTTTCTTTCTTTCTTTCTTTCTTTCCTTTCTCTCTCTTTCTCTCTCCCTCCCTCCCTCCCTCCCTCCCTCCCTCCCTCCCTCTCTCTCTCTTTCTTTCTTTCTTTCTTTTCAGGGTCTAGTTCTGTTGCCCAAGGTAGTGCAGTGGTGCGATCGTAGCTCACTGCAGCCTCAAACTCCTGGGCTCAAGCGGTCCTCCCACTTCAGCCTCCTGAGTTAGCTGGGATTATAAATTTCTATTTACAGTAGATATGAGCAGATATAACTCACCTAACAAAAGCTCTTTCAAGGCTAGACACAGTGGCTTACGCCTGTAATCCTAGCACTTTGGGAGGCTGAGGTGGGCGGATCACCTCAGATCGGGAGTTTGAGACCAGCCTGCCCAACATGGTGAAATCCTGTCTCTACTAAAAATATAAAAATTAGCCGGTGTGTGGCCCGTGCCTGTAATACGAGCTACTAGGGAGGCTGAGGCACGAGAATTCCTTGAACTCAGGAGACGGAGGTTGCAGTGAGCCAAGGTCATGCCTCTTCACTCCAGCCTGGGCAACAGAGTGAGACTCTGTCTCAAAAAAACAAACAAAAAAAAACAAAAACAAACAAACAAACAAAAACTCTTTAAATATTGTTTTAGTGTAAAGGGGCTCTGAGGCCAAAAAGTTTCAGAACTTCTGCCTTATAACATCCTAAGAGGTAAATTTTATTATCTTATTTTACAAATGAGGAAACTGAGGCACAGAGAGGTTAAAAGGCTCACCCAAAGCCAGGCAGCTGGTGAAGGTAAATTCAGGGTCAGACCTGCGCAGTCTGGCCTCGAGTCTGTGCCATAACCTTCTCATCCTTGTTCCTTACACGTGCTAAGCACTCTAAACCTTCTGGATCCTTCCAACAACCCAAATGAAGCTGACATATTATTGCTGTCCCCTTTCTTTTCTTTTTTCTTTTATTGAGACGGATTCTCGCTCTGTCACCCAGGCTGGAGTGCGGTGGCAAAATCTCAGCTCACTTCAATCTCTGCCTCCCAGGTTCAAGCAATTCTCCTGCCTCAGCCTCCTTAGTAGCTGGGACTACAGGCACCTGACACCATGCCCAGCTAATTTTTGTATTTTTAGTAGATACAAAGGTTCACCATGTTGGCCAGGCTGGTCTCGAACTCCTGACCTCAGGTGATCCACCCACGTTGGCCTCCCAAAGTGCTGGGATTACAGTGTGAGCCACTGTGCCTGGCCAGTGCTGTCCCCTTTTTCTTCTTCTTCTTTTTTTTTTTTTTTTTTTTTTGAGATTGAGTCTAGCTGTGTTGTCAGGCTGGAGTGCAGTGGCGTGATCTCGGCTCACTGCAGCCTCTGCCTCCAGGGTTCAAGCGATTCTCCTGCCTCAGCCTCCCAAGTAGCTGGGACTACAGGCATGTGCCACTACACTTGGCTAATTTTTGTATTTTTAGTAGAGATGGGGTTTCATCATGTTGGCCAGGATGGTCTCGATCTCTTGACCTCGTGATCTGCCCCCCTCGGCCTCCCAAAGTGCTGGGATTACAGGTGTGAGCCACGCCTGGCCTTGCTGTCCACTTTCTAAGTTAAAGACAGGGAGGCAGGGAAAGGTGTGCTGATTTCCTGTAGCTACTATAACGAATTGCCACAAACTTGGTGACTTGAAACAAAACTAGCTGGGCATAGTGGCTCACGCCTGTAATCCCAACACTTTCGGAGGTGGAAGAGGGAGGATCACTTGAGCCCAGGAGTTGGAGACCAGCCTGGGCAGTGTAGTGAGACTCGATCTCTATAAAAAAAGTTTTTAGGTCAGGTGTGGTGGCTCAGTCCTATAATCCCAGCACTTTGGGAGGCCAAGGCAGGTGGATTGCTTGAGCTCAGGAGTTGGACACCAGCCTGGGCAACATGGAGAAACCCCATCTCTACAAAAAATACAAAAATTTAGCTGGGCATGGTGGCATGTGCCTGTAGCCCCAGTTACTTAGGGGGCTGAGACAGGAGGATTGCTTGAACCTGGGAGGTCAAAGCTGCAGTGAGCCACAATCCTGCCACTGCACTCAAGCCTGGGGGACAAAGTGAGACCCTGTCTCAAAAAAAAAAAACAAACAAAAAAACACATTGTTTTAAATTAGCCAGGTGTGCTGGTGTTCACCTGTAGTCCTAGCTACTTGGGAGGCTGAGGTGGGAGGACTGCTTGAGCCTGGGAGGTCGAGGCTGCAGTGAGCCATGATCGCACCACTGCCCTGCAGCCTGGGCAACAGAGTGAGATGCTGTACCAAACAACAACAACAACAACAAAAACCCAAAACAAAAAACAAAAACCCAGAAACGTATTCTCTCACAGTTCTGGAGTCCAGAAGTCCTAAATCAAAGCATTAGAACTACCACGTTCCCTCCGAAGGCGCCAGGGGAGGACCCTTCCTTGCCTCTTCCAGCTTCTCGTGCCTCTAGGTGTTTCCTGGCTTGCAGCCGCATCACTCAATTCTCTGCCTGTTTGCTTTCTTTTTGTTTTTGAGACAGGGTCTCCCTCTGTCGCCCAGGCTAGAGTGCAGTGGTGCCGTCTCAGCTCATTGCAGCTTCGAACTCCTAGGTTCAAGCGACCCCCTTGCCTCAATCTCCCAAGTAACTGGGACTACACGCACATGCCACCACACCCAGCTAATTTTTGTGTTTTTGTAGAGATGGGTTCTTGCCATGTTGCCCAGACTTCTCCTGCCTGTTTTCACATTTCCTTTGCTCTGTGTGTCTTCTCCTCTGTGTCTCATATAAGGACACGTGTCATTGGATTTAGGTTCCACACAGATAATCCAAGATGATCCCCTCATCTGGAGATCCTTAATTTAATCACATCTACAAAGACACTTTTTTTTTTTTTCAAATTAAGTCTCGCTTTTTTTTTTTTTTTTTTTTTGAGACGGAGTCTCGCTTTGTCACCAGACTGGAGTGCAGTGGCACGATCTTGGCTCACTGCAACCTCCGACTCCCTGGTTCAAGTGATTCTCCTGCCTCAGCCTCCCGAGTAGCTGGGATTACAGGCATGCGCCACCACGCCCAGCTGATTTTTGTATTTTTAGTAGAGATGGGGTTTCACCATGTTGTCCAGAAGGGTCTCGATCTCCTGACCTCATGATCTGCCTGCCTCAGCCTTCCCAAAGTGCTGGGATTACAGGCGTGAGCCACCACGCCCGGCCTAAAGACCCATTTTTCAAATGAGGTCACAGTCACAGGTTCTAGGAATTATGACAAGGATGTACCTGTTTTTTTGGCTGGGGTAGGGGTTCACCATTCAATCCACTACAGAAGGATTAGTAACTTGTCCCACAGCTGCAAGGGATAAAGCAGGGAGCTGAACCCAGTGTGTGCCTGTGGTGAATGAAAGAATAAATAGTAAATACCCAAATTGGGCAACTTTGCACTGAAGGCAACAAAGATGTATTAAGAGTCTGCTGGAAGGAGGAATAAAGATTAAGAAGGACAGTGGCACCCTGCAGCCTGTGCCTTAGGAGGGGGTGGGAAAGGGATGGGAGGGTGTGAGAGATGGAAATTACTTCAAGGAGGGAAAGGGGAGGCAGGAGTCCATCTGAGTCCTTAGGAGAATGGTGACAAAATAGGGTGGGAGAGTAGTTGAGCCTAGTGGGTAAGCTTCCAGAGCCACCCCTCTGTTTTCTTTTCTTTTCTTTTTTCTTTTCTTTCTTTTTTGTTTTTGAGACAGAGTCTCACTCTGTCGCCCAGGCTGGAGTGCAGTGGCTCGATCTTGGCCCACCGCAACCTTTGCCTCCCAGGTTCAAGCAATTCTCCTGCCTCAGCCTCCCAAGTAGCTGGGACTACAAGAGTGTGCCACCACACCTGGCTATTTTTTTTTTCTTTTTTTAGTAGAGACGGGGTTTCACCATGTTGGCCAGGCTGCTCTTGAACTCCTGATCTCAGGTGATCTGCCCACCTTGGCCTCCCAAAGTTCTGGAATTACAGGCGTGAGCCACTGTGCCTGGCCTTATTTTCTTTTTAGAGACAGTGTCCCGCTCTATCTTCCAGGCTGGAGTGCAGTGGCGCAATCATAGCTCACTGCAGCCTCGACCTTCTGGGCTGCGCTTCAGCCTCTCCAGCAGGTGGGACTACAGGCATGCACCATCACACCAGCTAACTTTCTTTTCATAGAGATGGGGTCTCACTATGTTGCTCAGGCTGGTCTCAAACTTCTGAGCTCAAGCCATTTTCCCACCTTGGCCTCCCGAAGTGTGGGCCTCTACCCACCTCTACCTCCCAAAGTGCTGAGATTAAAGGAGTGAGCCATCGAGCCCAGCCCTACCTGGCATGTATTACGAGCTAAATATTGGCCTGGCTTGGTGGCTCACGCCTGTAATCCCAGCATTTTGGGAGGCAGAGTCAGGTGGATCGCTTGACCCAGAAGTTCAAGACCAACCTGGCCAACATAGTGAAACCCCATCTCTACTAAAAATACAAAAAAATTCGCCAGGTGTGGCGGTGCATGCCTGTGGTCCCAGCAACTTGAGGGGCTGAGATGGGAGGATCGCCTGAGCACGGTAGGTGGAGGTTGCAGTGAGCTGAGATGACGCTACTGCACTCCAGCCTGGGTGACAGAGTGAGGCCCTGTTTAAGAAAAAAAAAAAGAGCTAAATATTTACTCTATGAATGAAGTCAATGTAGGTCGAATCACAGCTTCTTTAGTTCTGAACTCAATTTCCACATTTCCAGCTGTCAGCTGGACATTTATATCTACACCCAAGAAGGATACATCCTCTAGGTTTCGGCAGTAATAATAGACCCTGTGAGTGGCTCATGTCTGTAATCCCAGCACTTTGGGAGGCCCAGGGGGGTGGATCACGAGGTCAGGAGATCGAGATCGTCCTGGCTAACACGGTGAAACCCTGTCTCTACTAAAAATACAAAAAATTAGCCGGTTGTGGTTGCAGGCGCCTGTAGTCCCAGCTACTCGGGAGGCTGAGCCAGGAGAATGGCCTGAACCCGGGAGGCGGAGCTTGCAGTGAGCGGAGATCGCGCCATTGCACTCCAGCCTGGGCGACAGAGCGAGACTCTGTCTCAAAACAAACAAACAAACAAAAGAAACAAAAAAATACAGGCCAGGTAGTATGCTACATCTGTGGAATCTGGCAATAAGCCAGAGAGATAGGATTACTGCTTTCCTGGGAAATAGACAGTGAACAGGTATAACAACAACAACAAATAAAACCTAATTTCTGACAGAGCAAGAGTGGGTTAAGAAAGAGGAGGAAAATTAAGAAATGAGTATATCAGCCCCGGTGCAGTGGCCTGTAATCCCAGCACTTTGGGAGGCCGAGGAGGGCAGATCACCTCAGGTCGGGAGTTTGAGACCAGCCTGACCAAAATGGAGAAACCCCGTCTCTACTAAAAATACAAAATAAGCCGGGTGTGGTGGCACGAACCTGTAATCCCAGCTACTCGGGAGGCTGAGGCAGGAGAATCGCTTGAACCTGGGAGGCGGGGGTTGCAGTGAGCTGAGATCTCGCCACTGCACTCCAGCCTGGGCACCAGAGCGAAACTCTGTCTCAAACAAAAAACAACAACAACAAAAAAAGAAATGAGCTTATCACGAAAACCAGGGGTACCAGCCAGCATTCTTCAGCTGCAATAGTACCAGACACAGTATCTTTTCAACTGTGGATATTTTATTTGTTTTTTGTGGTTTTTTCAAGACGGAGTCTTGCTGCGATGCCCAGGCTGGAGTGCAATGGCATGATCTCGGCTCACTGTAACCTCCTCTTCCAGGGTTCAAGTGATTCTCCTGCCTCAGCCTCCCAAGTAGCTGGGACCACAGGCATGCGCCACCACAACTGGCTAATTTTCATATTTTCAGTAGAGATGGGGTTTTACCATATTGGCCAGGTTGGTCTCAAACTCCTGATCTCAAGCGATGCACCACCCAACCCACCCCCAGCCTCCCAAAGTGCTGGGATTACAGGTGTGAGCCACCTTGCCTGGCTAATTTTTTCTTTTTTGTAGAGACAGGGTCTCACTATGTTGCCCAGGCAAATCTAGAAATCCTGGCCTCAAGCAATCCTCCTGCCTTGGCCTCCTAAAGTACAAGCACGAGCCACCATACCTGGCTGACAAATACAATTTTTTTTTTTTTTTTTGAGACGGAGTCTCGCTCTGTCGCCCAGGCTGGAGTGCAGTGGCGCAAGCTCAGCTCACTGTAAGCTCCTCCTCCTGGGTTCATGCCATTCTCCTGCCTCAGCCTCCTGAGCAGCTGGGACTACAGGCGCCTGCCACCACGCCCAGCTAATTTTTTTTTGTATTTTTAGTAGAGACGGGGTTTCACCGTGTTAGTCAGGATGGTCTTGATCTCCTGACCTTGTGATCTGCCGGTCTCGGCCTCCCAAAGTGCTGGGATTACAGGCGTGAGCCACCACGCCCAGCCGACAAATACAATATTTTTATATGTGTAGGCCAAAGCACTATAAAACAATGCTGGACATCTTCCGTCTGCCCCTCCACTCTCCCTCCTCTACTCCCTGATCTGTGGCCCAGGAAGCTGTCTTATGTGCTCAGGTCAGCAGCCTCCTTTCCTGGCCAGCTTCAGCTGGCGTTGTCCACTGGAGAGTCTCATTAGGAGACTGGGGAGTGGGAGGAGAGTGCGATGGGAATCTTAATTCCCCAGATTGCTGCTGCGGGGTCACTGCGGGCTGGCTGCCTTCATCCTCCAATCCAATGAGGATCTCCACCCTTCTCTCTGTCTCAGGTTCTGTCTCTTCAGTCCCTGGTCCTGGGATTACAGGCCTGAGCCACCAAGTAACAGCTCCCAGCTGTTGCTACCTCCAAGGTATTGCACCACCCCTTTTGGCTCCCCTACACTCTCTCACACCTCTGTACAGAGTCCCAGTGGTGTGCTGGAGCTGGCTTGTACCAAGTTGTGAGAGCCTCTTGTTTGCAACCCTACCCAACTCTGCAGTGAAAGAGTTGGAAAGTGCTGGAGGTTGGTAAACCATGGCAACTGGCAAGTGCTACAAATCACAGCCCCCGCACTCCACTTTACTAGTTTACCAGCACACTACTAAAACAGTCTCCTTATTAAATTCTTTGCAAATAATCTCATTTTGAATATGCTTTCTTATTCCTGCCTGGACACTGACTAATGCAAGAACACAATTCCTTTTTTGGTGGGGAGTGCAGTGGTGTGATCATGGCTAACTGCAGCCTCGAACTCCTGGGCTGAAGTGATCCTCCTGCCTCCGCCTCAGGAGTAGCTAGGACTACTAGTGTATGCCACTACATTAGGCTAATTTTTTTGTTTAATTAAAAATTCTTTTTGTAGAGATAGGATCTCCCTGTGTTTCCCAGGGTGGTCTTGAACTCCTGGCCTCAAGCGATCCTTCCACTTTGGCCTCCCAAAGTGCTGGGATAACAGGCATGAAGCACTGCGCCCGGCCTACAATTCATTTCTCTTTCTTTTTTTTTTTTTTTTGGAAAGGGAGTCTTGCTGGGTTTCCCAGGCTGGAGTGCAGTGGCGTGATCTCGGCTCACTGCAATCTCCGCCTCCCGGGTTCCAGCAATTCTTCTGTCTCAGCCTCCCAAGTAGCTGGGACTACAGGCTCATGCCACCACACCCAACTAGTTTTTGTATTTTTAGTGGAGACATGTTGGCCTGGCTGGTCTCAAACTCTTGACCTCAAGTGATACGCCTGCCTCGGCCTCCTAAAGTGCTGAGGTTACAGATGTGAGCCACTGCGCCCGACCCCAAAATTCTTTTTGAAGAGTTTATAGTATAGGGATAATAATTGTAACTATTTATTGAATGTTTATTTCAGGTTTATTTCAAGGACTGTCTTAGGTACTTTATAAATAAATCCGATGCTTTAGGTTTTATTATCCCACTTACAGAAAAGGAAGCTGCAGAGGCCCGGAGAAGTTAAGTAACTTGCCCAAGTCGATGAACATCTTTTAGCTACTACATTAGCACAACCTGGTTTCCTTTTGATTTATTTATTTTTAAATATTTTTGTAGAGATGGGGGTCTTGCTATGTTGTCAAGGCTCATCTCGAACTCCTGGGCTCAAGGGATCCTCTTACCTTGGCCTCCCAAAGTGCTGGGTTTATAGGCGTGAGCCATCCCACCTGGCTAATTTCCAAATCCCTGCTTGGATAGCTCTTATATGTACCAGGCTCCATTCTAAGCATTTGTCCATTTAAATTTATTTAATCCTCATGAAATCCTGGAAGACTCTCTGACTTCAAAACTATCTTAAAAAAATGTTTTGGCCGGGCGCGGTGGCTCACGCCTGTAATCACAGCACTTTAGGAGGCCGAGGTGGGTGGATCACCTGAGGTCAGGAGTTGGAGACGAGCCTGGCCAACATGGTGAAACCCCGTCTCTACTAAAAACTACAAAAATTAGCCGGGTGTGATGGTGGGCGCCTGTAATCCCAGCTACTTGGGAGGCTGAGGCAGGAGAATCTGTTAAACTGGGAAGGTGGAGGTTGCAGTGAGCCGAGACGGCGCCACTGCACTCCAGCCTGGGCAACAAAGGGAAATTCTGTCTCGGGGAAAAAAAAAAAAAAAGTTTTAAGGTAAAACATATACACTAAGTCCTCAAATGGCGTTGTTTCATTCAACATTGTTTTCTTATAACATTGGTGAGAAAAAAAATCGATCCCCAGCTGGGGCCATTGTCTGTGTGGAGTTTGCACGTTCTCCCCTTGTCTCTGTGGGTTTTCTCTGGGTACTCTGTTTTTTTGTTTGTCTTGTTTGTTTGTTTATTTGTTTTTGAGACAGGGTCTTTCTCTGTCACCCAGGCTGCAGTGCAGTGATATGACTATAGCTCACAGCAGCCTCCAACTCCTGGGCTCAAGCAGTCCTCCCATTTCAGCCTCCCAAGTAGCTGGGACCACAGGCACGTGCCACCATACCTGGCTAATTTTTTTATTTTCTGTAGAGGCAGGATCTTCCTATGTTGCCCAGGCTGGTCTTAAACTGGCCTCAAGTTATCCTCCTGCCTTGGCCTCCCAAAGTGTTGGGATTACAGGCATCAGCCATCACACCTAATCTATTTCAATGTTTAATATTGTAAGTGTTTTGTTTCTTGATTTAGAAGTTAAGTGATGATTTTGTGACCAGAAATATGCCTAGGAACTCAACCCTTGTTTATATCAATTAGCCTATGGTAAAATTTGTTTTGTTACACATCGTTTTACTTAAAATTGCAGTTTCCAAAAACCTATCGATGATGTTAATGATGACTTACTGTCCCTGCTTAAAAAAGCAAATATCATAGAAGGATATACAATGATATACAGTGAACATAAGTTGTTGCCAGGCAAAACCCATCTTTTTATTCTCCCCAAAGGTAACACATAAACAATAGTCATACATGTGAATACTGTATCCAACTTTATTGGTTTTTTATTTTTATTTTATTTGTATCCAACTTTAAGCCAAACTATGTGGCATAATCAGGAATGGCTTCCTGGAGGAGAGGGATTGGAGGTGCAGAGGGGAGAAAAGAGGCTGCTAAGTCTGTGGGTGAGGCCCAGGGGCAGAATAGGCTCTGTGTGTGTGTGAGTCAGCAGGCTGGGGCTGGATTGGATGGGGCAGGCTGGGGAACCAAGGGAAAGGAATTTGAAGACAGAATCAGAAATTGTGGGGACAAGTTCACATTTGCTATAGTAGGAATGTTGTGTGACTTCAGGCAAGTCACTGAATTTTTCTTTGTTTCTGTTTTTTCATTTGTAAAATGGGAGTAATCTCAATGGTACCTCCCTCCAGGATTTTTGTGAAAATTAAATGAATTAAGACGTGTAAAGTCCTTAGAACACAGGCTAGCACACAGTAAGGGCTATGTTAATGTTAGTGATTGCCATGATGATCAATATTGTCATTACTATTACATTTGCTGTTATTGCTACCACTGAAGCATTTCATTCAGAACATCGTGGAACCAACACGGATGTCCAATTGTGGTATGAAGGACTGCTAGAGAAATTAGAACATTAGGGAAACCAAGTCTTATCAAGTTTACCTCCAAAATTTCTCTCAAATCCATCCACTTTTCTCCACCTCTTTGCTACTACCCTGGCCCAGTTTACTATTATTTCACCTACTGAAAGGCTACAGTAGGCTTCTGACTGATTATCTGCTTCATCTCTTTGTCTTCATCATCTGTTTTCTTTTTTCTTTTTCTTTTTTCTTTTCTTTTTTTTTTTTTTCTGAGACAGGATCTCACTCTGTCACCCAGGCTGGAGTGCAGTGGTGTGATCTCAGCTCACTGTAAACTCCGCCTCCCAGGTTCAAGTGATTCTCCTGCCTCAGCCTCCCCAGTAGTTGGAATTACAGGTGTATGTCACCACACCCAGCTAATTTTTGTATTTTTTGTAGAGACATGGTCTCATTATGTTGCTCAGGCTGGCCTTAAACTCCTGAGCTAAAGCGATCCGCCAGCCTCAGTCTTCCAAAGTGCTGGGATTACAGGTGTGAGACACCACGCCTGGCCCCTCATCGTCTCTTTTCTACACAGAACTAGTAATCTTGATTTTGAAAAACGTAAATGTCATCACATCAGGTGTCCATGCCAATTTACAATGAAACCCCTGGTCCTTACCATGGCCAACATGGACTTTCTGTGTCTACTTCACCATCTTCATATCATACCTATCTCCTCACTCTCTAAGCACCAGCCATCGTCTGTGATTCATGATTTATCTTTTCTCCTTGTCTTTTTTTTTTTTTTTTTTTGAGACAGGGTCTCACTCTATTGCCCAGGCTGGAGTGCAGTGGCGCAATCTCAGCTCACTGCAACCTCTGCCTCCCCAGCTCAAGTGATCCTCCAACCTCAGCCTCCTGAGTAGCTGGGACCACAGGCAAGCGCCACCTTACCTAGCTACTTTTTTTTAGTATTTTTGGTAGAAATGGGGTTTGCCATGTTACCCAGGCTGGTCTCAAGCTCCAGAGTTCAAACAATCCACCTGCCTCAGCCTCCCAAAGTGCTGGGATTACAGGTGTGAGCCATCATGCCCAGATTTTTTTCTTTTTTTAAACAGAGTCTTGCTGTTACCTAGGCTGGAGTGCAGTGGTGTGATCATAGCTCTCTGCAGCCTCAACCTGGGCTCAAATGATCCTCCTGCCTCAGCCTCCTGAGTAGCTGGAACTACAGGCATGTATCACCATGCCCAGCTGAACCATGATTTGTCTGTTCCAAAATCAAAATTTTGGTGAAAGCATCTGAATGGCTGAGCTTGGGTCACAAGCTGTGCCCCGGGCATGAGGATAAGGGAAAGCAAGGATTTAACCTTCTCATCATCTGTAGAAGGAACAGAGCCCTGTTTTCACCAAGACAGACACGGCTCACAATTAGGAAGGGCATTCAGATGCTGAGCAGGAAACAACATGTGACTTGTTGAGGAGAGCATGCAAGTGCAGGCCAGAGCAGAATTGCTAGGGACAATAGAAAGGAGATTCAAGGTTGCTCCATAGGAGAACAACTTTATTCATTCATTCCACACAGAGTACTAGCGAGAGACAGGACTAGCTGGATTTCCTAGGCCAACTAAGAATTCCTGAGCCTAGCTGGGGAAGGTGACTGCACCCATCTTTAAACATGGGGCTTGTAACTCAGCTCACACCCGACCAATCAAGTAGTAAAGGGAGCTCACTAAAATACCAATTAGGCTAAAAGCAGGAGGTAAAGAAATAGTCAATCATCTATCGCCTGAGAGCACAGCGGGAGGGACAATGATCAGGATATAAACCCAGGCATTGGAGCCAACAGTAGCAACCCCCTTTTGGTCCCCTCCCATTGTATGAGAGCTCTGTTTTCACTCTATTAAATCTTGCAACTGCACACTCTTCTGGTCCGTGTTTTTTCCGGCTTGAGCTGAGCTTTTGCTTGCCATCCACCACTGCTGATCACCACCGTCGCAGACCCGTCACTGACTTCCACCCCTCCGGATCTGGCAGGGTGTCTGCTGCTCTTCTGATCCAGTGAGACACCCATTGCCACTCCTGACTGGGCTAGAGGCTCGCCATTGTTCCTGCATGGCTAAGTGCCCGGGTTCATCCTAATCGAGCTGAACACTAGTCGCTGGGTTCCACGGTTCTCTTCCATAACCCATGGCTTCTAATAGAGCTATAACACTAACCACATGGCCCAAGGTTCCATTCTTTGGAATCCATGAGGCCAAGAACCCCAGGTCAGAGAATAGAAGGCTTGCTGCCATCTTGGGAGCGGCCCACCACCATCTTGGGAGCTCTAAGAACAAAGACCCGCTTGTAACATTTGGTGGCCCATATGGGGATTCTCCAAAGTGGTGAGTAATACTGGGCCATTTTTGCTTGCTATTCTGTCCTATCCTTCCTTGGAATTGGAGGAAAATATAGGGCACCTATCGGCTGGTTAAAAATGATTAGCGTGGCCGCCGGAGTGAGGCTTTCTGGAAAAAGGCTTTCTAACAACCCCCAACCCTTCTGTGTTGGGAGCATTGGTCTGCCTGGAACCAGCTTCTGTTTTCACAATATTCCTGGGGGAAGCCGAGGGCCAACTAGAGGCAGAAAGCTGTCGTCCTGAACTCCTGGCATTGGCCAGTTGAGATCATGGTGCAGCCAGAAGTCTCTACTCAACAGTCGTCCATGCGTGTGCCCCTACCTCTCCTTCTGACCCATACCTCCTGGGTCCTGACCATGACTTTCTTGAAAGTGTAGCCCCAAAATTCTCCTTACCTCTGTATCTACTTCCTCCTATCCCTGTCTCCTAGGTACTAATGCTTCAGGCTTTCACTTCCTTTCCCAAGTATTAGAGCAAGTTGTATCTCCAAAGGGATCTAAGGAAGCTCTACACTGCATCCTTAGGCACCTAGGCTATGAATGCAGGGAATCTTGTCCCTGGTGTCTCTCCCAATTTAGGTATACAGCTCTCGACATGGGCAGTTATGTGGGATCCATTCCCCACCACACTAGCCAGGGCCCCAAGTTCTATTATGAGCTGTGGACCAAGTTTGTAAATGGCTAGGAGGATTGATCTTCCACTGTGTAAGATGTTCTTCTCCCCCAATTTCTACCCAGTTTACCCACCCTGTAATACAATCTCCAAGCCTTGGCTCCTTGGCCAGGGCCTTAGAACTGATGACCCAGTACTTTAATAATTGGAACTGGGTCTATGACAACATAATAGATCAGGATGAAAACGAATTGAGTAAATTAAAGGGAGGCACATATTCCTATAACGGCAAATGGGGGCAACGAGCGAACGTCCTTCCACTGTGTTCCCAAAATCCATCTACCAAGAGAGGAATTATCTCTTTCACAGCTTTGCCTAGTGATTCTATGTAAGTCAATACTACTGGAAGGACAACATAGTGCCCAGAAGTTTATTAACTGGACTTTAGCACATAAAAACCAGCAAGCCCACGCCGGGCATGGTGGCTCACACCTGTAATCCCAGCACTTTGGGAGGCCGAGACGGGTGGATCACCTGAGATCAGGAGTTCGAGACCAGCCTGGCCAACATGGTGAAACCCCGCCTCTACTAAAAATACAAAAATTAGCCGGGTGTGGTGGTGGGCGCCTGTAATCCCAGCTACTCAGGAGGCTGAGGCAGAAGAATCACTTGAACCTGGGAGGCAGAGGTTGCAGTGAGCCAAGATCACGCCACTGCACTCCAGCCTGGGTGATGGAGCAAGACTCCATCTCAAAAAAAAAAAAAAAACAAAAAAAACCCAGCAAGCCCATCCTTTTCTCATTGCTCTCCTTCTCGTAGGAAAAAGGCACACAAGATAAACAGGATCCATCTCTCCTATTTCTTACCCAAAAGGACTTAATCTGGGGCAACAAGAGGTTTAAGATAGATAATTAGGGCATATTCCTGCAAAGGAAAAGAAGGATAAAGGCCCTAGTGGGGAAAAATTCTATCTCAATCCTGACTCAAAAAGTTACTTACACCCTCTCTGAAATGAATTTGCATAGGAACTGTTGCTTATGGGACCAACTGGGTTGCAACTGGGTTGCAGATGGGGCAACTGGGTTGTTATGAAATACTCAGGAAACCAGCCCAGCTCTAGAACTCACCCCTGAGCACAAAGGTGATGTTGGGCACACTGGTAAAGGACCACTAGAATCCAGCAGCCTGGACCCCTTTCTTTGTGGTCAAGAAAGGCAGGAAAACAGGTGCAGGACTGCTACATCGGTGAGCATAACTAATCCGATAAGCAGAGGTCCATGGCTGGTCACACACCCTGGAAAGGAATAAGCGTTAGGACCATAGAGGACACTCTAGGACTAATGCTCATCGGAAAATGACTAGGGGTGCTGGCATTCCTATGTTCTTTTTTCAGATGGGAAATGTTCCCCCGGCTCCTTCCCCAACTAATAAGGACCCCCCTTCAACCCAAACCGTCCAAAAGGAGATAGACAAAGGGGTAAACAATGACCCAGAGTGCCAATATTCCCCGATTATGCCCCCTCCAAGCGGTGGGAGGAGGAGAATTCAGCCCAGTCAGAGTGCATGTACCGTTTTTCCCTCTCAGACTTGAAACAAACTAAAATAGACCTAGATAAATTCTCAGATAACCCTGATGGCTATATTGATGTTTTATAAGGGTTAGGACAATCCTTTGATCTGACATGGAGAGATATAATGTTACTGCTAGATCAAACTGTAACCCCAAATGAGAGAAGTGCTGCCATAACTGCAGCCTGAGAGTTTGGTGATCTCTGGTATCTCAGTCAGTTCAATGATAGGATGATAACAGAGGAAAGAGAATGATTCCCCACAGGCCAGCAGGCAGTTCCCAGTGTAGACCCTCACTGGGACACAGAATCAGAACATGGAGATTGGTGCCGCAGACATTTGCTAACTTGCATGCTAGAAGGACTAAGGAAAACTAGGAAGAAGCCTATGAATTATTCAATTATGTGCACTATAACACAGGGAAAGGAAGAAAATCCTATTGCCTTCCTGGAGAGACTAAGGGAGGCATTGAGGAAGCATACCTCTCTGTCACCTGACTCTATTGAAGGCCAACTAATCTTAAAGGATAAGTTTATCACTCAGTCAGCTGCAGACATTAGAAAGAAACTTCAAAAGTCTGCCTTAGGCTTGGAACAAAACTTAGAAACCCTATTGAACTTGGCAACCTCGGTTTTTAATAATAGAGATCAGGAGGAGCAGGTGGAATGGGACAAACGGGTTAAAAAGAAAAGCCACCGCTTTAGTCATGGCCCTAAGGCAAGCGGACTTCGGAGGCTCTAGAGAAAGGAAAGCCTCAGCAAATAGAATGCCTAATAGGGTTTGTTTCCAGTGCAGTCTACAAGGACGCTTTAAAAAAGATTGTCTGGCCGGGCGCGGTGGCTCACGCCTGTAATCCCAGCACTTTGGGAGGCTGAGGCAGGTGGATCACAAAGTCAGGCGATCAAGACCATCCTGGCTAAAACAGTGAAACCCCATCTCTACTAAAAATACAAAAAATTAGCTGGGTGTGGTGGCGGGCGCCTGTAGTCCCAGCTCCTCGGGAGGCTGAGGCAGGAGAATGGCGTGAAACCGGGAGGCGGAGGTTACAGTGAGCCAAGATTGGGCCACTGCACTCCAGCCTGGGTGACAGAGCAAGACTCCCTCTAAAAAAAAAAAAAAAAAGATTGTCTGAATAGAAATAAGCCGCCCCCTCGTACATGCCCCTTATGTCACGGGAATCACTGGAAGGCCCACTGCCCCAGGGTACGAAGGTCCTCTGAGTCAGAAGCCACTAACCAGATGATCCAGCAGCAGGACTGAGGGTGCCTGGGGCAAGCGCCATCCCATGCCATCACCCTCACAGAGCCCCAGGTATGCTTGACCATTGAGGGCCAGGAGGCTAACTGTCTTCTGGACAGTGCAGGCTTCTCAGTCTTACTCTCCTGTCCCAGACAACTGTCCTCCAGATCTGTCACTATCCGAGGGGTCCTAGGACAGGCAGTCACTAGATACTTTTCCCAGTCACTAAGCTGTGACTGGGGAACTTTTTTCACATGCCTTTCTAATTATGCCTGAAAGCCCCACTCCTTTGTTAGGGAGAGACATTCTAGCAAAAGCAGGGGCCATTATACACCTGAACATAGGAGAAGGAACACCCATTTTTTGTCCCCTACTTGAGGAAGGAATTAATCCTGAAGCCTGGGCAACAGAAGGACAATTGGACGAGGGAAGAATGCCTGTCCTGTTCAAGTTAAACTAAAGGATTCCGCCTCCTTTCCCTACCAAAGGCAGTACCCACTTAGACCCGAGGCCCAACAAGGACTCCAAAAGATTGTTAAGGACCCAAAAGCCCAAGGCCTAGTAAAAGCATGCAATAGCCCCTGCAATACTCCAATTTTAGGAGTACAGAAACCCAATGGACAGTGGAGGTTAGTGCAAGATCTCAGGATTATCAATGAGGCCATTGTCCCTATATACCCAGCTGTACCTAACCCTTATATTCTGCTTTCCCAAATACCAGAGGAAGCAGAGTGGCTTACAGTCCTGGACCTTAAAGATGCCTTTTTCTGCATCCCTATACATCCTGACTCTCAATTCTTGTTTGCCTTTGAAGATCCTTGGAACCCAACATCTCAACCCACCTGGACTGTTTTACCCCAAGCGGTCAGGGATAGCCCCCATCTATTTGGCCAGGCATTAGCCCAAGACTTTAGCCAGTTCTTATACTTGGACACTCTTGTCCTTTGGTATGTGGATGATTTACTTTTAGCTGCCCGTTCAGAAACCTTGTGCCATCAAGCCACCCAAGCGCTCTTAAACTTCCTCGCCACCTGTGGCTACTAGGTTTCCAAACCAAAGGCTCAGCTCTGCTCACAGCAGGTTAAATACTTAGGGCTCAAATTATCCAAAGGCACCAGGGCCCTCAGTGAGGAATGCATCCAGCCTATACTGGCTTATCCTCATCCCAAAACCCTGAAGCAATTAGGAGGGTTCCTTGGCATAACAGGCTTCTGCCGAATATGGAATCCCAGGTATGTCAAAATAGCCAGGCCATTATACACACTAATTAAGGAAACTCAGAAAGCCAACACTCATTTAGTAGAATGGATACCTGAAGCAGAAGCAGCTTCCCAGGCCCTAAAGAAGGCCCTAACCCAAGCCCCAGTGTTAAGCTTGTCAACGGGGCAAGACTTTTCTTTATATGTCACAGAAAAAACAGGAATAGCTCTAGGAGTCCTTACACAAGTCCGAGGGACCAGCTTGCAACCCGTGGCATACATGAGTAAGGAAATTGATGTAGTGGCAAAGGGCTGGCCTCATTGTTTATGGGTAGTGGCAGCAGTAGCAGTCTTAGTATCTGAAGCAGTTAAAATGATACAGGGAAGAGATCTTACTGTGTGGACATCTCATCATGTGAATGGCATACTCACTGCTAAAGGGGACTTCGGGTTGTCAGACAACCATTTGCTTAAATATCAGGCCAGTCTATTACTTGAAGGGCCAGTGCTGCAACTGCACACTTGTGCAACTCTTAGCCACATTTCTTCCAGACAATGAAAAAAAGATAGAGCATAACTGTCAACAAGTGATTGCTCAAACCTATGCCACTCAAGGGGACCTTCTAGAGGTTCCCTTGACTGATCCCCACGTCCCCACATCAACTTGTATACTGATGGAAGTTCCTTTGTAGAAAAATGACTTCGAAAGGCGAGGTATGCAGTGGTGAGTGACAATGGAATACTTCAAAGTAATCCCCTCACTCCAGAAACTAGCGCTCAGCTGGCAGAACTAATAGCCCTCACTTGGGCACTAGAACACAGGAGAAGGAAAAAGAGTAAATATATATACAGCCTATAGGTATGCTTACCTAGTCCTCCATGCCCACGCAGCAATATGGAGAGAAAGGGAATTCCTAACTTCCAAGGGAAGACCTATCAAACATCAGGAAGACATTAGGAGATTATTATTGGCGGTACAGAAACCTAAAGAGGTGGCAGTCTTACACTGCCAGGGTCATCAGAAAGGAAAGGAAAGGGAAATAGAAGAGAACCACCAAGCGGATACTGAAGTCAAAAGAGCCGCAAGGTGGGACCCTCCATTAGAAATGCTTATAGAAGGGCCCCTAGTATGGGGTAATCCCCTCCAGGAAACCAAGCCCCAGTACTCAGCAGGAGAAATAGAATGGGGAACCGCATGAGGACATAGCTTCCTCCCCTCAGGATAGCTAGCCACTGAAGAAGGAAAAATACTTTTGCCTGCAGCTAACCAATAGAAATTACTTAAAACCCTTCACCCAACCTTTCACTTAGGCATTGATAACACCCATCAGATGGCCGAATCATTATTTACTGGACCAGGCCTTTTCAAAACTACCAAGCAGATAGTCAGGGCCGGTGAAGTGTGCCAAAGAAATAATCCCCTACCTTATTGCCAGGCTCCTTCAGAACAAAGAACAGGCCATTACCCAGGAAAATACTGGCAACTAGATTTTACCCACATGCCCAAATCTCAGGGATTTCAGTATCTACTAGTTTGGGTGGATACTTTCACTGGTTGGGCAGAGGCCTTCCCTTGTAGGACAGAAAAGGCCCAAGAGATAATAAAGGCACTAATTCATTAAATAATTCCCAGAGTTGGACTTCCCCAAGGCTTACAGAGTGACAGCGGCCACGCTTTCAAGGCTGTAGGAACCCAGGGAGTATCCGAGGAGTTAGGCATACAATATCACTTACACCATGCCTGGAGGCCACAATCCTCAGGAAAAGTCGAGAAAATGAATGGAACACTCAAACAACATCTAAAAAAGCTAACCCAAGAAACCCGCCTTGCATGGCCTGCTCTGTTGCCTATAGCCATATTAAGAATCCAAAACTCTCCCCAAAAAGTGGGACTTAGCCCATACAAACTGCTGTATGGACAGCCCTTCCTAACCAATGACCCTGTGCTTGACCAAGAGATGGCCGACTTAGTTGCAGACATCACCTCCTTAGCCAAATATCAACAAGTTCTTAAAACACTGCAGGGAACCAGCCGGGCGCAGTGGCTCATGCCTGTAATCCCAGCACTTTGGGAGGCCGAGACGGGTGGATCACCTGAGATCAGGAGTTCGAGACCAGCCTGGCCAACATGGTGAAACCTCATCTCTACTTAAAATACAAAAAATTAGCTGGGTGTGGTGGTACGCACCTGTAATCCTAGGTATTCGGGAGGCTGAGGCAGGAGAATCACTTGAACCCGGGAGGTGGAGGTTGCCGTGAGCCGAGATCGTGCCACTGCATGCCAGACTGGGGGACAAGAGCGAGACATCATCTCAAAAACAAACAAACAAACCAAAAAAACCACACATTACAGGGAACCTGTCCCGGAGAGGAGGGAAAGGAATTATTCCACCCTGGTGACATGGTATTGGTCAAGTCCCTTCCCTCTAATTCCCCATCCCTAGATACATCCTGGAAAGGACGCTACCCAGTCATTTTATCTACCCCAACCGTGGTTAAAGTGGCTGGATTGGAATCTTGGATACATCACACTCGAGTCAAACCCTGGATAGTGCCAGAGGAACCCGAAAATCCAGGAGACATTGCTAGCTATTCCTGTGAACCTCTAGAGGATCTGCGCCTGCTCTTCAAGAGACAACCGTGAGGAAAGTAACTAGAATCGTAGATCCCCATGGCCCTCCCTTCTCATATTTTTCTCTTTACTGTTCTCTTACCCCCTTTCACTCTCACTGCACCTTATCCATGCCACTGTACTGTCAGAAGCTCCCCTTACCAAGAGCTTCTATGAACAATGTAGCTTCCCAGAAATATTGACGCCCCATCGTATAGGATTTTTTCTAAAGGAAACCCCACTTTCACCGCCCACACCCGTATGCCCCACAACTGCTATAACTCTGCTACTCTTTGCATGCATGCAAATACTCATTATTGGAGAGGGAAAATAATTAATCCTAGTTGTCCTGGAGGGTTTGGAGCCACTGTCTGTTGGACTTACTTCACCCATACTGGTATGTCTGATGGGAGTGGAGTTCAAGATCAGGCAAGAGAAAAACACGTAAAGGAAGTAATCTCCCAGCTGACGCAGGTACATAGATAGCACCCCTATCCCCTACAAAGGACTAGACCTCTCAAAGCTACATGAAACCCTCCATACCCATACTCACCTGGTAAGCCTATTTAATACCACCCTCATTGGGCTCCATGAAGCCTTGGCCCAAAACCCTACTAACTGTTGGATGTGCCTCCCCCTGCACTCAGGCCATATATTTCAATCCCTGTATCTTTAACCTCCTTGTTAAGTTTGTCTCTTCCAGAATCGAAGCTGTAAAACTACAAATGGTTCTTCAAATGGAGCCCCAGATGCAATCCGTGACTAAGATCTACCACAGACCCCTGGACCGGCCTCCTAGCCTATGCTCTGATGTTGATGACATCAAAGGCAACCATCCCAAGGAAATATCAACTGCACGACCCCTGCTACACCCCAATTCAGCATGAAGCAGTTAGAGTGGTCATCGGCCAACCTCCCCAACAGCACTTGGGTTTTCCTGTTGAGAGGGGGGACTGAGAGATAGGACTAGCTGGATTTCCTAGGCCGACTTAGAATTCTTAAGCCTAGCTGGGGATGGTGACTGCACCCACCTTTAAACACGGGGCTTGTAACTCAGCTCACACCCGACCAATCAGGTAGTAAAGAGAGCTCACTAAAATACCAATTAGGCTAAAGGCAGGAGGTAAAGAAATAGTCAATCATCTATCACCTGAGAGCATAGGGGGAGGGACAATGACCGGGATATAAGCCAGGCATTTGAGCCAGCAGTGGCAACCCCCTTTGGGTCCCCTCCCATTGTATGGGAGCTCTGTTTTCACTCTATTAAATCTTTTTTTAAATTTATTATTATTATTATACTTAAAGTTTTAGGGTACATGTGCACAATGTGCAGGTTAGTTACATATGTATACATGTGCCATGCTGGTGTGCTGCACCCATTAACTCGTCATTTAGCATTAGGTATATCTCCTAATGCTATCCCTCCCCCCTCCCCCAACCCCACAACAGTCCCCAGAGTGTGATGTTCCCCTTCCTGTGTCCATGTGTTCTCATTGTTCAATTCCCATCTATGAGTGAGAACATGCGGTGTTTGGTTTTTTGTCCTTGCGATAGTTTACTGAGAATGATGATTTCCAATTTCATCCATGTCCCTACAAAGGACATGAACTCATCATTTTTTATGGCTGCATAGTATTCCATGGTGTATATGTGCCACATTTTCTTAATCCAGTCTATCATTGTTGGACATTTGGGTTGGTTCCAAGTCTTTCCTATTGTGAATAGTGCCACAGTAAACATACGTGTGCATGTGTCTTTATAGCAGCATGATTTATAGTCCTCTGGGTATATACCCAGTAATGGGATGGCTGGGTCAAATGGTATTTCTAGTTCTAGATCCCTGAGGAATCCACTCTATTAAATCTTGCAACTGCGCACTCTTCTGGTCCGTGTTTCTTCCGGCTCAAGCTGAGCTTTCGCTCACAGTCCACCACTGCTGATTGCCGCCGTTGCAGACCCGCCGCTGACTTCTAGCCGTCCGGATCCGGCAGGGTGTCTGCTGTGCTTCTGATCCAGCGAGGCACCCACTGCTGCTCTGGATGGGGCTAGAGGCTCGCCATTGTTCCTGCGTGGCTAAGTGCCCGGGTTCGTCCTAATCGAGCTGAACACTAGTCGCGGGGGTCCACGGTTCTCTTCCGTGACCCATGGCTTCTAATAGAGCTATAACACTCACCGCATGGCCCAAGGTTCCATTCCTTGGAATCCGTGAGGCTGAGAACCCCAGGTCAGAGAACAAAAGGCTTGCCGCCATCTTGGGAGTGGCCCGTCGCCATCTTGGGAGCTCTAAGAACAAACACCTGCTGGTAACACTAGTACTCAACCTCCCCTCTAAATAACCTGCAACAACTATGTAAAGACTGTGGGCTTACTAAAATATTTCTAAATATAATAATATAATGTCTGGGAATTACTTTAAAATAGTCTGCTGGGGGCCAGGCGTTGTGGCTCACACCTGTAATCCCAGCACTTCGGGTGGCTGAGGTGGGTGGATCGCCTGAGGTCAGCAGTTTGAGACCAGCCTGACCAACACAGTGAAACCCCGCCTCTATTAAAAATACAAAAATTAGCCAGGTGTGGTGGCACATGCCTGTAATCCCAGCTACTCGGGAGGCTGAGGCAGGAGAACTGCTTGAGCCGGGGAGGCAGAGGTTGCACAAGCCAAGATTGCACCATTGCACTCCAGCCTGGGCGACAGAGCAAGACTCCGTCAAAACAAATAAATAAACAAACAAACAAACAAAAACTATGGACTTGAAGGAGTGACAAAGTATTAGCATGTCTGGAATGACCACAAGACTTACTTTTACCATGGATAAAAGAAGAAAGACCTATCTGGATGTGGTGACAAGCGCCTGTAGTCCCAGCTATTCAGGAGGTTGAGGAGGGGTTGGGGGATTGCTTGAGCCCAGGAGTGAGCTACGATCACCACTGCATTCCAGCCTGGGCAACAGAGTGAGACAAAAAAAAAAAAAAAAAAGAGAAAGAAAGATTAAGAAAGAAAAGAGAGAGAAGATTTGATGCCACCAACAGAGATCTGTTGATTTCTCCAACAGATTTGGAGAAAAAAAATGAGCTCTAAGGGACAGCACTGGGGATCTCAGGGCTAGATGCAGGGGACCACCATGGTTAGGGGCAGGAGGAAGAGCTGTGGACAGATGACAGATGGTTCCTCCCTCTGTGAGGCACTAGGGCAGGGCATGTGGCAGAGAGAAGCAGTGATTCTGTGGAAGGAGAAGTCACTGCTTCCTGGAAAATCAGGCCACAGGGGCCTGAGAAACCACATTAGGAATAGAAAGACGACGGCAGGTACTTGAGTGTAGCTTGCCTGTGCTGTGGCCAATGGACTCTTTCTTCCTGTTGTTTTATTTTTATTTTTTTGAGATGGAGTCTCGCTCTGCTGCCCTGGCTGGAGTGCAGTGGCACGATCTTAGCTCACTGCAGCCTCCACCCCCCGGGTTCAACCGATTCTCCCTGCCTCAGCCTCCCAAGTAGCTGGGACTACAGGCATGTGCCACCATGCCTGCCTAATTTTTGTATTTTTAGTGGAGATGGGGTTTCACCATGTTGGCCAGGCTGATCTTGAACTCCTGGCCTCAAGTGGTCTGCCCGCCTCAGCCTCCCAAAGTGCTTGGATTACAGGAGTGAGCCACTGTGCCTAGCCTCCTTTTTTGTTTAAAATTTATTTATTTATTTATTTATTTA
The DNA here is from genome assembly GCF_000001405.40 of Homo sapiens. Classification (NCBI taxonomy): domain Eukaryota; kingdom Metazoa; phylum Chordata; class Mammalia; order Primates; family Hominidae; genus Homo; species Homo sapiens. The sequence goes on from NC_000012.12 coordinate 123,560,157, forward strand.
TTTATTTATTTGAGACAGGGTCTTACTCTGTCTCCCAGGCTGGGGTGTGGTGGTGATCATGACTCTGCAGCTTCAAAGTCCTGGGTTCAAGCGATCCTCCTGCCTCAGCCTCCTGAGTAGCTGGGACTACAGGCACGTGCCACCACACCCAACTAATTTTTAGATTTTTTGTAGAGACAGGGTCTCGCTTTGTTGCCCAGGTTGGGCTCAAACTCCTGGGGTCAAGCGATCCTCCTGCTTCGGCTTCCCAAAGTGCTGGGATTACCGGCAGGAGCTACCGCGCCTGGCCAGGGGACTCTCATGAGCACCAACATTTCTCAGGAGTCTGAGCAGTCATCAGGCCACCTGCCTTACCTGTCCTGTCCCAGGGCTAGATTACAAGGCCTGGCAATCTGAAATAGCTGCCCACCCACACACTTCTTCGTGACTTTCCACAGTTGCTGCTGCGGCTCTTCGTTTATTCTCTTCCATCTCCTCCTCCTTTTCCTCCTTCACTTTGACAGTCTTGGGGGGGTCATGACTAATTTTGATGTCCTCATTGCATTGTGTTTTTTTGTTTTTTGTTTTTTTTCAGACAGAGTCTCACTCTGTCACCTAGGCTGGAGTGCAGTGGCACAATCTCAGCTCACTGCAACCTCCACCTCTGGGGTTCAAGTGCTTCTCCTGCCTCAGCCTCCCGAGCAGCTGGGATTACTGGCACGCACCACCATGCCCAGCTAATTTTTGTATTTTTAGTAGAGATGGGGTTTCACCATGTTGGCCAGGCTGGTCTCGAACTCCTAACCTCAAGTGATCCACCCGCCTTGGCCTCCTAAGATGCTGGGATTCAGGCGTGAGCCACCATGCCTGGCTGCATTGTTTTTTAATTTTTAAAAATTTTTCATAGGGACAGGGTCTCACTATGTTGCCCAGACTGGTCTGGAACTCCAGGGCTCAAGCAATCCTTCTGCCTTAGCCTCCCAAAGTGCTGGGATTACAAGCGTGAGCAACCGCACTCGGCCATCACGGCATCTTTAAGCACCAGAAATGTCATTTAGCACTCACGGTCTGTTCTGCACTGCCTTCTCCTTAGTTGCCAGACCCCATCCCCAAGGACACTGTATGAGAGATATGATCAGACTCCCCAAAACCCATCTTGGGAAACAAGAAACTTAGCAACTGGATTTTACCTGCATTGGGCACACTTGCTGAATTTCAATGTCTGCTTCTTTCTGAAGAGAGATTACCAGTAAATGCTAATGCTACATTTGTGTAGATTTTTCCATAACAGTTGCATTAACCTGGTTAATGCAACCTGTGCTTCTGTGCTTCAAGAATCTCATCCCTTAATGGTTGAGTTCTTCTTTTCTTTTTTAAGACAGGGTCTGGCTCTGTCACTCAGGCGGAAGTGCAGTGGTGCAGCGGTCTGATTTTTTCTCACTGCAACCACTTCTTGGGCTCAATCCATCCTCCTCACCTCAGCCTCCTGAGTAGCTGGGACTACAGGCTCATGCTACCACACCCAGATAATTTTTGTATTTTTAGGAGAGACGGGGTTTCACCATTTTGCCCAGGCCGGTATCGAACTTGTGAGTTCAAGTGAGCTATCCGCCTCAACCTGCCAAACTGCTGGGATTACAGGCGTGAGCCACCACGCCAGGCCAATGGTTGAGTTCTTAATTTAAACAAATATTGGCCAGGTGCAGTGGCTCACGCCTGCAATCCCAGCATTTTGGGAGGCCGAGGTGGGCAGATCACTTGAGGTCAGGAGTTCAAGACCACCCTGGCCAGCATGGCGAAACCCCGTCTCTATTAAAGATACAAAAATTAGCCAGACATGGTGGTGGGCGCCTGTAGTTTCCGCTACTTGGGAGGCTGAGGGAGGACAATTGCTTGAACCTTGGAGGCAGAGGATGCAGTGAGTCGAGTTTGAGCCACTGCACTCCAGCCTGGGCGACAGAGAGAGACTAAGTAAGTAAGTTAGTAAATAAATATATATATATATTTTTATATATAAATAAATAAGTAAATAAATATATATATAAAATATATAAAGAAAAATATAAATATATATAAATATATATAAAATAAGTAAGTAAATAAATAGATAAATATATACTTATTTTTTGAGACAGAGTCTCGCTCTGTTGCCTAGGCTGGAGTACAGTGGCACGTGATCTCCGCTCACTATAACCTCTGCCTCCTGAGTTCAAGCGTTTCTTCTGCCTCAGCCTCCCAAGTAGCTGGGATTACAGTTGCCCACCACCACGCCTGGCTAATTTTTGTATTTTTCTTAGAGACGGGGTTTCACCATGTTGGCCAGGCTGGTCTCGAACTCCTGACCTCAAGTGATCTGCCCGCCTCGGCCTCCAAAAGTGCTGGGTGTGAGCCATTGCACCTGGCCAAGAAAAAACATTTAAAGAGAAATATTTAAAAAGTAGAAATCACCCATGGCTTTGTTTTGGTTCCCTAGAAAACAGGGCCTGAGGTGAAGATTAGGAGCTAATGCTTTATTGGAGAGGAGAATGCCAGGGAGGTGAGGGTGAGGGAGAAAGGGAAGGAGGCACAAAAGGAGGGGGAGCAGGCCGGGCGCGGTGGCTCATGCCTGTAATCCCAGCACTTTGGGAGGCTAAGGCAGATGGATCACGAGGTCAGGAGATCGAGACCATCCTGACCAACATGGTGAAACCTTGTCTCTACTAAAAATAAAAACAATTAGCCGGGTGTGGTGGTGGGCGCCTGTAGTCCCACTTACTTGGGAGGCTGAGGCAGGAGAATCCCTTGAACCTGGGAGTCAGAGGTTGCAGTGAGCTGAGATCACATCACTGCACTCCAGCCTGGGCAACAGAGAGAGACTCCGTCTCAAAAAAAAAAAAAAAAAAAAGGAGGTAGTGTAAGTTCATGACAGAGCATCCCAGAGGCAGCCCCAACTTCACACCAGCACTCAGCCAGTTGCTGGTCTTCTGGGGTGTCTCTGGAGAGGATGTAGGAAAGCAGTGAATCTCAGAATGTTCTGTTAGTGCAGAGTGTAGCAATGGGAAGTGTGTGGTGGGTATGGGGAGGGAGGTGAACAATTTATCCGCCAGCTCCTTCACGTCCTCATTTGTTTTCCCCCTGGGGCATTAGCCTCCCCCCATTTGCAGGTGGAGCCCCTCTTGGGGGGTGTCGGTCTTGGATGCAGAGGTGGCTGCAATTCTTTGCCCCTGACCTTCAGAGACAATCGGAAATGTTAGGAGCTGAAATGACTGTGGCACTGGGCAGAGCTTTATAACCATGGAACAGTGTGAGCCGTCGCTGATGCTGTCTGCGCCAGAGAGAAAGGTAAGTATGTGATTTCTGGGGGTGGGGGGCACAGGTGGGATGAATGGATTCGGATTTGCCATTTCCATAATCCAACATGAGAAAAATTATGTATTTAAGCTGGGTGTGGTGGTGCACACCAGTAGTCCCAGCTACTCTAGAGGCTGAGGTGAGAGGAACACTTGAACCCAGGAGTTTGAGGCTGCAGTGAGCTGTAATCAGGCCACTGCACTCCAGCCTGGGTGACAGAGGGAGACCCTGTCTAAAAACAAAAAGAAAGGCATGGTGGCTCGCGCCTGTAATTCCAGCACTTTGGGAGGCCAAGGCGGGAGAATCACCTGAGCCCAGGAGTTTGAGACCAGCCTGAGCAATATTGTGAGACCCCGTCTCTACAAAAGATACAAAAATTAGCTGGGCATGGTGGTGTGCACCTGTAATCCCAGCTACTTGGGAGGCTGAGGCAGGAGGATCGCTTGAGCCCAGGAAATCGAGGCTGCACTGAGCTGTGATTGTGCTACTGTACTCCAGCTTGGGAGACACAGGCTGGAGTGAAAACAGAGAAAAAATAATGTATTTAAAAGAAATCCCTCCCATCTAATTTCTACTCCTAGGTAACTACTGTTGACAGTTTGGTCCATGCTTTTCCTGATAATATAAATATTTGCATATCTGTACACACTGTATGTCTAAACATACACTTAGTTTTAAAATGGAAACACGACATACAAACATACAAAAAAAGCAGTTTGCTTTTTTCACTTAATAATACCCTATAATCATTTTTCCAGCTCAGCACATATAGATCTACCTTATTTTTTAAAAATAGATAATTCCTGTTTCATTCTTTTATTTTTTATTTTTTTTTATTTTGAGACAGAGTTTCACTCTTGTTGCCCAGGCTGGAGTGTAGTGGTGCAATCTTGGCTCACTGCAACCTCTGCCTCATAGGTTCAAGTGATTCTTGTGCCTCGGCCTCCCAAGTAGCTGGGACTACAGGCAGGTGCCACCACAGGCAGCTAATTTTTTTTTTTTTTTTTGAGATGGAGTCTTGCTCTGTCACCCACGCTGGAGTGCAGTGGCGCGATCTCGGCCCACTGCAACCTCTGCCTCCCGGGTTCAAGCGATTCTCCTGCCTCAGCCTCCCGAGTAGCTGGGATTACAGGCTCCCGCCACCGCGCCCAGCTAACGGGGTTTCACCATATTGCCCAGGCTGATCTCGAACTCCCTACCTCAGGTGATCCACCTGCCTCGGCCTCCCAAAGTGCTGGAATTACAAGCATGAGCCACCATGCCTGGCCTAATTTTGTATTTTATTAGAGATGGGGTTTCACCATGTTGTCCAGGCTGGTCTCAAACTCTTGACCTCAGGTGATCTGCCCACTTCATCATTCTTTTAAATGATTGTGCAGTCTTTTGTTTTATGTATGTACTGCAATTTGCTTGATCATTGTTCCCTTGGTGGTCATTCACTCTGTTTTCTGGTTTGGACTATTTTAAACAATGTTGCATTGCAAGTTTACACTTAATTTTTGGTCCCCTCAACTTCATGAAAAGTGGCCAAAACATGTTACCTACTCATCTGCCCAGTGCTTTGGTTCCTGCCTATAAATTGGCCACAGGGGAGAAAGGCTAAAGGCAACAGCTCACCGCCGCTGAGACGAAAGCCCAGAGCATGCTGGGGGCCCCACCCGCAGCCATGCATCTTTGTTGTTTTTTTTTTGAAACGGAGTCTCCCTCTGTCACCCAGGCTGGAGTGCAGTGGCGCGATCTCGGCTCTCTGCAAGCTCTGCCTCCCGGGTTCCCGCCATTCTCTTGTCTCAGCCTCCCGAGTAGCTGGGACTACAGGCGCCCACTACCACGCTCGGCTAATTTTTTGTATTTTTAGTAGAGACGGGGTTTCACCGTGTTAGCCAGGATGGTCTTGATCTCCTGACCTCGTGATCCGCCTGCCTCGGCCTCCCAAAGTGCTGGGATTACAGGCGTGAGCCACTGCGCCTGGCGCATCTTTGTTTAAAAAAATTTTTTTTTGAGATGGACTCTCGCTCTGTCTCCCAGGCTGGAGTGCAGTGGCACGATCTGGGCCCATTGCAACCTCCACCTCCTGGGTTCAAGTGATTCTCCTGCCTCAGCCTCCCGAGTAGCTGGGATTACAGGCATGCGCCACCACACCTGGCCAATTTTTGTATTTTTAGTAGCTATGGGGTTTCGCCATGTTGGCCAGGCTGGTCTTGAACTCCTGACCTCAGGTGATTCGCCCACCTCGGCCTCCCGAGATGCTGGGATTGTAGGCGTGAGCCATCGTGACTGGCCCCACACTAGCCCTTTTTCAGTTTTCCAACTTGTCAATGTCAGTACCCTCATACAATGCTAGTAGGAGTGCAATTGGTCAAACCACTTTGGAAAACTGGTGTGAAAGTTGTCAGAATCAAAATGGAGTCATCTGTGTTACAAAACAAAAACCAAAATCACCTTGACGAGCAGAGCCAGGGAAGCTGATGAAGGGAGGATTCTCATGCACGAATGCCAGATAACAAAAACTATCACAAAAGCCTGCAAAACCCACAACCTTGCACAAAGGCCATCACAATCTTACATTAAAAATACTCGTTCGAAGACATCTGCCCAGCAACTGCCTATCTAAACTTGGACTGGTGCACTTTTATTATTGATCTTTGTAGCCAAAGATAATTATCTCAAAACAATTATGTAGTTCTCCTCATTTTTCCTTTAAAAACCTTTGTCTTCCTTTATTTCCTTGAATACACATACACTTTAGTATGGCACACATATTCCCATTGCAACGTCCTATTCCTGAATAAATATCATCTTCTTTTAGAAAGACTCTCTGTCACGGAGATCGAGACCATCCTGGCTAACACAGTGAAACCCCGTCTCTACTAAAAATACAAAAAATTAGCAGGGTGTGGTGGTGGGCGCCTGTAATCGCAGCTACTCGGGAGGCTGAGGCAGGAGAATGGCGTTAACCTGGGAGGCAGAGCTTGCAGTGAGCCGAGATCGCACCACTGTACTCCAGCCTGGGCTACAGAGCAAGACTCCGTCTCAAAAAAAAAAAAAAAAAAAATTAAGCCTCTCTGTTACTTAGGTTGACACTGGCAGTATCTACTAAGTCTAAGCATACACCTCCCCTATCACCCTGCAATTCTGTTGCTAGGTTTAAACCCAGCAGAAATCAGAAAATAATGCGCACAACAACTTTGCTCAAAATCATCCAAAACAGGAAATAAGGGGAATGTCCATCAGCAATAGAATGGATAAATAAATTCTTACAGCGAAATGTTATGCAGCAATGAAAAGTAACAAGCAATTCCCAATGCAACAGTAGGAATGACTCTCACAGCTATAACATTGTGAGAAATTAATCAGGCACAAAGGAGTCCACACTGTATGGCTCCTTTTGTATGAAATTTCTGAACAGGCAAAACTAAGTTCAAGGGATTGAAAGCAGAGTAGTGGTTGCCTGGTAGGAGGTGGGAGTGGGGACTGACTGCAAGGAGGCACAAGGAAGCTTTTCTAGAGTGAAGGAAATGATTCTATCTTGATTGGAATTCTGGTTACACACCTGTATTTTTTGTTTTTGTTGTTGTTGTTTTGAGGTGGAGTCTTGCTCTGTCTCCCAGGCTGGAGTGCCGTAGTGTGATCTCAGCTCACTGCAGCCTCCACCTCCCGGGCGATTCTCCTGCCTCAGCCTCCCAAGTGGCTGGGATTACAGGTGCCTGCAACCGCACCTGGTTAATTTTTGTATTTTTAGTAGAGACAGAGTTTCTCCATGTTGGCCAGGCTGGTCTCGAACTCCTGACCTCAAGTGATCCACCCACCTCGGCCTCCCAAAGTGCTGGGATTACAGGCATGAGCCACCATGCCTGGCCATACACATGTATTTCTTAAAATGCAGTTAATCTGGCTGGGTGTGTTGGTTCATGCCTGTAATCCTAGCACTTTGGGAGGCCAAGGCGGGTGGATCATTTGAGGTCAGGAATTTGAGACCAGCCTGGGCAACATGGTGAAACCCCGTCTCTACTAAAAATACAAAAAAAAAAAAAGAAAAAAAAATTAGCTGGATGTGATGCTGCACGCCTGTGGTCCCAGCAACTTGAGAGGCTGAGATGGAAGGATCTCCTGAGCCCAGGAGGTTGCAGTGAGCCAAGATGGTGCCACTGCACTCCAGCTTGGGCAACAGAGGGAGACGTCATCTCAACAAAATAAAAAAAAATTAAAAAAAAATTAGCTGGACATGTTGGCGCATGCCTGTAATCCCAGCTACCTGGGAGGCTGAGGCCAGAGAATCACTTGAACCCAGGAGGCGGAGGTTGCAGTGAGTTGAGATGGCGCCACTGCACTCCAGTCTGGGTGACAGAGTGAGACTCTGTCTCAGGAAAAAAAAAAAAAGAAAAAGAAATCTTTTCTTATTATACTTCAATTTTATCTTCACGTTCTGGACTATCCTTTTCTTTTCACTTTAATTTCCTAAATCTTTCTTTAAGTATTGTTTCTCCCTCTTCACTAATATTCTCTCCCGTGGATCCAATAATCAAGAATGCCCCCTTCCAGAGGTTGCAGTGAACCAAGATGGTGGCACTGCACTTCAGCCTGGGCAACAGAGAGAGACTCCGTCTCAAAAAAAAAAAAAAAAAAAAAACCAGGCTGGATGTGGTGGCTCACACCTGTAATCCCAGCACTTTGGGAGGCCAAGGCAGGCAGATCACAAGGTCAGGAGTTCGAGACCAGCCTGGCTAATATGGCAAAACCCCATCTCTATTAAAAATACAAAAATTAGCCGAGCGTGGTGGCACATGCCTGTAATTCCAGCTACTCAGGAGGCTGAGGCAGAAGACTTGCTTGAACCCGGGAGGCGTAGGTTGTGGTGAGCTGAGATCACTGGAGCCACTGCAAGCCAGCCTCAGTGACAGAGTGAGACTCCGTTAAAAAAAATAAATAAATAAAGGAATAACCCCCTTGCCTGGGTGAAGTGGCTTGCACCTGTAATCTTAACACTTTGGGAGATGGAGGCGGGAGGATCACTTGAGCCCAGGAGGTCAAGACCAGCCTAGGCAACGTAGGGACATCCTATCTCCACACACACAAAAATAGAAAATTATCTGGGCATGATGGCTTGCACCCATAATCCCAGCTACTCAGGAGGCTGAGGTGGGAGGATAGCTTGAGCCTGGGAGGTTGAAGCTGCAGTGAGCTGTGATCATGGCACTGAACTCCAGCCTGGGCAACAGAGTGAGACCCTGTCTCAAAAAAATTAATAATAATAATATTATTATTAATAATAATAAAGAGTGCCCTCCCTTCAATACTCCTGTAGCATTCTCTCTGTCTCTCTCTTTTTCTTTTTTTTTTTTTTGGGACGTTGTCTTGCTCTTGTTGCCCAGGCTGGAGTGCAGTGGTGTGATCTTGGCTCACCGCAACCTCTGCCTCCCAAGTTCAAGTGATTCTCGTGCCTCAGCCTCCTGAGCAGCTGGGATTACAGACGCACACACCATGCCCGGCTACCAGGCTGGTCTTGAACTCCTGATCTCAGGTGATTCGCCTGCCTTGGCCTCCCAAAGTGCTGGGATTACAGGCATAAGCCCCCGGGCCTCGCCCTCCTGTAGCATTTTCTATCTGGATTACACCATTCAGTCTGTGTTCGTTACTTCCCGACTCCGAGCCCATCCCAGAGGCCTGGGGATCCTGCGAACCTTCCTTTACCTTCAGTAAATGTCTCACATTTAGACCTTTCACTGTTACAGACAGTTACAGACTCCCCACTGTTGACATTGAAAGAAAGTAGTGATGTTACCTTTAAATCTGTGTTCCCTTACCAGACCATACTGCCCATGAATTAACATTTTCCAGAAATCCCATAATTATCTTGTGACTACCACAGTTACACTGTATTGCATTTTAGTGTTAAAAGTGTTAATTTAGGCTGGGCATGGCTCATACCTGTAGTCCTAGCACTTTGGGAGGCTGAAGCAGGTGGATTGCTTGAGCTCAGGAGTTCAAGACCAGCCTGGGCAACATGGCAAAACCTTGCTAGAATAGAATGGAATGGAATAGAATAGAATAGAATAGAATAGAGTAGAGTAGAGTAGAGTAGAGTAGAGTAGAGTAGAGTAGAGTAGGTTAATTTAATCAGATTCCAATTGATGGTAATTTAATTGTTTCCATTTTTTTAGTTGTCATAAAAAATGCTGCTATGGGCCAGGTGTAAGTAGCTCATTCCTATAATCCTAGCACTTTGGGAAGCCAGGGTGGAGGATTGCTTGAGCCCAGGATTTCGAGGCTGCAGTGGACTATGATTTCACCACTGCACTCCAGCCGGGTGACAGAGTGAGACTCTGTCTCTTAAAAAAAAAAATGCTGTGTGGGGGCGGTGGCTCACGCCTGTAATCCCAACACTTTGGGATGCCAAGGCAGGTGGATCACCTGAGGTCAGGAGTTGGAGACCAGCCTGGCCAATGTGGTAAAACCCCATCTCTACTATTAATACAAAAATTAGCCAGGCATGGTGACACATGCCTGTAATCCCAGCTACTCTGGAGGCTGAGGCAGGAGAATCGCTTGAACCCGGGAGGCGGACGTTGCAGTGAGCCGAGATCACGCCATTGCACTCCAGCCTGGGTGACAAGAGTGAAACTCCATCTTGGAAAAAAAAAAAAATGCTGCTATGAACCTTCCTGCCCATATACCTTTGGGCATATTTTACTGTATTTCTTTGTAATAGATTCCTAGAATAATGGAACTTGCTGGTTAAAATCTTAATAGATATTATCTAAAAGCCTCCAAAATGATTTCTAATGCATTCCCCCACCAATTGGGTATGAAAGTACCTGTTTCCCCCGTTCCCATCACTGGATATTATTAGAGATTTAAGTTCTTGCCAATTACATGGGTGAAGAAATGTGATTTCTTTTCCTTCTTCTTCTCCTCCTCCTCCTCCTTCTTCTTCTTTTCTTTTTTTCTTCTTTCTTCTTTTCATAGAGACAGGGTTTCACTGTGTTGCCGAGGCTGATCACGAACTCTGGGACTCATGCAATCTGCCTGCCTTGGCCTCCCAAAGTGCCAGGATTACAGGCATGAGTCACCGCTCCCAGCCAGTGCTGATGTTTCCTGTCACCTGCAGAGTTTTAACAGAAAGTCATTTCTTTGATGTGTCGCACATCCACACATCTTAATTTCATGTTATATGTATCTGTAACTGGATCTAATTTTTTTCTTTTCTTTTTTTTTTTTTGGAGACAGGGTCTCATTCTATCACCCAGGCTGGAGTGCAGTGGCATGATCACGCGTCACTGCAGCCTTGAGCTCCCCAGCTCAAGCAATCCTCCCGCCTCAGCCTCTCTAGTAGCTCAGACTATAGACACGCACCACCACATCTGGCTAATTTGTGTTTTTGCAGAGACAAAGACTCGTCATGTTGCCCAGGCTGGTCTCAAACTCCTGTGCTCAAGCAATCCACCTGTCTTGGCCTCCCAAAGTGCTGGGATTACAGGTGTGAGCCACTATGCCTGGGCTTTTTTTTTTTTTCTTTTTTTGAGACAGGGTCTCATTCTGTGGCCCAGGCTGGAGTGCAATGGCACAAACACAGCTCACTGCAGACTCAACCTCCCAGACTCAAGCAATTCCCCTATTTCAGTGGCTCAGAGGCCCCCACACTCAGCCTCCTAAGTAGCTGGGATCACAGGCACTCGCCACCACGCCCAGCTAATTTTTGTATTTTTTGTAGAGACAGGGTTTCACTATGTTGCCCAGACTTGTTTCAGACTCCTGGGCTCAAGCGATTCTCCCACCTTGGCCTCGCAAAGCGCTGGGATTATAGGCATGAGCCACCGCTCCCAGCCACCATCTTCCATTTTAAGAGATTCTATTCCCTTTCTTATAAATCCTGAGTGGTTCTATTCCCCTAAACTGTAGCTCTTTCCTCCTGAGCACATGCTGGACTCCATTTCCCAGCCTCCTTTGCTGCTACGGACAGTCATGTGATTGAGTTCTGATCAGTGGAATGTGGGCAGATGGAATACGCACCACTTCTAGGTCTGGCCCCCGCCCAAAAAACTCTTACATGATCTTCTACTCTCTTTCATTCCTCACTTGCCAGAGGGATGCAATGGCTCTAATGGAGAACACTGAAATTCTCCCTTAGGGAATAGTGGAGCTACTGAATCACTGTGAGAAAGGCTTAAGGTCGACTGTGCATGGGACTGTGATGCAAGCCAGAAATGAACTTTTATTGTGCTGAGCCACTGAAATGCTGAGGTCATGGTTATAGCAGCTCACCTAAGTATTAGTCAGGCTAAGCCTAGAATATGCTTCAGTAACAGCCTACCCTCAAAACCTGAAAACAATAAAGATTTACTACTCCATTTTGTCTGTGTTCTTCACGGTCATTCAGGGACCCAGGCTGAGTGAGGCTCTATTTTGACACATGCTTCAAAGCCACCAAGTTCGGGGCTGGGTGTGGTTGCTCACGCCTGTAATCCCAGCGCTTTGGGAGGCCGAAGTGGGCAGATCACTTGAGGCCAGGAGTTTGAGACCAGCCTGGGCAACATGGTGAGACCCTCATCTGCACTAAAAATACAAAAAATTAGATGGGCATGGTGACAGGTGCCTGTAATCCCAGCTACTCAGGAGGCTGAGGCAGGACAGTTGCTCGAACCTGGGAGGTGGAGGTTGCCATGAGTGGAGATTGCGCCACTGCACTGCAGCTTGGGTGACAGAGCGACACTCTGTCTCAGTTAAAAACAAAACAAAACAAAACAAAACCCACCAAATTGGGAAAAGCGAAAGGTTAGAGTAAAACACGGGAAATTAAATGCTTTGTCCTAGGAGTGACACATATTACTTCCATGCACAACAGATTGACAAGACCTCATCACATGGCCCTATTGAATCTGGAAGTTCTGATTCCCCTGTGTTTGGAAGGAGACGAGGAACCACTGAGAAGCTCTAATGACTGTCCTGACAAATGGTCCCTAAAGCAGGTGTTACTTCTACTGGAGCAGCCTCTCTTCTTCCTCTCTGTAACAGATGTTGGCTGTTTTGGCCAGCCCAGCATCCATTTCCCCTTCCTCTGGGAAAAGCACCTCAGTTTTCCTTGGAAGAAATATCCCTCCCTTACCACCTTAGTTGCTGTCAATCAATGTGCCCTGCACATTGCTGTCTTAGATGTAGGCACGTGACTTGCAATTGACTAATCAGATTCTCTTATGGGAGTTTGGGACTTGAGCAGGCTGATCAAGGATGGGAGCGTTATTTGGAGCTAATTTGCCAAACCCAAGAGACTAAACATTACCTCATGTCTATACCTTCCAGAGTTTCACTCATCACCTCATTCCTCCCCTATCCTAAGTTGAGTTGGTCAACTTTCCTTTGATTCTGTGAGCAGAATCACCTTTTAGAATATTATTTATTTTCCTTATTTAGCCACAGTTGATTTCTGTTGCTTGCAATCAGAGAAGTCTGTCAATACCTCATAAGCATTGTTGGCAAAAATGTTCTAAGTCAGAGTTCTGATCATGTCACTTTTTTGCTAAAAATCTCTTGATGGCTTCCTGTTGTCTGTAGCTGGAGTCAGTAAACATTTTCTGTAAGGGGTCAGATAGTAAATATTTTATGTTTTGTGTGGTCTCTGGTGGTTACTCGCTCTGATGTTGTATCATGAAAGCAGCTACAGACAATAGGTAGACATATGGATATGGTTGTGTTCCAATAAAACTTTATTTACAAAAAAGTCATTGCTGACCTGTGGTCTCCAGAATAAAGTGAAACTTACTGTGGCGTAGAAGACCATATGTTGGTAGGGTGTGGTGGCTCACGCCTGTAATCCCAGCACTTTGGGAGGCCGAGGTGGGCTGATTACCTGAGGTCAGTAGTTCGAGACCATCCTGGCCAACATAGCAAAACCCTGTCTCTACTTAAAAATACAAAAATTACCCAGGTGTGGTGGTGCATGCCTGTGGTCCCAGCTACTCGGGAGGCTGAGGCAGGGAGGATCGCTTGAGCCTGAGAGGCAGAGGTTACAGTGAGCCAAGATTGAGCCACTGCACTCCAGTCTGGGCAACGGAGTGAGATTCCATCTCAAAAAAACCAAAACAACAACAAAAAGAAGCTCTTATGTCTGGCTGCAATTTTTCTTTTCTTTTTCTTTTCTTTTTTTTTTTTTGAGATGGAGTCTTGCTTTGTCACCCAGGCTGTAGCGCAATGGTGCAATCTCGGCTCACTGCAATCTCTACCTCCCGGGTTCAAGCAATTCTCCTGCCTCAGCCTCCCGAGTAGCTGGGATTACAGGCTCCGGTCACCATGCTTGGCTATGCAATTTTTCTAATTGTACATTTTACTCTACTTCCCTCCTCCTAGGCACTCTGTGCTCCAGTACCTTGGAATGCCCTGCCTTCCCCAATCACTCCTAAACTGCCTGTTCCCTTACTTTTGCTTGCACCGTGCCTCCTGACTGCAAATCCGTCTCCATCATCTGTCATTGTTTGCTGAAATCCAATTATCTTTCAGCATCAGCTCATTGCCACCTGTAGTGCACGTTGTATTTTTGTTGCTTTCCAGCTGTTAACTGCATCCTGACTTTGCTTTGCAGAGTCACCTCTCTCCCACTCAAGCCATGTGCTTTGGGTGCTCTTGCCATCTGCAAACGTGTCCCCAGTACTGCAGGGGTTGGCATGTTTCTCCTCTGGTCACAGTGATTAGGGGTGGCATGTGACCCAAACTGGCCCAAGGAGGCCAATCCCAAGACTTTTTGTGATAAATATTAGGAAAAATGTGCTCTCTTTCAACTGGGATTACTAGGCTGCTGGGGCATAAGGTGTAAGATAAAAATCGTTGGCTGGGCACGGTGGCTCATGCCTGTAATCCCAGCACTTTGGGAGGCCGAGGTGGGTGGATCACAAGGTCAAGAGATCAAGACTATCCTGACCAACATGGTGAAACCCCCGTCTCTACTAAAAATACAAAAATTAGCCAAGCAAGGTGGTGCTTGCCTGTAGTCCCAGCTACTCAGGAGGTTGAGGCAGAAGAATCGCTTGAACCCGGGAGGCAGAGGTTGCAGTGAGCCAAGATCACGCCACTGCACTCCAGCCTGGTGACAGAACAAGACTTTGTATTAAAAAAAATAATAAAAAAATAAGTCATTGTCATCCATCCTGCCACTGCAGGGGAAATTGCTTCCTGAGAATGAAATCAAGAGAGAGAGAGGGGGGAGTGAGAGAGAGAGAAAGAGAGAGAGAGAGAGGGAGAGAGAGAGAGAGAGAGAGAATCATAGCATCTTTTTTTTTTTTTTTTTTTTTTTTTGGATAGAGTCTTATTCTGTCATCCATGCTGGAGTGCAGTGGTGTGATCTTGGCTCACTGCAACTTCTGCCTCCTGAGTTCAAGCGATTCTCCTGCCTCAGCCTCCTAAGTAGCTGGGATTAAAGGCACACCACCATGCCTGGCTAATTTTTTGTATTTTTTAGTAGAGCCAGGGTTTCACTATGTTCGCCAGGCCGGTCTCCAACTCCTGACCTCAGGTGATCCACCTGACTCGGCCTCCCAAAGTGCTGGGACTTCAGGCGTGAGCCACCGCACCAAGCCCGATAACATCCTTTAAGCCCCTGGATTCAGCTATACCTGAACATCTACCCCTTTTTAGCTTAAGCCAGACTGAGTTCTCCTAGGATAACTCTCATGATGTCTTCCCATGGCCTTGCTCACTCCTCCTTTGGAAGCAGAATTAGCTTAATCTGAATGCTCAGTTTGGAAGGACAAACTGGGCATGCTTTACCCAGCCACTTCCCCTCCCCTTTCTCTTGGGAACCAGCTCTTCTGTCCCCTTCTACCATAGTTTTATATGATCAGGGTCTGCCCACAGAAGCCCACTCTCATCCTGAAGTATCTGTGAGGGCAAATCACAAAACCGGCTCGGTATGTGTAATTCCGTGCTTCGGTATTCTGTGCAACCATATTTGGCTACATCTATAAGCCACATTCCCAACATTCACTTATAAGTCATCCTTATAATACTGTCGTGCACCACATGACAATGTTTCAGTCAACGATGGACCACATATACAGCAGCGGTCTCTTGAAATGATAATACCATATTTTTACTTTACCTTTTCTATGTTTAGATACACAAATGCCTGTGTGTCACAATTGCCTACAGTATTCAGTACAGTCACATGCTGTGCAGGTTTGTAGCCTAGGAGAAATAGGCTGTACCCTATGGCCTTGGTGTGCAGACTATACTGTCTAGTTTTGTGTAAGTAGATGCTGTGATGTTTGCACAACCACAAAATTGCCACCCATATGTTTCTCAGAATGTATTGCTGTCATCAAGTAACACATGACTGTATTTAGATATTCCATCTTCTTTACTCTTTTTTCTTATTTTTTCACTCTTGGTTTACAATTCAGGACAGGAGTTTGTATCAGTCAGAAAAATAAAACACACTCCAGGTCTTTCCAACAGAAAGGTTTTAATGTAGGAAACTGGTTAAAATATGCATTAGTATCTATTGCTGTGTAAGAAGTTAGCTCAAAACATAGTGACCTAAAACAGCAATAATCATTTATTGTCTTTCATGGTTTCTGCAGGTCCAGAATTTGGGAGCAACATGTCTGAGCAGTTCTGACACATGGTTTTTCATGATATTGCAGTCAAGATATCAGCTGGGGCTGTGGTCATCTGAAGGCTCGACTGGGGCTGGGGAATCTTGCATGGCTGTTGGTGAGAATCCACAGCTTCTAGCCACAGGGGGTCTCTCCCAGAGCTGCTTGAGTGTCCTCATGACATGATAGCTAGTTTCCCAGAGAAAGTGATTCAAGGGAACAAGGCAACAATGCCTTTTAAAAAAAGTTATGCAGGCTGGGTGCAGGGGCTCATGCCTGTAATCTCAGCACTTTGAGAGAACAAGGTGGGCAGCTCACTTGAGATCAGGAGTTTGAAACCAGCTTGGCCAACATGATGAAACACTGTCAGTGCAGTGGTGCGATCTTGGCTCACTGCAAGCTCTGCCTCTCGGATTCAAGCGATTCTTGTGCCTTAGCCTCCTGAACAGCTGGGATTACAGACATGCACCACCATGCCTGGCTATATATTTTTAGTAGAGACGGGGTTTTGCCATGTTGGCCAAGCTGGTCTCAAACTCCTGCCTCAATTGATCCGTTTGCCTCAGCCTCCCAAAGTGCTAGGATTATAGGTGTGAGCTACTGCACTCTGCCAAATGTGTATAGCAGCATTAATAATAGCCAAAATGTGGAAACAACTCAAATATCCGTAGACAA
The DNA here is from genome assembly GCF_000001405.40 of Homo sapiens. Lineage (NCBI taxonomy): Eukaryota > Metazoa > Chordata > Mammalia > Primates > Hominidae > Homo > Homo sapiens. The sequence continues at coordinate 123,576,719 of NC_000012.12, forward strand.
AATGTGGTGCATGCATACCATGGAATATGATTCAGCCACAAAAAGAAATGAAATCCTGACACACACTACAATGTAGATGAACCTTTAAACATCATGCCAAGAGAAGGAAGCCAGTCACAAGAGGCCACATACTATATGATTCTACTCCAAATCCACAGAACAGAAAGTAGACAGTGGTTGCCAGGGCTGGGCAGAGGAGGGATTGGGGAATGACTGCTAATGGGTACAGGGTTTCTTTTTTGGGGCAATAAGATGTTTTGAAATTAGATAGTGGTGATGTTTGAACAACTCTGAGAATATACCAGAAACCACTGAAGTATAACACTTTATTTATTTATTTTGAGACGAAGTCTCGCTCTGTTGCCCAGGATGGAGTACAGTGGTGCAATCTCGGCTCACTACCACCTCCACCTCCTGGGTTCAAGTGACTCTCCTGCCTCAGCCTCCTGAGTAGCTAGGACTACAGGCGTACACCACCACGCCTGGCTAATTTTTTTTTTTTTTTGTATTTTTAGAAGAGATGGGGTTTCACCATGTTGGCCAGGCTGGTCTTGAACTCCTGACCTCAAGCAATCCGCCCACCTCGGCCTCCCAAAATGCTAGGATTACAGGCATGAGCCACCGCATCTGCCATATAACACTTTAAAAGGATGGATTTTATGGTATATGAATTGTATCTCAATAAGGCAGGATGAAAAGGGAGGGAAGCAGAGAGGGCCCAGTTCATGTTGCACCTCACTGACCACTGATTACCACCTGGTCAGTTCTGGGCCAGACGGCAGTTAAGAGGTTCATTCATTATCCATCAGATATGTATGGAGTACCCACCATGTGCCAGCTGTTTGTCCTGTTGGATGATTCATGCACCTGATGGCACATGAGCTCATGCCAATCAATCTGTGGTGATAACCTTAAAAATGCACATTTGGCCAGGTGCAGTGGCTCATGCCTGTAATTCCAGCACTTTGGGAGGCTGAGGTGGGTGGATCGCCTGAGGTCAGGAGTTCGAGACCAGCCTGGCCAACATAGTGAACCCACGTCTCTACTAAAAATACAAAAAATTAGCCAGGCATGGTGGTAGGCGCCTGTAGTCCCAGCTACTCAGGAGGCGGAGGCAGGAGAATCGCTTTAACCCAGGAGGCGGAGGTTGCAGTGAGCCGAGATTGCGCCATTGCACTCCAGCCTGGGTGACAAGAGCAAAACTCCATCTCAAAAAAAAAAAAAAAAAAAAAAAGTATACATTTAAGGCTGGGCATGGTGGCTCACACCTGTAATCCCAGCACTTTGGGAGGCCAAGGCAGGTGGATCACTTGAGGCCAGGAGTTAGCCTGGCTGACATGGTGAAATCCCATCTCTACTAAAAATACAAAAATTAGCTGGGCATGGTGGCGGGCACCTGTAATCCCAGCTACTTGGGAGGCTGAGGTACGAGAATTACTTGAACCCAGAGGCAGAGGTTGCAGTGAGCCAAGGTCACGCCACTGCACTCCAGCCTGAGTGTCAGAGTAAGACTGTCTTAAAAAAAAAAAAAAAAAAAGGCACCTTTACTGTGGGTGACCTGTCAAGTCCTAAGAGCCTGGGATCCTCTGGGTAAATTTGACTGCAGATCCTGAAACAGTAATGTTGAAAAACACCTGATGAGTAAATATAGCTACAACAATGCTAACCAAAAAACCAATGAACAAAAAACTAGAGCCGTCAAAAGAAATACGTCAAGCAGTTGATAGCAATCATTTTACAGTACTGTGATTGAGTTACCTTTATCTCTTTTCTGATTTCAGATAACATAGTCAATTACATTTATAACGTAAACCATAAACTTAGTGACTTCTGGCTGCATCTTTGGTTTGGCTACCAGTGTGTTTTCAGACATTGGAATTGAATGTATTTAGGTATGACATCCTATGATCCAGTTTGCCACAATCCTCCCCGCTCCTACTGCCTATGCTAGTGCCATCTCTGATTCATATAAACTGCCTGATCCCTGAAGGCATTTGAATTTGAGTCCCGATTTATATAATAAAACCCTACAATATACAATTCACTGTGTTCCGCCGAGATCCTAAAAATGTCCACTATTTATTTATTTATTTATTTATTGGAGACAGGGTCTCACTCTGTCACCCAGGCTGGAGTGCAGTGGCACTATCACAGCTCAGCTCACTGCAGTCTTGATCTCCCAGGCTTGGGTGATCCTCCCACCTCAGCCTCCCAAATAGCTGAGACTACAGGCACGTGCCACCATGCCTGGCTAATTTTTTTTTTGTATTTTTTGTAGAGATGGGGTCTTGCTATGCTGCCCTGGCTGGTCTTGAACTCTTGGACTCAAGCAATCCATCCCCTTTGGCCTCCCACAGTGCTGAGATTACAAGCATGAGGCACTGCGCCCAGCCCCGCATTTTAATTCCTTGATAAGTGGACTTAGAACTATTATTTAATCAGTTCAAAGCCGAAAATTAACATTGAATTTCTAGATAAAATCAAAATTGTTCTTGGCCTTCTTCTGCAGTTGGGTTGCTTGGGAAGTCAAAAAGGGTTGTATCAAAAAAAAAAAAAAAAAAAAAAGCCAGGAGTGGTGGTTGACGGCTGTAATCCCAGTGCTTTGGGACTGCTTGAGCCCAGGAATTGGAGACCAGCCTGGGTAACATAGGGAGACCTCCATCTCTACAAATAGTTAAAAACAAAAACAAAAACAAAAACAAAAAAACTAGCTGGGTGTGGGTGCATGTGCCTGTGGTCTCAGCTACTGCAGAGCCTGAGATGGGAGGATTGCTTGAGCTCAGGAATGTGAGGCTGCAGTGAGCCGTGTTCATGCCACTGCACTCCAGCTTGGGTGACAGAGCCAGACCCTGTCTCAAAGGAAACAAACAAAAATAGAAAACAAAAGGGGCTGCATCCATTGGTTTAAGAGGAAACCTCTGTAGATATTATCAGCAGAGGCCAGGCGCAGTAGCTCACACCTGTAATCCCAGCATTCTGGGGAGGCTGAGGTGGGCAGATCACCTGAGGTCAAGAGTTCGAGACCAGCCTGGCCAACATGGCAAAACCCTGTCTCTACTAAAAAATACAAAAACAAAATTAGCTGGGCATGGTGGCATGCACCTGTAATCCCAGCTACTTGGGAGGCTGAGGCAGGTGAATCACTTGAACCCGGGAGGCGGAGGTTGCAGTGAGCTGAGATCGCACCATTGCACTCCAGCCTGGGAGTCAGAGCGAGACTCCATCTCAAGTTAAAAAAAAAAAAAAAGCCTGGGCGCAGTGGCTCTTACCTATAATCCCAGCACTTTGGAAGGCCAAGGTGGGTGGATCACGACGTCAGGAGATCAAGACCACAAGACCATCCTGGCTAACACGGTGAAACCCCGTCTCTACTAAAAATACAAAAAATTAGCTGGGCATGGTGGCGGGCGCCTGTAGTCCCAGCTACTCGGGAGGCTGAGGCAGGAGAATGGTGTGAACCCAGGAGGCAGAGCTTGCAGTGAGCAGAGATCGCGCCACTGCACTCCAGCCTGGGCGACAGAGCAAGACTCTTGTCTCAAAAAAAAAAAAAAAAAAAAAGATATTATCAGTTGAAAGAGACATCCGGGAAACAGGCGTATCAATGTGTTGTTAAGGATAGAGGAAGAGGCTCTAGGCTGTCTCCCTCCAGTGACGGCACTGGAGTCACATTACAGAACTGACCTGCCAGGGAAAGCAGGATGTCTGCCAGTCTGGAAGATGGGGAAGTAGGGGATCACCAGTAGAACTCTTCAGTTCAATAATACAGTTAACCCTTGAACAACGCAGGTTTGAAATGCATGGGTCCGCTTATATATGGATTTTTTTCACCTGGCTGGGCACCGTGGCTCACATCTGTAATCCTGGCACTTTGGGAGGCGGAGGCAGGCGGATCAGTTGAGGCCAGGAGTTCGAGACCAGTCTGGCCAACATGGTGAAACCCTGTCTCTACTAAAAATTCAAAAATTAGCCGGGCATAGTGGCCGGCGCCTGTAATCCCAGCCACTTGGGAGGCTGAGGCAGGAGAGTCTCTTGAGCCTGGGAGACAGAGGTTGCAGTGAGCCGAGGTTGAGCCACTGTACTCCAGCCAGGGCGAAAGAGCGAGACTCCATCTCAATAAAAATAAATAAATAAATAAAAGTTACACCAAGTATGCCGCCTCTCATGCCTCTCTCTTTCCACCTCCACCACTTCTTCCACTTCTGCCACCCCCCAAGACAGCAAGACCAACCCTTCCTCCTCCCCTCCTCTTCAGCCTACTCAACATAAAGATGACAAGGATGAAGAGCTTTACCATGAGTCACTTCCACTACATGAAGAGTAAATATATTTTCTCATCCTTATTATTTTCTTAATAACAATTTCTTTTCTCTGGTTTATTGTAAGGATACAGCATGTAATATATATAACATACAAAATATGCTAATCAACTGTCATTGGCCAGGCACAGTGGCTGATGCCTGTAATCCCAGCACTTTGGAAGGCCAGAGTGGGTGGATCACTTGAGGCCAGGAGTTCGAGACCACCCTGGCCAACATGTTGAAACCCCATCTGTACTAAAACTACAAAAATTAGCCTGGCATGGTGGCGGGTGCCTGTGGTCCCAGCTACTTGGGAGGTTGAGGCAGGAGAATCACTTGAACCCAGGAGGCAGAGGTTACAGTGAACCGAGATCACATCACTGCACTACAGCCTGGGCAACAGAGCGAGATTCCATCTCAAAACAAAAACGAAAAACAAACAAACAAAATGCTAATCAACTGTCATTGGTAAGGCTTCTGGTCAACAGTATGCTGTCAATAGTTAAGTTTTTGGGCTGGGCGCAGTGGCTCACGCCTGTAATCCCAGCACTTTGGGAGGCCAAAGCGGGTAGATCACCTGAGGTCAGGAGTCGAGACTAGCCTGGCCAACATGGCGAAACCCAGTCTCTACTAAAAATATAAAAATTAGCCAGGCGTGGTGGTGGGCACTTGTAATCCCAGCTACTCAGGAAGCTGAGGCAGAACTGCTTGAACTGGGAAGTGGAGGTTGCAGTGAGCCGAGATCGTGCCATTGCATTCCAGCCTGGGCGACAAGAGCAAAACTCCATCTCAAAAAAAAAAAAAAAAAAAAAGTTGTTTTTGGGGAGTCAAAAATGAGGCCAGGCGCAGTGGCTCATGCCTGTAATCACAGCACTTTGGGAGGCCGAGGCGGGTGGATCACCTGAGGTCAGGAGTTCGTGACCAGCTTGGCCAACCTGGTGAAACCCCGTCTCTACTAAAAATACAAAAATTAGCCGGGCATGGTGGCGGGCGCCCGTAATCTCAGCTACTTGGGCGGCTGAGGCAGGAGAATTGCTTCAACCCGGGAGGCAGAGGTTGCAATGAGCTGAGATCGCGCCACTGCACTCCAGCCTTGGCGACAGAGGGAGACTCCATGTCAAATTAAAAAAAAGACCCCAGGATTTTGGACTGTGCAGGGGTCGGTGCCCCAAACCCCCACGTTGTTCAAGGTCAACTGTACACTGTCATAGTCGGGAAAACTTCATCACTGCAGCTGCTCCTGTTTCTTGAAACCTGAAGCGGGAAACTGGATCCTGGGACACTACTGCCCCCTATCGCCTGTTGGTCTTCAAAGAAATAATCCCTTCAATTTTGCAAGGCCTGTGGTGTCATTCCCTTTTAACAGATAAGGAAACCGAGGCCAGGACGTGGTGGAAAATAATCAAGGTCACACATCTATGTGCAAAAGTGGAGTAACAACCCAGGCTCCTCATTCCCAGGTCAGTCCAGTGACCTCAATTGACATGAAATGTGTGAGGTCCTTCTGTGGCCCTGTGGCAGGGCCTGAAGAGGACAGCGTATGTAAATCAAGTCTTGTGCCTTCATGAGTGAGGCAGAGTAGAAAATAACAGTAATTCACTAGGACCGAATCTGCATTGTAAACAGAGAGGAAGGGGCTAGTATTTGGCAGAAGGATGTCAAGGAACATTTTAGAGATAAGAGGTGACATTTGGGTTCTGAGGGATGAGTAGGAGTGTGCCAGGGTGCAAAGGATGAAAAGACAGCTCTAGCAGCTGGTAAGGGCTAAGGGGCATGGAGAAACAGCAAGACTTTGGGGAACTGGTAGAATTCTAATTCTGGAAAATTTGAACAAGGTAATTTTTTGTGTGTGGTTAAGGTATTACATACATACAGTAAAATAAAATGCAATAGTTGCTGGGTGTGGAGGCTCACGCCTGTTAATCCCAGTACTTTGGAAGGCAGAGGCGGGTGGATCATCTGAAGGTCAGGAGTTCGAGACCAGCCTGACCAACATGGTGAAAACCCGTCTCTACTAAAAATACAAAAATTACCTGGGTGTGGTGGCAGGCGCCCGTAATCCCAGCTACTTGGGAGGCTAAGGGAGAAGAATAGCTTGAAACCCGGAGGTGGAGGTTGCAGTGAGCTGAGATTGCACTATTGCGCTCCAGCCTGGGTGACAAGAGTGAAAAGCTGTCTCAAAATAAAATAAAAATGTAATAGTCTAATTGATTTTTTTAAAAAATGTAGACATCCACGTATCTACCACCTAGGTAAAGATACTAGAGATTCCAGCAACCTGGGAGGATCCCTCGTGCCCCTTTCAGGTCTATATGAGCCTCCACCGTTCCCCAGTCCCCTGGAAGGAGAGGGGGTGGGAGAGGCAACATGAAACCTAAAAACCAGTGGGCTTCGCGCCTGTAATCCCAGCTATTGGGTTGGCTGAGGCAGGAGGATCACTTGCCCAGGAGTTGGAGGCTGCAGTGAGCTATGATCGCGCCACCGCACTCCAGCCTGGGCGACAGATCAAGACCCCATCTCTAAGCAAACAAACAAATAAACACCCCTCAAAACCCATGGCTTCAGGCCTGGCGCGGTAGCTTACTTCTGTAATCTCAGCACTTTGGGAGGCCGAGGAGGGCGGATCACTTGAGGTCAGGAGTTCCAGACCAGACTGGCCAACATGGCGAAACCCCGTCTCTACTAAAAAATAAAAAAAAAAAAAAATTGGCCGGGCGCGGTGGCTCACACCTGTAATTCCAGCAGCACTTTGGGACGCCGAGGAGGGCGGATCACGCGGTCAAGAATTCAAGACCAGCCTGACCAACATAGTGAAACCCCGTCTCTACTAAAAATACAAAAAATTATCCGGGCGTGGTGGCGGGCGCCTGTAATCCCAGCTACTCAGGAGGCTGAGGCAGGAGAATCGCTTGAGCCCAGGAGGCGGAGGTTGCAGTGAGCCGAGATCGCGCCACTGCACTCCTGGGCGACAGAAAGAGACTCCGTCTCAAAAAACAAACAAACAAAAAACACAAAAATTAACCAAGCGTGGTGGCTCACGCCTGTAATCCCAGCTACTCGCGAGGCTGAGGCACGAGAATCTCTGGAACCCGGGAGACGGAGGTTGCAGTGAGCCGAGATCGCGCCACTGGACTCCAGCCTGGGCGACAGAGCAAGACTCCGTCTCAAAAACGAAACAAAACAAAAGAAAAAAACCTTAGTTTCAGCCCGCACATTCCCTCAACTCCTATCGCTGCCTGCAAATGTTTCGCCATCTTCTTGGACAATCCTAAGAGGGCATTGCAGAGGCTTCCGGACACTGTCGTTTTCCTGGGAAGTCCACAGGAACTTTAGCTTGGACGAGAAAGGACTAGGGAAAAATTTTTGGTCCTTCGGAGCCGCCGTCCAGGCTCGGGCCGCGCAGAGTCGCTTGTCCCTCGGCGGCTGCCGTGCCTCCCTTTACGTGGCAGCTGCGGGAGCCCGCCAATCCACTGCGCCCGCATCAGCCCCCACTGGTGGCGCAGGCGGAAGGGGCGGAGCTTAGGCGGCGGTGGCTGAGAAGGCAGCGGGGCGGCGGCGGCGGCGGCGGCGGCGGCTGTGGAGGCCGCAGTCCGGGTCCTGGCTTCGGCCTCAGCCCCACCATGGTGACGCTTGCTGAACTGCTGGTGCTTCTGGCCGCTCTCCTGGCCACGGTCTCGGGCTATTTCGTTAGCATCGACGCCCATGCTGAAGAGTGCTTCTTTGAGCGGGTCACCTCGGGCACCAAGATGGGCCTCATCTTCGAGGTGGCGGAGGGCGGCTTCCTGGACATCGACGTGGAGGTGCGGGCTAGCTGCCCGCAGCTGAGGCTTGGTCGCGTGGCCACTCGGGGATTGGTGGCACCTGGGACCGGCGCGGGGCCTGTGTGGGGAGTGGGCTTGGAAGTCGCTGTCCGAGTCCTGGAGAAGCCCAGGCCGCCACCCCCCGCCCCGCCCCGGCCACGGCGACCTCCTAACGGCCCCTTTTCCCGCGACTTGCCTGGGTTCCGGGATCCCTTGGGGGCTCCTTCGGCATGCTTGGTTGCTTTGGGTTTTCTCCTTGAACGACGGGTTCCTGTTGGAACCTCTCGCTGAGCTTTGTGAATCAGGCGCCGCGTGTCAGTCCGGGCCCCAAAGGCGCTTCTCAGTCACAGTTAGCTGGTGGCGGGTCTCTATCCAGTTAGCACCTGCCTTCTTTCGTGTTACGGATTAATGCTGGAACGTGGCACGGAAACTTTTCCAAAAAATTGATTAAAATCGATTGAGGATTAAAAACCTATTGAGTGCTAGGCATACTTTCGCGTTGTGTTTATTTTTCATAGAAGCAACCTTAAGGTTCTACTCTTTACGCCTCCAGCTACCTCGTTTAGTCTCTTCTGCCAAGGAGAGATGGGGAGTTGGGTCATGCGTTTTAGGAGTAAGCAGTGCAGTGAAGTATCAGGAGAAGACAGGAGTTTAAGAAACCAGCAGTCCCTAAATCTCCACTCATGTTTTGTAAACCAAAAGAATGATGTGTTGCTAGTTTTTATTTTAATTCACCTGCTAGCATGATTAATTGGGTCTAAGGAGTTTCCATTTGACAGTGTACTCAGTAGGGCTGGGCACAAGTTACACAATACAAGTGAAATCCAAAAATAAGGGGATAACGGAAGGGAGAGACTCTTACACTTAGCTAAGAATTTAGCGATCAACTATTACAGTCTCGAAGTTATGCAAGTGACATGCACTTTGAAAGAGCGACTGACTTGATCACAGCCTAACAGCTGATTTGTAGCAGACTGGGATGAGAGTTTGGGTCTTCTCATTTCCAGGCTAGTCCTTTCCCCTAAGCCTTCAGGCATCTCAGATAAAGCAGAATTCCTTCACTGTTTGGCAGTAATCTGGAAAACCTTGAAATGTGATAAAAATTCATCTTGTTTATATTTTAAAAAACCACAAACGTTTATTACCTCATGGTTTCTGTGGCCAGGAATTATGGAGAGGCTTAGCTGGGTGGTTCTGGCTTGGAGTATCTCATGAGGTTGCAATCAAGATGTCAACCAGGGATGCAGAAATTCTTTATTTTAAAGAGATTTCTTTTTTCTTGAGTTTTGCTATCAGTCACAGTTCCATGTTTGTTGGTGATATTAGGCCAGTTAGAGACCACATTTAAGGTGAGCTTTCTGTTTCTGAGGGGTTTAATAAGGATAAATAAGACATAAATGTCAGGACCTAAAGGTGTTTTAGAAAGCCATGAAGTCAACTCTTATTTTATAAAGTGGGAGAATTGCAGCCCAAAATGGTTATTATCACTTACCGAAGTGAAGCTAAGTGAAAGTTACATATTCTTGGTGAATTTCTTTTTTTTTTTTTTTTTTGGACCAAGTCTCGCTCTGTCGCCCAGGCTGGAGTGCAGTGGCACGATCTCGACTCACTGCAACCTCTGCCTCCCGGGTTCAAGCGATTTTCCTGCCTCAGCCTCCTGAGTAGCTGGGAATACAGGCGTGCGCCACCATGCCCGGCTAATTTCGTGTTTTTAGTAGAGACGGAGTTTTACCATGTTGGCCAGGCTGGTCTTGAACTCCTGACCTCAAGTGATCTGCCTGCCTTGGCCTCCCAAAGTGCTGTGATTACAGGCGTGAGCCACCATGCCCAGCCATATTCTTGGTGAATTTCTTACTGCCATTAGACATTACTTATAAAGTCTATGACTTAATCTTTTGTGACATTTTATGCATTTCTCTCTTGCCTCCAGATTACAGGACCAGATAACAAAGGAATTTACAAAGGAGACAGAGAATCCAGTGGGAAATACACATTTGCTGCTCACATGGATGGAACATACAAATTTTGTTTTAGTAACCGGATGTCCACCATGACTCCAAAAATAGTGATGTTCACCATTGATATTGGGGAGGCTCCAAAAGGACAAGATATGGAAACAGAAGGTGAGATGAACATTCAGAAGATTTACATCACATTCCAAGAGCTAATTTTAGTTCTATACATTTTTACCTGTCTGAGTGGAGTACTTATTTTTTTTAAATTTCTTAACCAAAACCTTTTTGTGAAATACGCTTTTTATTTTTTGCAAGTCTCCTAATTAATAAAAAAGTTTCTTGAGGCTAGTGTTTGTTTTTTTGTTGTTCTTTTTTCTTTTATTTATTTATTTTAAGATTGTGTCTCGCTCTTTCGCCCAGGCTGGAGTTCAGTAGCGTGATCTTGGCTTACTGCAATCTCCGCCTCCTGGGTTCAAGCGATTCTCCCAAGTAGCGTCAGGCGTATGCCACCATGCCCGGCTAATTTTTGTATTTTTGGTAGAGACGGGGTTTCACCATGTTGGCCAGGGTGGTCTCAAACTCCTGACTTCAGGTGATCCACCTGCCTCGGCCTTCTGAAGTGCTGGGATTTTTTTGTTCTTTACATTTGTCCCTTCTAACAGATTTTCTTAGTCATTTTGTGCTCTTGTGAGCATGTAGGTTCCATGTGTCTTCAGTTATTTTTTCTGTTTATTTGCTAATCCTGGCATATACTTTATTTGCTCATTTGTATACATGACTAGTTTAGCTAAACTTTTTGTTGGTTCTTTTTGTGTTAAGATATCTTAACTTTTCTTTAGGTGGTGGAGATACCTGGGATGGTATGTGGATTGCTTTTTGACAGCATCCTTTTTGCATCTTTTTGTTTGCTAATGTCTAATTTCTGCTTTCTTTTTTCTAACCTCAGTTTGTTGGCATGAGAGTGTTTTTTTCTCTTAAAAAACCCCTACAACTAATTGGATTGATATTTTTTTTGGTGGTTTTTTATTTCGTTGACAGGAGGTATAGGTTAGGTTATTTTAAACTAATAGCACTGAAAACACAGTTGACATTTTAGTAGTAACATCTTTGTTCTTTAAGATGAATGCTAAAGAGTGGAAATTCAATGATAAGGGGACAGAAGTCCCAATTAAACATAGCTCATAGCAAATGGTGCCTTTGACTTTGTAGAAAGTCATTTTGTAGACTTCTTAACCTGAAGCTTAGTTGGATATGAAATGCAGTTCTAGGAGCCATATGTTGATATGAAGACAAGAGTTCTTTTAGCCATATGTTGCAGTTAGAGTGTTCATTGCTCAGGTTACCAGTAATAAACCCTGATTGGTTCTTGGTGGTTCTGGATAAATTGCTTACCGGGAGCCAGCACATTTGGTGGTGTTTTTTTTTGTTTTTTTTTTCCCCACAGTGCATGCCAGAGTTTTTGAAGCTAGTCATTGTTTCACACATTTCATAGTATACTATTAGCGTGGTAACATTTCTCCCAGATATTCAGTATCAGTAGAGTGTTAACATCATAAAGAAGCTGAGTTGTTTGGTTGGATTTTGAAATCTATAGAATTTAGAGAGTCCTACTACTTAGTAATTCCTGCACTCATTTTTCAGGGCCACTTATAGGGTAGGACTTGACTAATTTTCAGGGAGAATGAGGAGTTCTGAAAGGCTTTTTTGGTTTATTTTCTGGAGTTTGATCCTACTTAAATAGTTTGAAAATGTTGGTTGATGAATGTGAATATTGAACTTCTTAGATAATTTTTTAACATATATCCAAAATTCTTGCTTTTGCTTGTTAATGTCAGTGAATGGCAGCTGTCAAATCAAGCCTTCCTCTAAAGCAGTGGTTCTCAAGTGAGGATGCCCAGGGGATATTTGGCAATATCTGGAGGTATTTTTTATTCGGAAGACTGGGGGTAGGTGCTACAGGCATCTAGGACTGGAGGCCATGGAGGCTGCTAAATACCCTATAGTGCATCAGATAGCGCCCCACAGCATAGAAAAGCATTTGGTCCAAAATGGAGACAATGCCACTGCTGAGAAACCCTGCTCTATCAGTTCCATGTGGTGCATGGGGCTTCCAAAGGGAAATTTCGAGTGAGGGACGGTTTGACATTCCAATTCAACTGCCTTCAATGGTAGAGGCCCTTGGTTTCTCCTAAGAAACTTGGGGTTGTCTGCGAGAATCTGGAATCCCAGAAGAGACCCAGTCTTGGGCAGGGATGAAGAGATCCCCCTTTCCCAGGAAGGTTTCCTGGTGCTGTTTCTCTCCTGCCTGTCTGTTCATTCTCATAACGTGGCACTACCTAGAAGCACATGCTTACTCTTCAGAACAGTGCCTTGTGTGTATTTTTGGTTCAAGAGGGATGCCTGGTTGAAAACTTGTGCCGCTAAGGGCTTGTCTCTCTACTTACATTGCCTGCTGTTCCCCACTATAGTGAAACTATTACTTTGTCAAAGAAGAATGTTTGAGTTGGTGTGGATTTTCCTAAGAGCGTTTTAATGTTTTTCTCTGCTCAGCTTTATAGAGATTAAGAGTCTGTTTTGGTGCTGCTCCTGCTTCTTAATTAATATTAGAGTTACATGACTCTTAGACTTTATTTGTAGGATTACATTTTAAAAATACAGGTATTTATTTTGTGCTCTTAGTCCCCTCTCCTCAGTGTTTTACTACTTTTGCTGTAGTTAATAGTCAGTATAGTGAACTTCACATAACAACATTCCATTAGAAGAAATTTCCTGGGGTTGTTTTCCTTTCCTTAGTAAGCATTATATAGTATGTTTCCTACCCTGAAAGAGGTTTCTCTACTGGGAAGGGACTTTTAAAAATGCTTTGAGAATTAAATTGACATGATTCATATCAGTAGTCCAAATTGATGTTTGAACCATTTCAAAAGTAGCTTCTTTTGCAGGCCTTCTCTGAGGATTTTGAAAAGTTATTTTATATTATTTTATATTTTATATTTATTTTATAAGTGTTTTTCAAAAAGAGATTGCCCCAGCCTAGGCAACATAGCGAGACCCCGTCTCTAAAAAATAAAAATAAAATGGTAGTCAGGCATAGTGACGCACCCCTCAGGAGGCTGAGGCAGGGGATTGCTTGAGCCCAGGAATTTTAGGTTACAGTGAGCTATAATTGCACCACTGTACTTGAGCCTGGGTGATAGAGTGAGATCCTGTCTTGAAAAAAAAAAAAGATGGCTGGGTGCAGTGGCTCACGCATGTAATTCCAGCATTTTGGGAGGCTCAAGCAGGTGGATCACCTGAGGTCAGGAGTTCAAGACCAGCCTGACCAACATGGTGAAACCCCGTCTCTACTAAAAATACAAAAATTAGCTGGGTGTGGCAGCGTGTGCCTGTAATCCCAGCTACTCTGGAGGCTGAGGCAGGAGAATCGCTTCAGCCTGGGAGGCAGAGGTTGCAGTGAGCTGAGATTGAGCACCACTGCACTCCAGCCTGGGCAACAGAGCGAGACTCTGTCTCAAAAAAAAAAAAAAAAAGACATTGACAAATGTGTTTTGTTTTCAAATCCTTCTATAGCTCACCAGAACAAGCTAGAAGAAATGATCAATGAGCTAGCAGTGGCGATGACAGCTGTAAAGCACGAACAGGAATACATGGAAGTCCGGGAGAGAATACACAGAGCCAGTAAGTGAATGCCGTCACTTTGCAGCAGTGTCTGATGGTGAAGGTTGTTTTACTCAACAGCTTGCTCGTATTTTCCTCATTTGGAAACTTTGCAAATTTTATGTGAAAGCATTGACTTTAAAAGTGTACCTACACGAGATATTTTTTGAGCATACACATGTGTGGAGCTTTGTAGTTTATTATTGGGACATTCATTGTAAACTAGAAAATGCTATTAAGATTTAGTACAAGTTTTTAAGAGTTTAGTTTTCTGGCCGGGCATGGTGGCTCACGCCTGTAATCCCAGCACTTTGGGAGGCTGAGGCAGGCGGATCACCTGAGGTTGGGAGTTCGAGACCAGCCTGGCCAACATGGTGAAACCTCGTCTCTACAAAAAATAAAAAAATTAGCTGGGTGTGGTGGCGTGCACCTATAGTCCCAGCTACTCGGGAGGCTGAGGCATGAGAATCACTTGAACCGGGAGGCAGAGGTTGCAGTGAGCTGAGATTGGGCCACTGCACTCCAGCCTGGGCAATGGAGCTAGACTCTGTCTCAGGGAAAAAAAAAAAAAAAAGTTTGGGTTTTTAAAAATGTATGGTGAGCTAAGGAATAAGCTAATTGTTTTCTTAAATCAGAAGGGAAAAATGTTGTAAAATGCGTATTGCATTGGTTTTTAATCACATACCTGAAACTTATGTACCAGTGGGATTAATATTAGATGCTGAGATTTAACCTTTTTACTAAAATGGAAAGCTTAATATAGTTAGACTAGAAAACACCAAAACATGAGTACAGGGAAGTCACCAGGTGAAGATCAGTTTGGGTCCTCAAGTTTGTAAGTTGGGAATTTGGAATGTATTTTGCTGTGGAAACAGTGATGATTGAAATCTTGTGTTAGGTTGCAAAAGTCTGTTTAGAACTGGATAGAGCATTAAAAATGAAGCTTTTGCATTTAAAATTAAGAGGTACTATATTGACAGACAGACCAATTCCATTGATTAGGTTCAGGGCCACACCATTGTTCAGTGTTTTCATCCTCCAGGTAGTTCTTGGGGAGATGAAAAGAGCAAGGTGGCTGGGGGCAGTGGCTCACGCCTGTAATCCTAGCACTTTGGGAGGCTGAGGTGGGCGGATCACAAGGTCAAGAGACTGAGACCATCCTGGCCAACATGGTGAAATCCCACCTCTACTAAAACTACAAAAATTAGCCGGGCATGGTGGCACGCGCCTGTAGTCCCAGCTACTCAGGAGGCTGAGGCAGGAGAATCACTTGAACCCCGGAGGCGGAGGTTGCAGTGAGCTGATATCATGCCATTGCACTCCGGCCTGGCGACAGAGCGAGACTCTGTCTGAAAAAAAAAAAGGAAAAAGAGCAAGGTATAGTGACGCATCTCTGTAGTCCCAGCTACTCAGGAGGCTGAGGCGGGGGATTGCTTGGGAGCAAGCTCTTGTCTTAAGGGCAGTGATTTTATGTCAGGAATCTTTGTTCTGAGACTGGAGTAGGAAGTGAAGAGTGACTCAAAGAGATAAGCACAGCTTGAATTTCTTCCAGATGTGCTTTCTGTTTTTCCTACCCTTAAATCTGTTCTTGCTACTTATGGAAACAAATCTTCAGGATCTAGAGCACAGACATCAGCTTGTGTTGGCAGGAAGGTGTGTAAATGTAATAGCCTGGAGAACTCCCCTCATCCCCACTTGTTTTAGGAGTGGAGTGGGGCATATTATGGACCAAGGCTTGTCTACAATTACTCCAGCCTCTTGCCTCACAATTTTGTCTCCTTGCCTCCACTCTTAATCTCACCAGCTGGGATCTTCACTTTTTCTCTCTTATCTTGTTGGGACTCATATGTTGTTTACCTTGTTCCCAGATGGGGAAACAGCCCATTCTGGAGTTGGAAGGGCACTGAACTAACTCAGAGGGCAAGTTCCTCTACTTTGCAATTTTAACTGGTTCAGACCAGATGGCTTTCAAGTTATAGAAGTTCTTGGGAACACAGTGGCCAGAGGAAGCACATGTCTTCCGTCTTTAGGGTGTCCAACCTTGTTCTCTCACCCATGATTTGAGTGGAGATACTCCTGTATTTGTTTCACAAATAGTGAGCTATGTGTTCATATTTAAAAGTGTTAGCAATTTCTAGAATTGAGTTTATAGGCATTCAGTTTAAATTTACAAAGCAAATGGTTCCCATAATGTTTTGTTTTTGTGAGTCTTCCTATAGGACCCACTCCTCAGCAGTGAACATAATGAGATCCTTTCACTACAGTGTTGTAATAATAATGTGTTGCTTCTAGATCAGGCTGATATATGAGTGGCATGAGGACAGTGTCCCAGGTCACTACATTCTGATGTTACTGTGCTTCAATGTGTTCTATTTAAACTTAAAGGTGCATTTTTCTTTGGGAGGCCGAGGCAGGTGGATCACCTGAGGTCAGGAGTTTGAGACCAGCCTGGCCAACATGGTGAAACCCCGTCTCTACTAAAAATGCAAAAATTAGGCCGAGCACAGTGGCTCATGCCTGTAATCTCAGCACTTTGGGAGGCTGAGGCAGGCGAATAACGAGGTCAGTAGTTCGAGACCAGCCTGGCCAAGAGAACAGCCTGGCCAATATGGTGAAACCCCATCTCTACTAAAAATACAAAAATTAGCCAGGCACATGTAATCCCAGCTGCTTGGGAGGCTGAGATCACTTGAACCCAGGAGTTGCCTAGGCTGGTCTTGAACTCGTGGGCTTGAGTGATCCACCTGCCTCTGCCTTTCAAAGTGCTGGGATTACAGGCCTGAGCCACTGTGTCTGGCCTATTTTCTTTTTACAGACTCTCTGGTTTTTGTTGTTTTTTTTTTAGACGGAGTCTTGCTCTGTTGCCCAGGCTGGAGTGCAGTGGTGCTATCTCAGCCCACTGCAATCTCCACCTCCTGGGTTCAAGCGATTCTCCTGCCTCAGCCTCCTGAGTAGCTGGGACTACAGGCGCACGCCACCACCAAATTTTGACGTTGTAAATAATTGCATTTTGGATAACTGTGATTTTGAAATAATTCCTTAATTTTTTGTAGAAGTCAGTTTTCTGATTCAGCAAAATGGATAGTAATATAGGACGTTTCAATGGTGAGGGAGAAAGATGGTTGGATTGGGTGTTAACCCTAGAATTATGACCTTGGGCAAGTCACCTTTTCTTCTCTGCTCCCCGTATACAAGCGGAATGGACTTGGCTGTACCCAGTGAATCTTTAAGCCCAGCTAATTTTTGTATTTTTAGTAGACGGGGTTTCACCACGTTGGCCAGGATGGTTTCTATCTCTTCACCTTGTGATCCACCCGCCTTGGCCTCCCAAAGTGCTGGGATTACAGGCGTGAGCCACCACGCCAAGCCCTATTTTCTTTTTAGAGACACAGGGTCTTACTCTGTTGCCCAGCCTGTAGTGCTGTGCTGACAATACAGCTCACTGCAGCCTCAACCTCCTGGGCTCAAGTGATCCTCCCGCCTCAACCTCCCAAGTAGCTGGAACTACAGGCATGTGCCACTACACCTGGCTAATTTTTTTTTTTTTTTTTTGGTATTGTAGAGACTGGGTTTCTCCATATTGCCCAGGGTTGGCCTCTGACTCCTGAGCAAAAGCAGTCCTCCTGTCTCAGCCTCCCAAAGTCCTGGGATTATAGTGTAATTGTTTTTAATGTTGGCTATTTGCAGAAAAATAAAACACTACATAGAATTTTTTTTTTTTTTTGAGATGGAGTCTCGCTCTGTTGCCCAGGCAGGAGTGCAGTGGTGCAAACTCGGCTCACTGCAAGCTCCGCCTCCCAGGTTCACGCCATTCTCCTGCCTCAGCCTCTCGAGTAGTTGGGACTACAGGTGCCTGCCACCACGCCTGGGTAATTTTTTTTATTTTTAGTAGAGACGGGGTTTCACTGTGTTAGCCAGGATGGTCTCGATCTCCTGACCTCGTGATCCACCCGCCTCGACCTCACAAAGTGCTGGGATTACAGGCATGAGCCACTGTGCCCAGCCTACATAGTAATTAAAAGCTAAGGCTATAGAATTTGACTGGAGAGTTGGACACAATGGCTTGTGCCTGTAGTCTTAGCTGCTTCTGAGCCTGAGGCAGGAGGATTGTTTGAGGTCAGGAGCTTGAGACCAACCTGGGCAACACGAGACCGTTTTTAAAAAAATAAAATAAATTGGCCAGGCGTGATGGCTCATGCCTATAATCCCAGCACTTTGGGAGGCCGAGGTGGGTGGATCACCTGAGGTCGGGAGTTCGAGACCAGCCTGACTAACATGGAGAAACCGCATCTCTACTAAAAATACAAAATTAGTCAGGTATGGTGGTACATGTCTGTAAGCTCAGCTACTTGGGAGGCTGAGGCAGGAGAATCGCTTGAACCCAGGAGGTGGAGGTTGCAGTGAGCTGAGATCGCGTCATTGCACTCCAGCCTGGGCAACAAGAGTGAAACTCTGTCTCAAAACATAAAAAATAAAATAATAATAATAATAAAATACATTTAAAAATAAAAAGAATTTGGCCAGGCGTGGTGGCTCATGCCTATAATCCCAGCACTTTGGGAGGCCGAGGCAGGCAGATCACCTGAGGTTAAGAGTTCAAGACCAGCCTGACCAACATGGTGAAGCCCTATCTCTACTAAAAATACAAAAATTAGCCAGGCATGGGGGTGTGCACGTGTAATCCCAGCTACTCAGGAGTCTGAGACAGGAGAATCACTTGAACCCAGGAGGCAGAGGTTGCAGTGAGCTGAGATTGCGCCACTGCCCTCCAGCCTGGGTGACAGTGAGACTCTGACTCAAAAAAAAGTAAGTAAATAAAAAGAATTTGATCAGAAACTTGAATGTAACAAATAGAGTATAGTAAATATAGAGTAGGTGTGGATTTTACTTTAAGGATCAAATCCTTAGTTTGAGAGCAGGACAGATGAGCATAGTTTGTCTTGTATTTGATGGTCTGGTAGTAACTGTCAGTATGGATCCATATAACTGAGTAACCTCTTCCATTGAGAACAATTGACAAGTACACAGGTGCTCAACAAATATTTGTAACATATTTGGGGAAAAAGACACTCAGACTGCCATATTTTGATGTTGTAAATAATTGCATTTTGGATAACTGTGATTTTGAAATAATTCCTTAATTTTTTTAGAAGTCAGTTTTCTGATTCAGCAAATTGGATACTAATACAGGACGTTTCAATGGTGAGGGAGAAAGATGGTTGTATTGGGTTTTAACCCTAGAATTATGACCTTGGGCAAGTCACATTTTCTTCTCTGCTCCCCATATACAAGCAGAATGGACTTGGCTGTACCCAGTGAATCTTTAAGGTTTCTTTTAAAAATCTTTGCTTCTACTTTGGGAGGCTGAGGCAGGAGGATCAGTTGAGGCCAGGAGTTCAAGACCAACTTGGGCAACATAGCAAGACCCTTTCTCTACAAAAACAGAAAAAATTAGTCAAATGGGCTGGTGCATACCTGTACTCCCAGCTACTCAGGAGGCTGAGGTGGCAGGATTGCTTGAGTACAGTTCAAGGTTGCAGTGAACTATGATTGTGTCATGGCATTCCAGCCTGGGCAACAGAGCAAACAAAAAAGTCTTTGCTTTGGAGTATGTTGAGTTGCTTGGAGACAAAAGTATTTAGAGTATAGGTGACCCATAGGTTACAATGACTTCACTTAGAAATTTTCAGCTTTATGATGGTGCAAAAGTGATGTGCATTCAGAAGAAACTGAGCATCAAGTACCCATGCAACCATTCTGTTTTTTACTTTCAGTGCAGTGTTCACTAACTTGATAAATAAAATAGAAAATAATAATAAAATGCAGTTTAACGTGTATGAGATACACAACACTTTATTATAAAATAATCTTTGTGTTGTTAGATGCTTTTGCTCAACTGTAGGCTAATGTAAGTGTTCTGATCGTGTTTTACGTAGGCTAGGCTAAGCTATGATGTTTGCTAGGTTAGGTGTATTAAATATATTTTTGACTTATGTATTTTCAACATAAGCTGGGTTTATTGGGATGTAACCCCATCGTAAGTTGAGGAACATCTATTCTATGAGTGGTGTACACAATATTACTTTCACACAGAGTGAAGACTAAAATATTTATGATGCCTATGTCTTTTTGGGGGAGAATTGTTAAATTTTGTTTGTTTGTTTTGTCCTCAACAGTCAACGACAACACAAACAGCAGAGTGGTCCTTTGGTCCTTCTTTGAAGCTCTTGTTCTAGTTGCCATGACATTGGGACAGATCTACTACCTGAAGAGATTTTTTGAAGTCCGGAGAGTTGTTTAAAAAGCCTCTTCCTGATGATCCCAACTCAGAATTCACTGTTTACCAAACACCTTGGTCATAATAATGTCATTAGTTTCTCCATTTTTATTTTCTGAACTGTACATTCACAACTTATGTTTCTTTGAGATTAATAGATATTGGGGGAAAAACGCCTTTTTAGGAAAATTATAGTGAAAATTTGACAGTTGATTGGCATAATTTCTTGTTTGAATGCTGCCTCCATTATATAGGTCCTTCCAGGAACTCAAACACTGTAAGTGAAATATGGGAGTATAGTTTTTATTATTTCTTCTTTTCCTTTTGTTTTCATAATATAATGCAGTTTGTTCAGGAAATCAGCACAAAGCCTGATAGTACTTTACTAAAATGACTGCATTCTTTGGATTCCTTCAGTCTATGGTTCAAGTCACTAAAGATTCATTTTTGTTGAGTCCTTATGAGAAACAGCAGTATGAATCTTGACGGTTTCTGCCCGTCCTAATGGCAGAGCTCTCTGACTTGGGTGTATGCTGCCAGGCTGGGTACTTTCATACTTTGTTTTCTTGTTTTGCTTTAAAACTACGACTCAGCATACATTTTCCCACATACATTTTTACATTGTACCTTAGGACTCAGTCATCTCCACTTAAATTGATGACACAAGCAGCTAATAACCATTTCTGGGTTTCTGCCTAACCCCCTAATTGTCTGTTAAAGCCAATTCTCTGGGTGTCCCAGTGAGTGGTGGCTTTTTTTCTTTCCACATTGGCACATTCACTTCTCCCACTCTTGGCATGTAAGAAATAAGCATTTACATAATTGGAAAAATCTGGATTTCTGATGCCAAAGGGTTAAAGCTTCTTGGATTTCATTTCATTGATATACAGCCACTATTTTATTTTTGATCAGTGGCCTTTGGGCCACTGTTCAGGGTACTGACCATCAGTGTCAGCATTAGGGTTTTGGTTTTTGTTTCTTTTGGGTCTTTCTTTTTTGGCACATGTGAATCTTGTTTTGTGTAAAATGAAATTACTTTCTCTTGTTCTCTGATGATGGGTTTAAAATTAAAAGAGCATCCGGTTTTGGTATGGGGATGATCCAGGATTATGTTGTGACTGATACATATTAGTTACTTGTGCTTTTTTTTTTTTTTTTGGATCTTTGCAAGGGCAAAACTACAAGTAACGAGTTTTATATAATTAATTTAAATTTGTTACAGGTTTTCATGTTCAGGATAAACCATACTTCCACCTTGGGTGAGAACACTTGCAACAGTTTATTAATGAGGTGACTTTCACCTTAGGACAACTGTTGCATGCCAAGTTTTTTGTGTGTGTGAAACACTTCAAAACTGATTTAAAAGATGTAAATTTAAAATTGGTTGTATCTAATATGCCCCAGGTTCGGTAAATAAACAATTCTTTTTAAAAACAGTATTCTGTGTTTTATATATTGACAGCTAATCCACATTTTTTACACACCAACTTTCTGTTCTTATTTGACATGAGACATGTTCATGTTTTCTGAGTATTTATACCTATTACGTCTGTTACTTTTTAATTCTATAAACTTGAGGATAGTGAATGGTACCAAGTTTTAGTTTCTGCGTAGGTTTTCCAGTGTGGCTTCTCTGATGGATCAGTGCTAAAATCTTAAGTATTTTTCTATTTGGGAAAAAAGGGTTGAATTATTTTCACTTGCCCACGTAGTTTATGAATGTGGGAAATAGCTTCAAAGACAGATTAAATGATTTGCCCAAGGCCACAGAAAAGAGTGAAAGGTGGAACCGGAGACTAGATCACCACCTGTAGAAACTGTTCTTCCTCTGTGAAACTAACGGCCTGCTGGTAATAAAAGTAGCTACCATTTCTTGAGTACTGTGTAATGTCTCGATCTAGTACTAAGCACTTTACTTGGTCTGTCTTATTCATGCTTCAAAACTGCCATTACCTTGGGTAAAACCATTTTGGAAGTGAGGAGGAAAACAGGCTTGGAAAGGGTCTTAAGGTCAGAAAACTAGTAGGTAGTAGAGCCCAGAAGACACACACAGATATGTAATTTCCCTGTGCCTTTGCTTTCAGAACTGTCTGTGAAGTCTCCCACCTTTTCTTTTTTTGGAGACAGGATCTCACTCTGTTCCCAGGTTGGCTTGATCTCTGCTCACTGAAGCCTCAACCTCCCGGGCTCAAGTGATCCTACCACCTCAGCTCTCCAAGTAGCTGGGACTACATTTTTTGTTTTTTAAAGACAGGGTCTTGCTTTGTTACCTGGACTGGAGTGCAGTGGCACAAACATGGCTCACTGGAGCCTTAACCTCTCAAGTGATCCTCTCATCTCAGCCTCCCGAGTAGCTGGGACCACAGGCATGCACCACCACGCCTAGCTAATTAAAAAATTATTTTTGTAGAGGCAGAGTCTCCTGTATGTTGCCCAGGCTGGCCTCATTCTCCTGGGCTCAAGTGATCCTCCTGCCTCAGCCTCCCAAAGTGTTGGGATTGCAGACATGAGCCACCGTGCCTAGCCGAAGTCCCATTTTATAAAAGTTGTCAAAGGTGTTTTGAGAATGTGATGATCATTTCACTGAAAATGTGGCTTCAGGCTGTTGTCTTTTACTTAATTTGAGATGACTGCAGTCTGCATGAGTTGTATTCCCATTTATCAATCCCACAAATATTTGAGTGATTGCTGTGTGCTACAGTGATAGTCCTTGGGATAAAGAAGATAGAGAAAAGACCCTATTAGTGTGGGTTTTACATTTTGGTGGCAGAGATGAACCTAATAAGTTTTGTGTGTGTGTGTGTGTGTTTGTGTGTGTGTGGCGAGAAAGAGATAATGGTAAATGCTAAGAAGGGAACATAAATCAAGGTAGGAGTTTCAGTGATACAGAAAGGAAGGTAACAGAAGTTGATTTCAAAAGTCCAAGTGGAATGTAAGGGAGTGTAAGGGAAAACTTCCCCTTTGCTCTCAGGTTTCTCTAAAAATTCAACTGAAAATAGGCAGATTAATAGGAGGAAAGTGATACAAATTTATTCGGTCATGCTTTTACATGACAAAGGAACCTTCAGAATTAAGACCCAAAGTTACAGGGAAAACTATTTTTATGCTTAGGCTCAACAAAATATGCACAGCTGAGTAGAAATAGGACTGGACAAGAAGGGCATGATCTAATGCTCATAGACTGAGTGGGGAAGCCCAGCGAGGCCTGTCTGGATTCTTTCCTTCTGGATAGGGGAAAGAACCCTTCCTGGAATGGGGTCTTACAACCTACCAGCAAAACAAAGGAGGTCAGATACATTTTTTTTTTTTTTGGAGACAGTCTCTCTCTGTCACCCAGGGTGGAGTGCGGTGGCGCGATCTTGGCTCACTGCAGCCTCCGCCTCCCGGGTTCAAGCAATTCTCCTGCCTCAGCCTCCCAAGTAGCTGGGAATACAGGCGCACGCTGCCACATCTGGCTAATTTTTTTTTGTATTTTTAGTAGAGACGGGATTTCACCGTCTGGTCTCGAACTCCTGAGCTCAGGCAATCTGCCCGCCTTGGCCTCCAAAAGTGCTAGGATTACAGGTGTGAGCCACCACGTCTGGCCTTTTTTTGTTTGTTTGTTTGTTTGTTTGTTTGTTTTTTGAGACTGAGTCTCACTCTGTCGCCCAGGCTGGAATGCAATGGTGCGATCTAGGATTACTGCAGCCTCCACTTCTCAGGTTCAAGCGATGCTTGTAGCTCAGCCTCCGGAGTAGCTGCAGGCACCTGCCACCACACCTGGCTAATTTTTTGTATTTTTAGTAGACAGGGTTTCACTACGTTGGCCAGGCTGGTCTCAAACTCCTTACCTTAGGTGATCCGCCTGCCTCAGCCTCCCAAAGTGCTGGGATTACAGGCATGAGCCACCGCACCTAGCCCAGATAATTTCTTTTTCTTTTTTTTTTTGAGACTGAGTCTCGCTTTGTCACCCACGCTGGAGTGCAGTGGCGCAACCTCCACCTCCCTGGTTCAAGCGATTCTTCTGCCTCAGGCTCCTGAGTAGCTGGGACTACAGGCATGCGCCACCACGCCTGGCTAATTTCTGTATTTTTAGTAGAGACGGGGTTTCACCATATTGGCCAGGCTGGTCTCGAACTCCTGACCTTGAGATCTGCCCGCTTTGGCCTCCCAAAGTGGTGAGATTACAGGCGTGAGCCACCGTGCCAGGCCAATAATTTCTTTATGGCCAGTTTTTTCACAGAAAGGTGGAGAGAGAGTAATATTTTTAGGTTTTATGGCTGACTGTGGAGAAAAGGGATTCCTGTTTCTATGCTCCGTCATGGGCAAGAGGGATTCTTGAGTTTCTATGGCTAGCCTCAGAGAATCAGAGATCAGAGAGGGAGCAGAAGGTCAGAGAGAAACTTGCTTCTGAGGCTGCCTCTGGGGCCTTCATTTTGGGGTTTCGTTTTCAGAGCCTCAACAGGAGCAAGCCATGCACATAGGTGGAGGAGATAGGCCCTCATAGAGGGCACATAATGAGTGGTCAATAAAAGTTTGCTGAGTGAAGGCCGGGCGCGGTGGCTCACGCCTGTAATCCCAGCACTTTGGGAGGCCGAGGCGGGCGGATCACGAGGTCAGGAAATCGAGACCATCCTGGCTAACACGGTGAAACCCCGTCTCTACTAAAAATACAAAAAATTAGCCGGGCGTGGTGGAGGGCGCCTGCAGTCCCAGGTACTCGGGAGGCTGAGGCAGGAGAAGGGCGTGAACCCGGGAGGCGGAGCTTGCAGTGAACCGTTATAGCGCCCAGCCTCCAGCCTGGGCAACAGAGCGAGACTCCGTCTCAAACAACAACAACAACAACAACAACAACAAAAACAGCTTTCTGAGTGAAGTTGTATGTGGACATGAATGGCCCAGGCAAACAGTGAACAGAGGAATGGGACAGTGTTCTTAGTTAGGACTCTGACCCTAACTTCCGGGAAAGTAAACCAACATTCAGGACGTACCGGCCATCGGACCGCAACATTCAGGACGTACCGGCCATCAGCGGGTGCCTGTTTTGCAGGGCTGCTAACCCGGGTCCCCGACACGTTTCTCTGCCCACGGTAGCCAGCCCCGCTGTCCTTCGGCCTGGACGCGGTCCTGTGCTGCCACCTGCCTCCGAGGGGCAGAGAAAGTGGGAGGGCCGGGCCAGAATCCCTCCCGCCAAAACTCCTGCCCGGTGCGGAGAGGCGCCCGGAGCCCAGGGCGCTGTGCGGAGCGGGTGTAACTCCCCAGGCCTGCCCCGCCGCCTGCCTCCACCGTCCCGCGGACGCCTTTCCTCCCTCCCGCGGCGTGGGAGCCTTCGCCGCGCTCCGGAACTCTGCTGCTCCAGCGAAGTTCCCGGCCGGCCGCTGGAGCTGCGGGAAGCGGAAGTGCTCGTTGGGGGTGCACAAGGCGCGTTCGAGCAGCGGCGACCGACGCGGCGAAGGAGCGCGCCATGGAGCATGTGACAGAGGGCTCCTGGGAGTCGCTGCCTGTGCCGCTGCACCCGCAGGTGCTGGGCGCGCTGCGGGAGCTGGGCTTCCCGTACATGACGCCGGTGCAGGTATCGGTTCCCTGGCGTGGGGGAGTGAGGCTGGGAGAGGGGCAGGCACCCGCTGCATCGGACCCACAGGAGGTGATCGGACAGATCTGAGCCCTGGGGCGCTCATCCCTCCAGCTGGGGCTCTTGCCTTGTCTCCAGCTGCCCAGACTGGCGGAATGCGGAGCTGCCCGGCCAGCGAGCCGGCAGAGGGGCCGCGACCCACCCCGCCCTCGGGTGCTGTGGTCTCAAGCCTGGTTCTCATCCTGGCCCTGCTCGCTGTAGCTGTGAGACCTCGGGCAAATGGCTTAACCTCTCCGTGCTTCATTTTCCTTCTCTGTGAAATGACGAAAAAATAACACCCTCCTTATGGGGTTGCTGTGGGGACTAAATAAACCAGTCGGCACACTATGGGAGCTCAGTAAGGGTTACCGTTGTTATGCATCTCTTCAAGAATATTTCTTGAGGACCTGCTATGTGTCAGGAACTCTTCTAGGCTCTGGGGAGTTTGCAGTATTGGCATCTGCTCATAGCCTTACTTTCTAGTGCAAGAGCTAGAGAAAGGATAATTTCAGCTGCTGGTAAGTGTTATGAAAGAACTAAGACGGTTGTGATAGTGTCGCGCGAGGACTGCAGAGGAGGTGAGATAGGGTGTTAAGGAAGGCCTCTCTGAGGAGGTGCATTGAGCTGAGACCTCAGTGATTGAGAAGGAGCTGGCTCTGAGGTGACTAGGGGGAGATTATTCCACTGGAGAGAAATACCAGTGCACATAAATGCCCTGCGGCAGGCTGCAAATAGTTTGAGCAGCAGAAAGGAGGCCTTTGTGGCTGAACATCAAGAGTAGTGTAAGAGATGGATTGTGCAGGGTCTTGTAGGCGCTTGGATTTCATTCTAAATGTAGTGGGAAGCCATCTTATCTGGGAGGATGTTTAGGAAGGGAAGGGCTGTGATTTCTCTGTAGAGAGTGGCCTTTCCAGGCATAAGAGATGAAGCAGGCAGGTCGCTTAGGAGGCCATTGTCAGGTAAGAGATGATGGTGACTTGGAGTAGGGTGGAACCAGTGGATACTGAGAAGTCACATTTGGGATAGCTTTAAGGTTGCTAAGGGACTGGAAGTGGAGGTTAGGAAAGAAAAGACTACAGGACCTGAGGTTTTTATTCTTTTTTTTTTTTTTTTTGAGATGGAGTCTCGCTCTGTTGCCCAGGCTGGAGTGCAGTGGCGCGATCTCGGCTCACTGCAACCTCCGCCTCCTGGGTTCAAGCAATTCTCTGCCTGAACCTCCCAAGTAGCTGAGATCACAGGTGCCTGCCACCATGCCCGGCTAATTTTTTGTATTTTTAGTAGATACGGGGTTTCACCATCTCGGCCAGGTTGGTCTTGAACTCCTGACCTCCTGATCCACCCGCCTTGGCCTCCCAAAGTGCTGGGATTACAGGCTGAGCTACCGCACCCGGCTGATTTTTATTAGTAGCTGAGTGAATGGTGTTACCATTTCCCAAGAATGACTGGCGTGCGTATCAGGTTTCAGAGGGAAAGTCAAGAGTTCTTTTTTTTGTTTTTTGTTTGTTTGTTTGTTTTTAACTTTTTTGAGACGGAATCTTTCTCTGTTGCCCAGGTTGGAGTGCAATGACACGATCTCGGCTCACTGCAACTTCTGCCTCCCGGGTTCAAGCTATTCTCCCATCTCAGCCTTCCAAGTAGCTGGGGTTACAGGCATACACCACCACGCCTGGCTAATTTTTGTGTTTTTAGTAGAGACGGGATTTCGCCATGTTGGCCAGACTGGTCTTGAACTCCTGACCTCAGGTACGCCCGCCTTGGCCTCCCAAAGTGCTGGGATTACAGGAGTGAGCCACTGCGCCTGACCACAAGAGTCCTGTTTTTAAACACTGAGCTGGGTACAGTGGCACCCGCCTGTAGTACCATTTGTTTGGAAGGCTGAGGTGGGAGGATCCCTTGAGCCCAGGAGTTCAAGACCAGCCTGAGCAACATAGTGAGACCCGCATCTTCGAAATTAAAATAAATAATGGCCGGGCACGGTGGCTCACGCCTGTAATCCTAGCACTTTTGGAGACCAAGGTGGGAGGATCACTTGAGATCAGGAGTTCAAGACCAGCCTGGGCAACATAGGGAGGCCCTGTCATCACAAAAATTTTTTTTAAATAAATGAAGTCTTGAGTTTGAGATGCCCATAAGATTCCCGGGAATGTGGAGAATGTATTTCCAGCAGGCAGGGCTGGAGATGAAAACTGGGAGTGCTATGTGCCCTGCCTAGGGAATGTAGTGCGAGCAAGACCCAATCTCTGGCCTCAGAGCTCATTGTCTAGACCTGTCATCCACTACACAGTCATCAGACATGGCTATCAAGTGCTTGAAATACACTTTGTCCAAATCAAAGTGTACTCTGAGTATCAAATAACACACTAGATTTTGAAGACCTAGTATGAAAAAAGAATGGAAAATGCTGATTTTTAAATATTGACTAAATGTGAAGGGACAATATTTTTGATATATTGGGTTAAATAAAATATTAAAATTTATTTCACCCATTTCTTTTTACTTTTCTTACTATGGCTATTAGAAAATTTAAAATTGTTTATGTGGTTCACATTTTATTTCTATTGGACAGCAATGGCCTGAAGCAGGGTCCTCACTGTTGGCACTATTGACATTTTGTGCTGGAAAATTTTTTGTTATGGGGCTGTCCTGGGCATTGTAGGATGTTTAACAACATCACTGGAATCTGTCCATCAGAGGACATCACCTCCCAACCCTGGTTGTATTTTATTTATTTATTTATTTATTGAGGCAGGGTTTTGCTCTGTTACCCGGGCTGGAGTGCAGTGGCACAGTCACAGCTCACAGTAGCCTCGACCTCCCTGGGCCTAGGTGATCCTCTTACCTTAGCCTCCTGAGTAGCTGGGACTGCAGGCATGCACCACCACACCCACATAATTAAAAAAATTTTCTTTGTAGAGACAGAGTCTCCCTGTGTTGCCTGGCTGGTCTGGAATTCCTGGCCTTAAGGGATCTACCCACCTGGGCCTCCCAAAGTGCTGTGATTATAGATGTGAGCCACCACGCCTGGCCCACCCTGGGTTTTGACAACCAAAAATGTCTCCTTACATTGTCAAATGTTCCCTCAGGGGTTGAGCAGGGGGATAGCAATCACTGTGTAGAGGCAGTTAGAATAATATTACACCTGCTGTGATTTAAGTGAGCTCAGGCCCTGGGGACCAGGGCTGAATCCTGGAGGGAGCAGCCTCCAGGCCAAGGCCTGAATCTAATTGAGGTTTTTTTTGATTGCTAAAACCAGGTTTCTTTTAAAGTCTGGCAACCTCTACAGTGCTTAAAATGAGAGGGTTTATTTGAATCATGATTCTGTGATACTAGAGCTGGAAGGGACCCTAAAACCCAATGTCTTCAACGCCTTCCTGGTTCAGAGAGGAAAGTAGGAGCGACAGGGCTAGAATTCAGGACTCCCACCTCCCAGCTCAGCTCACTGTCCCCACACGCCGTCCACATAGACACAGTTGCCACGTTTGATTCAACTTCTCTATGGTGACTTGGTTACTCAGAGCCCCTTTTGTGGTGGGACCCACTGTGACCTTAGCTGCCCATTATGTTCCTAGGGCTTCGGGTCTCACCTGTGAATTGATGGCATCCTTTAACCAGTGCTTTGCAATCTCTCTCTTTAGTCCGCAACCATCCCTCTGTTCATGCGAAACAAAGATGTCGCTGCAGAAGCGGTGAGTGCCTCGGGTATGTGCAGCCTGTCCTCGTGTTCTCCCTCAGATGAACTCTGAGGAAGAAAGGGAAACCAAAACTCTCTGTTTGCAGGTCACAGGTAGTGGCAAAACACTCGCTTTTGTCATCCCCATCCTGGAAATTCTTCTGAGAAGAGAAGAGAAGTTAAAAAAGAGTCAGGTGAGGACAACAAAAGTGATTTATTTTCACCTAGTCATCAGAGAGTTCACATTGGATTAAGAAGCTGGCTACAAATGTGAAAAAATAGGCCAGAAGCCGTGGCTCACGCCTGTAATCCCAGCACTTTGGGAGACTGAGTCTGGAGGATCACTGGAGTCCAGGAGTTTGAGACCAGCCTGGGCAACACAGTGAGACTTCATCTCTACAAATAATGAATGAATGAAACTTGAAAAAAAAAGACAGTTAATCCTCATTATTTGTGGATTCTGTATTTGTGAATTTGCCTGCTCGTTAAAATTTAGAACACCCCAGTGGATCCTCGGTGCTTCTGTGGTCATGGGCGTGGGCAGAGCTGCCTTTGTTTTCACTGCTCAGGTGTAAACAGTGTCCTTTTCGTCATTTATTTAGTGCCATGTTTTTTACCTTTTTTTTTTTTTTCTTTTTTCCCTGAGACAGGGTTTTGCTCTGTCACCCAGGCTGGAGTGCAGTGGTGTGATCTCATCTCACTGCAACCTCCACCTCCCAGGCTTAAGCTGTCCTCCTGCCTCAGCCTTCCAAGTAGCTGGGACTACAGGTGTGGACCATCATGTCTGGGTCATTTTTTGTATTTTTTGACATGTTACCCAGGCTGGTCTTAAACTCCTGGGCTCAAGTGATCCTTCCGCCTCGGCCTCCCAAAGTGCTGGGATTACAGGTGTGAGCTACCGCGCCCGGCCATTTTGCACATTTTTGTGCTTTATGTTGGTGATTTTGGTTTTTGAAATGGCCCCGTGATGTAGTGCAGTCTAGTGTTCCTGGGTGCAAGAAGGTTATGACGTGCAGAGAAAATCCCTGTGCTAGAGAAGCACAAGCTAAGGCATGAGTTAATGTGCTGTTGGCCACGAGTTCAATGAGAATGAATCAATAGTATATGTTAAATAGAGTCTTTTAAGCACAAACAGACATAAAATAGGTTTATGTATTGATTGGTTGACAAAAATGTCATGCCCAAAGACTGGCAGGAACCTAACCCTGTGTTTCCCCTGTGAGCAGTGGTTCAGCATTGACTAATTCACTGTTCTTCATGACTTGAAAGAGCATAACTGCAGTATATGATGACGAGTAACCGTAATTCAAAGTAGTTGATATGTGCTCAGAGATGCTGCTGAGAAAGTCTGGGAACTACTGTTTCTCTGGAACTTTCCTTTGTGTGGTAGAGGGCGGAGGGCCTATGAGTTCCTCTCTGGGAGTCCCTTGTGCTGCTGACTGTGTCCCTTCCTTCCATGTGGGTAGGTTGGAGCCATAATCATCACCCCCACTCGAGAGCTGGCCATTCAAATAGACGAGGTCCTGTCGCATTTCACGAAGCACTTCCCCGAGTTCAGGTGAATTGGATGCAGTGTCCCTGTTAGTCATGGGCTGTTTTGTCGAACTTAATCAAAGGCTGTTTTCTTGTTGTAGCCAGATTCTTTGGATCGGAGGCAGGAATCCTGGAGAAGATGTTGAGAGGTTTAAGCAACAAGGGTGAGTTTGCTCGTGTCTGCTTGTTTCTTTGCTTGCTTTTGGCATTGAACCTAAGAATCGATGTGTGATCTCAGCCTAACTGTGGGTCCCCCTTTCAGCAGCCTCCTCCCCCTGCAAAAAGGTGTTTTCTCCAGGCCAGCTTCCCATTGTGCTTTGCTGGCTCCTTCCCATAAGGCCCTGATGAGAACTTCACAAACTCAGGTTCTTACAGAGGTCAAGAGAACGACGTGAAGATAAATGAGTGGTCAGGGGCTGGGGGATGGTGAGGAACTGGCCAGCAGCTGCCTTGAATACTCAGCTCCAGCTGGTAGTTGCCTGGGAGGACTCGGCTCAGTAGTGGCAGGTTTTGAATTTTTTAAAAAGAAGATGGAATTCCAGATTTGTGTGTGTAATCTCCTGATTTTTTAACTGTTGGCGTGTAATCCACATTTGAAAAACATATCTTGTAGGTGAGCCAGTCTGAGGGAGCCACATCTGGCCCTGAGTCTGCCAGTTTGTGATCTTTACATAGGATTCTCTAATTCTGTCAACATTTCCATTTTACAAGTGAGTTACCTGGGACCTACAATGGTTGAGTAACTTGCGTAAGTCAGAGGTTGGTAAGCTTTTTTTTTATAAAGGAGCAGATGGTAAATGTTTTCGGCTTTGTGAACCATATGGTCTCCATCGCACTTACTCAACTGCTGTTGTAGTGTGAAGGCAGCGATAGACAACATGTGAATAAATGGGCGTGGTTTTCTGCCAATAAAATACTTGGCAAGGACAGGCAGCAGCCCAGGTTTGGTCCGGGAGCTGGAGTTTGCCAACCTTGCCTAGGTCATAGCCCAGAACCCAGATCCCGTCTCACCACAGCCCTCAGTCTTTCTACCCTGCAGCACTCTTCTACTCTCATGCTCTTCGTTCTCTTCACTAGGGCTTAAATGACTTTGGGGGGATATAAAACTTGGTATTTTGGTAATCATCAACCACATTCCCAAGATCCAGAGAGTTTGGTAAATGTTAACTTTCTTTCCAAAGTGGGAACATCATTGTGGCCACTCCAGGCCGCTTGGAGGACATGTTCCGGAGGAAGGCCGAAGGCTTGGATCTGGCCAGCTGTGTGCGATCCCTGGATGTCCTGGTGTTGGATGAGGCAGACAGACTTCTGGACATGGGGTTTGAGGCAAGGTACTGGACTTTGGACTTCACTGGCTTGAGTGGGCAGATGATACTAATACAAAAGGGGAGCAAAATGGAGTTTACTGTTTCATGACTAGGTATTTTTATTTTTTATTTTCATTTTTATTTATTTTTTATTTATTTGTTTATTAGAGACAGGGTCTTGTGCTGTCACCCAGGCTGGAGTGCAGTGGTGTGATTATGTTCACTGCAGCCTCAACCTCTCGGGCTCAGATGATCCTCCTGCATCAGCCTCCCGGGTAGCTGGGATTACAGGTGCACACCACCATGCCTGGATGGTTTTTTTATTTTTTGCAGATGAGGTTTTGCCATGTTGCCCAGTCTGTTCTCAAACTCCTGGACTTAAGTGATCCTCCTACCTAGGGTACCCAAAGTGCTAGGATTACAGGTGCCAGCCACCATGCCTGGCCTAAGTATTTTTATTAACCACATTTTAATTTCAAATCATTAAGTAGTTTGAGCTTTCAAATTCTACCACGTGATTTTATTCCAGTTCTATCTTTGATCTTAAAATGCACTTTCCTTCAAGTTTTTTTTTTTTTTTTTTTTTTGAGACAGGGTCTCACTCTGTCATCCAGGCTAGAATGCAGTGGCATGATTTCGGGTCATTGCGACCTTTACTTCCTGGGCTTAAGTGATCCTCCCACCTCAGCCTCCTGAGTCATCTGGGACTACAGGCACATGCCATCATGCTTTTTTTTTTTAATTTTTGGCAGAGACAAGATCCCATTATGTTGCCCAGGTTGGTCTCAAACTCCTGGGCTCAAGAGATCTTCCCATCCCAGTCTCCCGAAGTGCTGGGATTACAAGCATGAGCCATCACACCTGGCAGTTTTGTTGTTTTTTAATAAACAGCTTTATGGGATATAATTCACATATCATTATAATTGTATGCTAAAATTTGAGGAACCTTGGAAAAATGAAAGTATAAAGAAGAAACAAAGAATCACCTATAATCTCACCTCCCAGTGTATGTGCTATAAATATTTTGATGGCTTCACTTTCAGTCTTTTTGAATACCTGTTTAGTATCGTGAAGCACTGTGTGTTGATTCTGCTGGCAAGTGAGCGGTTAAGTGTGAGCCCTCTTTTTATCAGCATCAACACCATTCTGGAGTTTTTGCCAAAGCAGAGGAGAACAGGCCTTTTCTCTGCCACTCAGACGCAGGAAGTGGAGAACCTGGTGAGAGCGGGCCTCCGGAACCCTGTCCGGGTCTCAGTGAAGGAGAAGGGCGTGGCAGCCAGCAGTGCCCAGAAGACCCCCTCCCGCCTGGAAAACTACTACATGGTAAGCGCCTGGGCTTGCTTCTTACTCAGCGATAATGACCAGTGCTCATTTTATGGAAATTGTACTGGTAGAATAAATATGTGAGACCCTGTAGCACCTATGAAATGCATTTGGGGACAGAGCTAGCTAGGGCAAATGGCCTGAGTGGTCCTACTCATTGAATGAATAAGTTAAATTGGACATAAATGTATTTTAAGCACAGTCTCTAAGGACAGAGTCTCTGAACCTCCTACCCTCAAGTGACCAAATGTTTCTATTGTACATGCTTGGGGTGTGCTGGGTGCAGCCATGACTAAGCTCTGTAGTTCCTGGGCCCGTCAGAACAGCCTGTCTGACAGAGAAGGGCATAGTTAGATGTGCAGGTGGAACACAGAAAATCAAATGACAGACTCACTCCTAAGGAGACTTTGTGGGGTGGAAATGTTCTGCTCCGTAAATGTTGTGTATTTTTGACCTGCATCAAATATGCTGAGTTTCTTTTTTTTTTTTTTTTTTTTTTTTGAGACAGAGTCTGGCTCTGTCGCCCAGGCTGGAGTGCAGTGGCGCGATCTCAGCTCACTGCAAGCTCCGCCTCCTGGGTTCATGCCATTCTCCTGCCTCAGCCTCCCGAATAGCTGGGACTACAGGCGCCCGCCACCACGCCCGGCTAATTTTTTGTTAGCCCTGTTAGCCAGGATGGTCTCCATCTCCTGACCTGGTGATCCACCTGCCTCGGCCTCCCAAAGTGCTGGGATTACAGGTGTGAGCCACCGCGCCCGGCCGTTTTTTTTTGTTTGTTTTTTTTTGTTTTGAGACGGGGTCTCACCCTGTCACCCAGGCTGGAGTGCAATGGCACGATCTCGGCTCACTGCAACCTCTGCCTCCTGGTTCAAGCAATTCTTCTGCCTCAGTCTCCCGAGTAGCTGGGATTACAGGCATGTGCCACCATGCCCAGCTAATTTTTTGTATCTTTAGTAGAGGTGGGGTTTCACCACATTGGACAGGCTGGTCTTGAACTCCTGACCTCATGATCCTCCTGCCTCAGCCTCCCAAAGTGCTGGGATTACAAGAATGAGCCATCATGCCTGGCCCAAATATGCTGAATTTCTAGTAGTAAATACTGGCTGCTGGCTTCTGTAGTTTCTTCACAAAGAAGTAGATGGGCTTTTGGCAACTTGATTGTTTAGTAATGAGGCCACTCCTCACCCCTGTTCTGTTCTGTCCCATTGCTGGGATGGGCCAGGAGGCACAAATGTAGAGAGCACAGGCTGCAGGGGAGGCAGCACCATCAGGGCGAGGAGGCACCCACAGGCCAGTGCCACTGCTGACGGTACACTGGCCCACCAGCCCGGGGCTGGGGCTTTTCTTTCTCTTTTGCAATAAGCTTTCTCAGGTTAAATTTTTCGTTAGGCCTGGAGGGGTTCCCTAGCTCCTGAACATGTCTGCTGTTCAAAATGAAGGAGGCTGGTCTCGAAACCAGAATGTTCCTATTGCTGCAGACTGTGAGGTTGTCGAGGCTGCTCTCCGGTTTGTGTCAATTTGTAGGCAGATTAAAGGTAGAATGAGTTTGCAAATGAGAAACTGCACCTAGTGTAACTGGAGAGTGTTGTCAAAATCAGATAGGCTCATCAGAAGTGGGAGTTGTAGTTGCCATTGATGTTTCTGACAAGCTGGACTGGGTGAGGGAGGAGGCTAGCTCTTCCCAAGCAGAGGGAAGGACTCTGCATAGGGTAGTGTGGAGAGCATGGGCGCTAGAGCAGGACTGCCTGGTGCATATCTTGGCTTTGGCCCCTACCAGATTTAACCGATGAACTTAGAGGTCCTTACTTGTCAAATGGGGGCCACAGTAGTATACAGCTTCGTAGGGTTGCTGCAGGATTAATTAATTAATCCATGCAAAAATGTTCATGATAGTGCTTAGTACACAATAAGTATGGGTTGAGCATTCCTAACTTGAAATTCCAAAATCCAAAATCCTCCAAAATCTGAAGCTTTTTTGAGTGCCAACATGATGCTGAGAGGAAATACTCGGAGCATTTTGGATTTCGGATTTCCAGATTAGGGATGCTCAGCTGGTAAGTATAGTGCAGCTATTCCAAAATCTGAAAAAATTCAAAAGCCAAAAAACACTTCGGGTCCTAAGGACCTTGGATGAGGGATACTTGTACTACTGTTAGCTTTGGACACACTGTGGCTACTGTTGCATTCTGTTATTTTGCATTCGTTTTGCATTTAGAGATGGCTGAGTACATGAGAAAAAATTCCAAACTGGGGATTTGGTTTTGGTAAAAATAGGATGAATGCATTCAGGTGAATTTAATGTCTCTAATTTGGGAGTTTGAATGGAGGACTTGATTGCATTATGAAGAAAAGCAGTGGGGTCTGCGTCCATGGAGGCCTTTTAAATAATGATGTACATTGCTTTCTGGAAATCAGTATTCACCTTAGAGCAGTGACTTCTGAACTTGGCATCAGAATTTCCTGGGGGAACTCTTAAATAATAGGGATTCTTAGGTTCAATCTCAGACCTACTGAATCAGAATCTGTATGTCGTACCCAAGAATCTGCATTTAAAAAAAAAAAATCTATCCTTTGGCTGGGCGAGGTGGCTCACGCCTGTAATCCCAGCACTTTAGAGTTGAGGTGGGAGGATCGCCGGATGCCAGGCCAGGAGTTCGATACCAGTCTGGGCAACATATTGAGAGTCTGTCTCTTGAAAAAAAAAAAAGAAGAAAAAAAAAGGTAAATAAATAAAAATCTACCCTGGAGATGGTGTAATGGCTGGCATGTATATTGGGATTGGGAGTTGGGAACTGTTGCCTGTTGGATGACTGTGTTTCTCTGAGCTATATGATTTTGTGACATACAAATTAACTTTTACAGGCAGCAGCACATGTTGATATTTATTCTGAGCTAGGTAGACCAGTTAACATTCCGACTAAAGTCTGTCCTACCCATGGGGGAAATGACATTCCTTAAAATTTAATGCTGAAACTGAAAATAGCCATGGGGATTATTATTGCCAAATATGTTTTTTATTAGTTTCCCTTTTTATTTTGCAGGTATGCAAGGCAGATGAGAAATTTAATCAGCTGGTCCATTTTCTTCGCAATCATAAGCAGGAGAAACACCTGGTCTTCTTCAGGTACTCCTCTGGTCTCTGTGGTAGAGGCATCAGGGATTCAGCCAGAATGTGCAGGTGCATGCGGCCTTTGGGTTTTGGATTCCATCTAGCATGGTTCTCTCCGGAATGCTTTTGGCTGCAAATAACTGAAAACCCAACTTTTGTTGTCCGAACAAGGTTGGCTTTATTTTTCTCCCGTAAAAAGTCGTCCAAAGGCAGGCAGTTTCTCACATGGGTTTCATGTGTCAGTCATGTCAAGGTCAATGTTGATGTGATTGGTCTTCTCTTCCTATGTGTCACCTCATGGATTCTGGATGACCACTATTACACCCTGTCATGTCTCCACTGAAGAAAGATAAGGGGGGAAAGGCAGAGGGGGCTTAGGGCAATGTTAGCTATATCCATGCCTTTTAATCAGGAGAGCAAAGAGCTTCTTCAGAAACCCCTCTGCCCTAGTTGACTTCAGCTGTGAATTCATCTTAGGGGCCAAAAGTGGGTCACGTGGTGGCCCCTCACTTCAAGAGCAGCAGAGAAAATGAGTGCGCAGCTTTTCTGCCTCTGTAGTAGTGGCCAGTGAAGCAAGAAGTGGTTGGGAATAGTGTTTATCAGCCACCCATGGAGTCCGCCACAGTGGGGTTTTGTCCTGTGGTCAGAAGGCAGCGTAGGGACAGATGCATATGTTCTTTGGACTGGTTGGTTCTTTTCCCCTTTTCTCCAGAGATAAATGTGTTGATCTTTAGTAGTACATAAAAAATAATTTTATATTTATTTATATATTTATATTTATAATTTCTTTTCTATCTGTTATCCTACAAATAAAATGCAATATTGACCATGACCCACAGTAAGAAGTACAATTTGGTACACACCCAAACAAGACAATAAAACAAAGGTTTTCATGAAACTGCACCCTGCTAGGTGGGATGTTTTCTATTCTGTTCTACTCCAGCTGTTAATTTTTTTAAAATGCTGGTCGAGACCCACTAAATTGATTTCAGAACCCACCAGGTCTGTGGGTTGTGAGGCTTAGTGTGTGAAACACCACTTCATTACATACTATGTGACTCAAGGTGGAAAAGAGCGGTCACAGCACAGGTGGAGGGACTGAAGTAGACAAGAGTTAGCCCAAACTGGAATGCAGTAGTGCAGTAGTCTGGTCTAGTGGGAGGAGCATTAGACCTGGGTTCTGGTTCTGCCACTTACTCTGTGTCTCTGGTAAGTTTTAGTTCCCTCATCTGCAAAAGGATGGGAAGTCACTTGGGAATGCTTCCAGTTAAGGAAAAGGGTCCAGGGTGAACTTTATTAGAAGGGTGCCGGGTAAGGAGCTCACAGATTCAGAGAATGTTGAGTGTCCAGCTCCCAGGGAAGGAGGCTCCCTGGCAGGAGTTCATGGGCCATCTCTTTAGGGCATATCTTTATTGGGATGACTGCCAACCCCTTTTTGTCTTTGGATGACTCAGCTCCAAGTCCCAAATATCTGGGAGAAGGGATCTGACTGGCCTAGCTTGGGTTATTTGCTGAGCCCTTGGGAATCCTGCTAATTGGGAAAGAAGCAGTTCCCTAAACGGAAAGCAGAAATGTTTTTAAATCTTGTAACACTATTTGTGGCTAAGATGTCATTGCTTTTGTTCTGAATGACTGTTTCACTTTAATTCCTTTCTCGGGGTCAGGGAGATTTCCCGTGAGAACATCTTTAGACAGTAAAATATGTCCTTGGGGGTTTTAATTCATGTTTAAGGGATTTTGTCAAAAGATTGGCCTTTCATTGGCTGAGAGGATTACAGATTGAGAACTCAGTTGTGGATGATTTCCACTGCCATTTTCCTTGTCATTCCCCTAGGGAGGGCTTGTAGTTAGGTTGCGTCTGCTGCAGCTATTGCTCACTGTTCCCCTCTCCCGGTTGTAGAAGGACCAAAGTGGCCAATGACTCTAAGCCCTCTGTCCCTCTTGCAGCACCTGTGCCTGTGTGGAATACTATGGGAAGGCTCTGGAAGTGCTGGTGAAGGGCGTGAAGATTATGTGCATTCACGGAAAGATGAAATATAAACGCAATAAGATCTTCATGGAGTTCCGCAAATTGCAAAGGTGGGTGGGCTTCATTGAAGGTAGCAGCTCTCCTGCCACACTGCTCTTTCAGGTCCCCAAATGCCCCATTCTCTAGTAGCCTGTGCTGTCCGCATGTGTTGTCTTTCCTGCCTGGAACCCTCTTCCCTCTCTAATCTGGTTATCACATCTCTGTAAACACCCCGAGCCTCCATTGCCCTGTTCCAATTGCTTTGCCTTTTGCTATGTCATTTCCCTAGTTACTGAACTTCTGTGCTAGACAGCAGGCTCCGTGACACAGGAGTCCTGTGTATTGTCTTCACTCCCAGATTGCCCTGTGCCCGGTCCAGGGAAAGGTTGTGATGACTGTCAAGCAGCAAGGAGCAAATCCATTTGTCCTGTCTGGGTAGAAACTGTCTGTGGCTTAAGGCCGGACACGGTGGCTCACGCCTGTAATCCCAGCACTTTGGGAGGCCGAGGCGGGTGGATCACGAGGTCAGGAGATCAAGACCATCCTGGCTAACGTGGTGAAACCCTGTCTCTACTAAAAACAAAAAATTAGTCGGGCATGGTGGCTGGCGCCTGTAGTCCCAGCTACTCCAGAGGCTGAGGCAGGAGAATGGTGTGAACCCAGGAGGCGGAGCTTGCAGTGAGCCGAGACTGCGCCAGTGCACTCCAGCCTGGGTGACAGAGTGAGACTCCATCTCAAAAACAAACAAACAAAGAAACAAAAAAACAAAAAACTGTCTGTGGCTTATTAGGCTTGTGACTATACAGCAGGCAACTTGTGTCTACCAATGACCATAACTTGTATCTGCTTGTGCTGACAAATAATAGTTTTCTGTTTTTCTTAATCATTGAACATCTGACTATATTAAAAGTCTTCTTTTGGACAAAGTGATATACCTGACTGCTAGGCCTCAGTTATGGAGTGAATTGTCCGTTGTTTTTCAGATGGCTACAAAGGATTAGACCCATACAGTTTTGGTTTTCAAATGGCAGTGCTGTAATTTTTAAAATCCCTTTGCTGTCTCTCACCTCCCTCCAATTTTTATTGGAATTTATGAAGTCCCAGAGATTTGTAGAAAGAAGAAAAAATCAAAATATTACCTTAAACATTTGCTTCTGTGAGAAGCTCCAGCACCTGTGTGTCACTGTCATCGAGATCAGTAGGCTGTTTGATGGTGATGAAGATGGTGGCCTCCTTACTCAGAATGCTTTTTTCTCATTTCCTAGTGGGATTTTAGTGTGCACTGATGTGATGGCCCGGGGAATTGATATTCCTGAAGTCAACTGGGTTTTGCAGTATGACCCTCCCAGCAATGCAAGGTATGGTACGAGGCTGCCACCCACTCTCTGTTGAGGAATTTAGCCTAATAAAGGAGGAATCCCGAAGAAGATAAACAGATAATGATGTTCACTGAAACATTTTATAGCAAGCCTCCAGCGTGCTTGGGTCTGCAGTGACCCCGTGGATTCCTACAGGGCTTGCCAGAACAGTTTTGAAATGGTTTGAGGCCTTGCCGTGCTCCATGTAGAGCAAGGTTATAGAAATTTCAGACAATGAGAGAAAACAAAAAACAACAACATTATTTGAGGCTGGGCGCGGTGGCTCACGCCTGTAATTCCAGCACTTTGGGGAGGCCGAGGCAGGTGAATCGTTTGAGCCCAGGAATTCACCAGCTTGGGCAACAGGACAAAACCCTGTCTCTACAAAAAATATATATACAGATTAGCCAGGCGTGTGTTCCTGTAGTCCCAGCTACTTGAGAGGCTGAGGCAGGAGAATCGCTTGAGCGCAGGAGGCAGAGGTGGCAATGGATTGTGCCACTTCACTCCAGCCTGGGCAACAGTGTGAGACTCTGTCTCAAAACAAAAACCCGTTGTTTTAAGTAGCAAAAATAGGCAAATGGATGAATAACCCATTCATGGTGAAATCGTGATACTGTATTGGTAGCAATTAAAAGTACTTTCAAATATTATCAGTTCTTGCAGAAACACACAATAGAATGTCTAAATGAAAAAAGCAATACATACCACCACATGTGAAAATTACAATTACTTTCTTCAAAGTCAGCATATATTCCTAATACATGCTTCCACGCATAGGAAAATGCCTATAAACCCCCAAGTGTTGATGATTACTCCTGAGGTTATTGGTCATTTTCATTTTATTCTTTGTATTTTTCATTGTTTCCCAGATTTTCCACTGGGGACTATGTCCCACCTGTATGATCAGAGAGAAAGATACAAGTTTTACTTAAGAGTTCACATTAAATGTTTCTTACAGAATCGTATCTGTTTGCAGTGTTGGTTTAATTGCCAGTTCTATTTCTCACACTAGTAAGTGGCCGAGTCCACACTGAGCTGTGGAGGCTAGAGGCTCCCCAGAGCGTTTTAGCTGCAGCAGCCATGTGGCTGGAGCCTGAGCTCTGTTCAGCTGTCATCACCTGGGTACCCATTTCCACCCTGTGTTCTCACAGTGCCTTCGTGCATCGCTGCGGTCGCACAGCTCGCATTGGCCACGGGGGCAGCGCTCTGGTGTTCCTCCTGCCCATGGAAGAGTCATACATCAATTTCCTTGCAATTAACCAAAAAGTAAGCTGCCGTCCGTTTTCAGATAGAATGCCTAGTGACGGGGTAGCTGGAAAAGTTCTCCAGCATGTGGTCAGCAATTGAAATTACGAATTGCAAACTCACTGGGGCTGGGCTGGTGGTGGCAGTGGGGGGCCCTGGTGGGGTTTTTTTTTTTTTTTTTTGAGACGGAGTTTCACTCTTGTTGCCCAGGCTGGAGTGCAATGGCACTATCTCGGTTCACCGCAACCTCCACCTCCCGGGTTCAATGGATTCTCCTGCCTCAGCCTCCCAAGTAGCTGGGATTACAGGCATGCGCCACCCCAGCTAATTTTGTATTTTTAGTAGAGATGGGGTTTCTCCATGTTGGTCAGGCTGGTCTTGAACTCCCGACCTCAGGTGATCCGCCCACCTCGGCCTCCCAAAGTGCTGGGATGACAGGCGTGAGCCACCGTGCCCGGCCACCCTGGTGGGCTTTAAGGCTGTGGAGGCACCTCGGTCATGGAGTGACCAAGTCTCCTGTGTGGTAGCATGCCCTGCTGGGACCCAGGCAAGGGTTACTTCTTGTGAATAGAGACCCAGTGTTGCCATACTTTGCTACCAGATTAGGATTGTCATGTGAAATCTGATTTTTAAATTTTCTTTTAAAAATTTAACATACTTTACAGAGCATGTGAAATATTTGGGTTGGAGTTGGGCTTCAGACCTCAACAGTTGAAAAGGAATTGTTTCGCTTTTGTTTTTCTTGGTTGTGATGGGGAGCCCTGGGGATATGATGCCAGCCAGGGAAGGTGAGAATGTGGTATGTGTGTGTGTGTAGTGCCCCCTGCAGGAGATGAAGCCCCAGAGAAACACAGCGGACCTTCTGCCAAAACTCAAGTCCATGGCCCTGGCTGACAGAGCTGTGTTTGAAAAGGGCATGAAAGCTTTTGTGTCATATGTCCAAGCTTATGCAAAGCATGAATGCAACCTGATTTTCAGATTAAAGGGTAAGTTGGACTTCTTCATGTGATAATGTCTCCATCTTAACTATGTGGTGGTCTTACAAGTATGAGATTGCTTTGTCTCATAAAAGGAAGTGTTCCCAGGTTTTGAGTAGACACAGAATAAACTGGCCACTGGCTGCTGAGTATTCCTTTTAACTTTGTAAAAATGTAATTTTTTTAATTTTTGAGACAGAGTCGCGCTTTGTCACCCAGCCTGGAGCGCAGTGGCGCGATCTCGGCTCACTGTAAGCTCTGCCTCCCAGGTTCACGCCATTCTCCTGTCTCAGCCTCCCGAGTAGCTGGGACTACAGGCGCCCGCCACCACGCCCAGCTAATTTTTTGTATTTTTTAGTAGAGACGGGGTTTCACCGTGTTAGCCAGGATGGTCTCGATCTCCTGACCTCGTGATCCGCCCACCTCGGCCTCGCAAAGTGCTGGGATTACAGGCGTGAGCCACTGCACCCGGCCTCAATTATTTTCATTCTAACTAAAATGAATGCATTAAACCCTTTGGTTAGAAAAAAA
The DNA here is from genome assembly GCF_000001405.40 of Homo sapiens. Taxonomy (NCBI): domain Eukaryota; kingdom Metazoa; phylum Chordata; class Mammalia; order Primates; family Hominidae; genus Homo; species Homo sapiens. The sequence continues at coordinate 123,619,360 of NC_000012.12, forward strand.
TTATATTGTAAGCCATTACTGATTGTTCTAATCCTGTTGAGTGCGCTAACTCTGATCTTCTGATTGAATCAGATCTTGATTTTGCCAGCCTTGCTCGAGGTTTTGCCCTGCTGAGGATGCCCAAGATGCCAGAATTGAGAGGAAAGCAGTTTCCAGATTTTGTGCCCGTGGACGTTAATACCGACACGATTCCATTTAAAGATAAAATCAGAGAAAAGCAGAGGCAGAAACTCCTGGAGCAACAAAGAAGAGAGAAAACAGAAAATGAAGGGAGAAGAAAATTCATAAAAAATAAAGCTTGGTCAAAGCAGAAGGCCAAAAAAGAAAAGAAGAAAAAAATGAATGAGAAAAGGAAAAGGGAAGAGGTAAAGTTTACTTTTACTTACATTAACTTAGAATCTTGAACAAATTTATTGTAGTAGTTCTTTAAATAGGAATTGTGTGGGGCTGTCAGATTTCTGTTACGTTGGCGACCAGGGTGGGGAATTTGCTCTATTTGCAGAAGCCAATCTGAGAGCTTATAGTTCTTGAGTTAAAACTGCTGGTTTCACTACAACACTATTGCTGAAAAATTTAGTAGTTTATTGGTTTCTTCTGCACTTAGGGTTCTGATATTGAAGATGAGGACATGGAAGAACTTCTTAATGACACAAGACTCTTGAAAAAACTTAAGAAAGGCAAAATAACTGAAGAAGAATTTGAGAAGGGCTTGTTGACAACTGGCAAAAGAACAATCAAGACAGTGGATTTAGGGATCTCAGATTTGGAAGATGACTGCTGATTCCAGTGCCACAGATGAACCCACAAGGACATAGCTGTTCCCTAACTTGGTGGATGGCTCCAGTTTGCTTTTAACGAAAATCACAACTTCAGGAGACATCTGAAAAGAATGATGTCTCTGAAAGCTGTCCTTTCAGATGAGGGAGAAATGAAGGATTTCACACTTCAGAATATTTTACTAAAAACATTCCAGTCTTGGCCGGGTGCGGTGGCTCCTGCCTATAATCCCAGCACTTTGGGAGGCTGAGGCAGGAGGATCACTTGAGCCCAGGAGTTCAAGACCAGCCTGGGAACACAGCGAGACCCTCTCATTAAAAACAACAAAACAAAACAATTCCAGTCTTGGAGTAGTCTAACAGAAGAAAATGTAAAATTATTTGAGTGTAAATAATAGATGTCAGTATTTATCATGATGGGTCACATATAGACATATGTACATATTATATATATATATATATATATATATATATATATATATATATATATATAAGCTCTTTTTTCTGAGGCTATTTTATAGTTATTTTTAAACATAAAGATACAGAAGTCTTCTTGACTTCTGATTTTCAAAACCATTCCTCAGTATCTTCAGGCATTTGACCTCCTGAATGTGCTTGGCCCTGGGCTTCAGTTATCCTTTGATGTCCTGCAGGGGTGGCTAATGTGCTGGGGTTTTTCTGTGTTAATAGTCACAGTATTGTTTTATTGGTGAATAGCTGAAAAACAGAGGGATTAAGTCATATTCCGGGAAAGAGAATTATAGTTTTTATGCCTCCTGTTGAATAAATGGTGTCCTGATTGCCTGGGTCTTAAGTGTGTAAATGTAGCTGGACAGTGTTTTCCCCTAGATGGCCTGGTCAGCTTGCAGTATTGATGCAACACCACATCAGCGTCTTTCATAGAGTTTATTTGAAAAGATGCTGAATTTATTCCCAAGTATAATTTTAAAAAGCTGTTTAGGACCCAAACATATTTAAACATCTCTTACACATACAGAATTTCAGTTTACAAATATTCCAGAAGGCATTTTCTTAAGCAGTGAACCATGCAGAATACTGTTGCTAAACATCGTTTCTGCCTTCCTCGTGTTCTCTTGGTAGTTTTTACTGTTTGGCTTGATCCTGCTGAGGAATGTGCTTACCACTGGAAGCCAGATGCAGATTCAGCAAGTGTTTCTTGCCTCTTACAAGGCACCGCGTGTAACGTCCTGACCAGCTGTTGGTCATTTGTGGCAGAGGGGTGTGGCTGCTTTTCGCCTGCATCTCGCGTGCTTTAGGCAGATCAGTCTGGAGTGCAGGGGAGGATGAAGACAGGTGGACTTGGGCTCATCTTTCATCAGTTAAGTAGCCAATTATCTAACTTGTATTTCTGGAAACTGAAAAGGAAAGTTTCTAGAAACCGTAAGAACAATTTAAGTTGGGATTTAGAATAGCTGACACATTTTTAGATGGGACTGAAATGAGTAAGAAAGGTTCTCCAAGATGTATGATTTTAAGTCCTTACTCCATAAATCTTCATTAAACACATCTCAGTTTTGGCCTGACTCACTGGGGTGTCAAGCAGCTACTCACCCTGCCTCAACTACGTAAGCTGCACCTTGGCAGGAAAGGGCTCACAGGTTACAGATAGAGCTTGATGAGCTCATCGCTGACTGCTGAGGGTGTCAGCACGCCCAGGTCTGTAAACAGCAGAGTGATTAAGGAAGGGGCAGTGTAGTCGACCCACGGATGCTCCTCTTTGAGGTCTTGTCCAGTCTGCGCGACCTTGAGAGTGTCTGCCTTATACTGAGGAGAGAAGTACACATTAGTCGGCACTGAATATTTAGTGCTCTGACCTGGTAGGGCCTTGGTGTGAGTGATCAGTGTGCTACTTCCTGAGACTGCTCTCTGAAAATGGGAGAAACTAAGCTATGCAGGACACTAGAGACGAGGGCAGAGTTGTGGCCATGAGCCAGATCATGGCAGTGTGCTGGCTGAGAGCTGTAGTGTAACAAACTTAAATCCCATGTCCCCTCATTCTCATGCCGGATTAACTTCTCCAGACCTCTCAAGGGAAGATCGAGAGTCACAATAGAGAGCTTGCAGCGTGCCAGGGACTGTGCTAAGATTATCTTAGAATCCTCATGACCCTGTCAGATACTGCTATGCCATTTTACAGACAAGAAAACCGGTTCAGAGGTTGAAATGAAAGGACTTGCCTCAACTCGCACAGTTTGTAAGTTGTGGTGATGGGAGCTGAGCTCAGTTAAGCCCAAAGCTGGGACTTACCCACCAGCTTCGGGCTTCCTCTCCACCCATCTATGGTGCTACTTAAAGAGACTGAAAGACTGAAGTTCTAGGGACAAATGTGTGAGTCCAATCACCAATTTATCTTTGTATTCCAAGTGTTGGGGAAAGTAGCAATAGGAAGTGAAAAAATTACTGGAACATTCTTAGGACTACAATTTCCAAAGGTTTCTGTTTAGACTTTAGTACCCCTTCAAATATGTAAAACTCTTGCCTTAAACTTATCTGGGACGTCTTGCTGGTTTAGTGGAAAGAGCCGGACAAACTTGAAACTTTCTGCAACCACATAGAAAGGTTTGTTCTGTGCTTTGGCACACACAGCCATCTGGTTGGTTCCAATCTGGGAAGGCAGAAAATGGAATGGATGAGCTCTAGAGTGCATCTGAAGTAGAAGCCACAGAAAAGCGGGCCGGGCACAGTGGTGCATGCCTGTATTCCAGCATTTTGGGAGGCCGAGGTGGGTGGATCACCTGAACCCATGAGTTTGGGACCAGCCTAGGCAACACGGTGAGACCTCGTCTCAATTACAATAAAGGAACAATTAAAAAACAGCAATAGAAAGTTATGTATATAATATAGATATACATATATCTAATACATATATTAGATATATCTAATTCTGACTTTGGAATCAAAAAAATAAATGTTTCTCAAAGGATATAGAAACAGCCACTAGAGGCTGGATGTGGTGGCTCACGCCTGTAATCCCAGCACTTTGGGAGGCCGAGGTGGGTGGATCACCTGAGGTCAGGAGTTTGAGACCAGCTGGCCAATATAGGGAAACCCCATCTCTACTAAAAATACAAAAAATTAGCTGGGCATGGTGGGATGGGGGGTGCCTGTAATCCCAGCTACTAGGGAGGCTGAAGCAGGAGACTCGCTTGAACCCGGGCACTGGAGGTTGCAGTGAGCCAAGACTGTGCCATTGCACTCCAGCCTGGACAGCAAGAGTGAAACTCCATCTCAAAAAATAAAAAAATTTAAAAAAACAAGTGTTGGCAAGGATGTAGAGAAATTGGAACCTTTGTGCTTTGCTAGTGGGAATGTAAAGTAGTGCAGCTGCTGTGGAAAATCATTAGTTTCTGAAAGTTAAATATATAGTTACCATGTGACTCAACACTCTGCCTGCAGACCTCCGCCTCCCAGGTTCAAGCGATTCTCCTGCGTCAGCCTGCCAAGTAGCTGGGATTACAGGCACCCGCCACCATGCCCAGCTAATTTTTTGTATTTTTAGTAGATATGGGGTTTCACCATGTTGGCCAGGCTGGTCTCGAACTCCTGACCTCAGATGATCTACCTGCCTCAGCCTCCCAAAGTGCTGGGATTATAGGCGTGAGCTACTACGCCCGGCCTTATGTTACATATATTTTAACTAAAAAAAGCTTTCATGAAGCTTTTCTAAATTAAATAATGGAGAGAGAGATTGTAATAAATTGAGGTCAAATGTGCTCAATTAAAATGAAAACAAATGACAGGCCGGCCACAGTGGCTCATGCCTGTAATCCTAGCACTTTGGGAAGTGGAAAGATTGCTTCAGGCTAGGAGTTCAAGACTGCAGTAAGCTATGATCACTGTACTACACTACAGCCTGGGCAACAGAGTGAATGTGTCTCTATTTTAAAATATATATAATATTTATATATAAATACACGTATTTTATACATACATACTTTATATGTAAATATATAAATAATATTTTAAAAATATTTGTGTATATATATTATGTGTGTGTATATATATGCATAAATAAAACATACATATACACATAAATAAAGCAAAAACCAGACAAACCCCAATTCCAATTCAAGCCAATTTTGTATAAATATAAATTACACTTTTTTTTTTTTTTTTTTTACTGAGACAGGGTCTCACCATCGCCCAGGCTGGAATGCAGTAGTGTGATCATAACTTACTGCAACCTCAAATTCCTGGGCTCACGTGATACTCCTGCCTCAGCTTCCTGGGCAGCTGGAACTACAGGCAAGCACCACCACGCCCAGCTAATTTTTCTAATTTTTTGTAGAGACAGGGTTTCACTATGTTGCCCAGGCTGGTCTTGAACTCAAGGCCTCAAGTGATCCTCCCACCCTGGCCTCTCAAATTGCTAGGATTACAGGTATAAGGCATCACACCTGACCAAATTACATTGTCTTCATTTATGTAGATCAATCTAAAAAAGATTTGACTGAAACTGGACTGCCCATTGCTATGACTTACGGGAAATGGGCAACAACTCAATACCATGATGAAGTCCTGAAGTGAAGCAGGATTAGAAGGAACCATAATCAACACTGCTGTGGTGTCCTAGGTCAGCAAGACACCTCCAAGTCTTGAGCAGGGAACTGGGGAGAACTGATGCTCTTACCTTGTTAATAATTCCTCCGTTTTCAACAACTCCTTCAGCACCAACTATGACAAGATCTGCTTTCTCCATGATGTAGCTAAGGGGAAAAAAAGCTTTTCATGCTTTATTTTCTTGGCTCTAACGAGTAGCATCATCATCTGCAAAGATCAATATTCCATTTCTATCAAGGTAAGTTCCTCCCATAACTACCTGTTTTTTTTAAAGCGCACTTAACACGCGATAGACCCCTGGCATTGTTACCAGGGGTGTTTTCTGGTCATGACCCTACAATGAGACATACACTTCACACTGCCGCCCGGCGCATGCACACGTACATATGTGTGTAAGTGAAGCAAGAATGTCCTGACACAGCAGTCTTCCTTCCAAGTGTGGTATCCTCTACTTTCTTTTCTACTTCAGCACAAACCAAACAAAATTTTAAAATCTGATGAGATCTGAAGTTGGACAAAAGTGTTATGCAGTTTTAAAAATCTTTCTTTTTTTTTTTGAGACCAGATCTCACTCTGTTGCCCAGGCTAGAGTGCAGTGGCATGATCTCAGCCCAAACCTCTACCTCTTAGGCTCAAGCGATCCTCCCATTTCAGCCTCCCAGGTAGCTGGGACCACAGCATATGCCACCATGCCCTAGAGATGGGGTTTCGCCATATTGCCCAGGCTGGTCTCCAACTCCTGAACTCTAGCGATCCACCTGCCTCAGGTATGAGCCACTGTGCCCAACCTTAAGAATCTTTCTGGTAGGATGAAGGCCAATTTAGTCTTTAAAATGAGCAATTAGTAGAATTCCTCAAAATCCTTACTTTTGAACACATTCCTAATTTCCTTAATCATCTATCTTGTTTTCATTCCAAGAGATCACTACTCTTGTTTTTTCTTGGGAAATACACTGACAATCCCAGGAACATGTGACTTGGCTTTGCGACACAAGCTGCATCTTCTAGGTGAGACAAAGCATCCCAGTATGCCACTGAGGACAGCCAGGTCTTCACAGAAATACAGAGCCCTGATTACCCTCTGCTGATCCCAACTGACCTTTGTACTTTGCTCTTAAAATGCATTTGCACTGGCTGGGCGTGGTGGCTCACGCCTGTAATCCCAGCACTTTGGGAGGCCAAGGCGGGCAGATCACCTGAGTTCAGGAGTTCGAGACCAGCCTGGCCAACATGGTGAAACCCCATCTCTACTAAAAATATAAAAGAATTAACGTGGCATGGTGGCATGCGCCGGTAATCCCAGCTACTTAGGAGGCTGAGGCAGGAGAATCGCTTGAACCTGGGAGGTGGAGATTGCAGTGAACCAAGATCATGCCATTGCACTCCAGCCTGGGCAACAGGGCAAGACTCCATCTCAAAAAAACAAAAAACAAACAAACAAAAACAACAACAACAACAAACTCAACACTTACAGCCATAAAGCTATAGACACAACTCCCACTCTCCCCAACATCCTACAGCTCTGTCTTCTTTGTATGCTATCACAACCTCATAACAAGCTTGCTGGTTTAGGGCAGCTATTAATTAAGAAGTAGGACGCTACCTGGTGTGGCTTTATGAACGGGACTCAAACTTTCAATCTGAAAACTTGCTGTAAGCCAGCATGGGGTGGGGGAGGTGATTATGGCTGGGGAAGATGGGCACTCACCCGACAGCAGCATCTAGCACCACAGTGACAGGGACGTTGAGGTGGCAGAGGGCTTTGGCCATTTTCTTACTGAAGATGACATTTTGAGAACGTTAGAGAAAGTACAAGACAGTACCACAGTGATGTATGTCACCTAATGTGGACAGTGGATGTTTGCTTGAAACTCACATTAATACTAATGGGTTAAGGGGCAGATCCCAATACTTTGGACTAAGGAAACAAGAATTTGAGTTCTTTAGAAAGAAGTATTTTTGGAAAACTATACTCTTAGACTCTGGGTAAGAGATGTAAATTCAGGAAAAAAGGAGGAAGTTTTGCTTTGATTATCGTCTAGAGAGAGGGAGATATAAGTTACCTATTCCTTGATAAAAATCTTCATCAATACAATCTCTGCTCTTCCACGGAGTTAACTACTTAAGTGAAACCCCTAGATCATATACTGCGGCCTGCTGCAAATTCAGTGATTTTTCTTCCAAAGGCAGGAAAAGGTACAATGAAAGGCAGTGCTGACTGCTGGCAAGCTGGGGGCACATTCTGGTTCTGATCCTGTTGGACTGTAATCCGCAGTTTGCTCTGTAAAATTATGGCTGGGCACATAACTGAACAGAAAGGTACTTGCCCTGACAAATCAGGCTGTGACTCTGTGACGTATACACTAAATCGCTTCTTGGCCGCCACGGCTGCTTCCAGGACTCTCAGGACCACTCTGGAGTAGGCGTGAGTCAATATTGTCTGTGGACCGAGAAAGCTTTGTCAAAGGGGCAGGCTCCTTGCTGCTCACTCACACCCTCTGCACTGCGGCACGTGTTCCCGACACCCTAAGCATCTCTGTACACTTTCTCACAAATCAACCACAACCAGAAAGGAGACCTGATGGTACAGTTTCCATCCCATGTGCAAGCTAAAAAAGTTTCTGCCAGGTCTCACATCCTGTAGCAGGTGCAGAAATGGAACTCCCACACAGTGTTACCCAAAGGATACAAAAGCCTGGATAGCTGAAGGCTCCATGAGGTTCCCTTGGGTTGGTTTTCCTATTTCTAAGACATGGTTTGCACACGCAGGCCTACAGGAACCAAGTAGGTAGCAGAAGTCACTGCAGCAGGTTGGGTGGGGCCAGCAGCAAAGCGAAAGGCTACAGAAGGCTGGGTGTGGTGGCTCACGCCTGTAATCCCAGCATTTTGGGAGGCCAAGGTGAGAGGACTGCCTGAGCCCAGGAGTTCAAAACCAGTCTGGGCAACTTGGCAAGACCTCATCTCTACAAAAAATAACAACAAAAAAAATTAGCTGGATGCAGTGGCATGTGCCTATAGTCCCAGCTACTTGGGAGGCCGAGGTGGGAGGATCACTTGAGCCTGGGAGGTTGAGGCTGCAGTGAGCCATAATCATGCCAGTGCACTCTAGTCTGGGCAAGAGAGTGAGACTCTGTCTCAAAAAGAAAAGGCTAAGGAGGGCCAGGACTCCTCAGCCCCAGCTGGCGTCATGTGGCCCCAAGATTGCCAGACCAGGTGATGTTTCAAAAATCCAATTTTGAAATGATGGCTAACTAATTTTTTTGAATTTATAAACACTGTTTGGGGTAATCACAACCTATCTGTGGCGTGGATGCAATGTGTAGACACTTAGACATAATCTGTTTTCTTTTCTTTCTTGAGCCAAGGTCTTGCTCTGATGCCTAGGCTGGAGTGCAGTGCAGTGTTCATGGCTCACTGTAGCCTCGACATCCTGGGCTCAAACGATCCTCCCACCTCAGCCACCCCAGTAGCTGGGACTACAGATGTGCGCCACTGTGACTAGCTAATTTATTTTATTTTTTGTAGAGACAGGGCCTCTCTCCCTATGTTGCTCAGGCTAGTGTTGAATTCCTGGCCTCAAGGGAACCTCCGGCTAGGATTATACACATAAGCCACCACAGTAGGCCCATAACCTCTTTTTTTTTTTTTTTTTTTTTTTTTGGTGAGACAGGATCTCACTCCAATTGCCCAGGCTGAAGTGCAGTGGTATGATCTCAGCTCACTGCAGCCTCAACTTCCTGGGTTCAGGTGATTCTCCCACCTGAGCCTCCCAAGTAGCTGGGACCACAGGAGTGTGCCACCACGCCTGGCTAACTTTTTGTATTTTTAGTAGAGATGAAGTTTTGCCATGTTGCCCGGGCTGGTCTTGAACTCCTGGACTCAAGCAATCTGCGTGTCTTGGCTTTCCAAAGTGCTGGGATTACAGGCATGAGCCACCATGCCCAGCCTCCATAACCTCTTTTCTATGGAAGAGTGCAGAAGACAGAATAAGACAAGGGGGCAGAACCAGCTCTCTAGCTCCTTTCTGGGTCTCACCTGAGAACCCGTTAGGAAGGCAGGTTCGTGGACCCTAGCCCAAACCCACTGAATCCCGATCTGCATTTAATAAGACCCCAGCTGACTCCTCTGCATGTGCAAATCTGAGCAGCTCTGCTATAAATTTTGTCTAAATCAGTCCTGAGTAGGTGACTGCAGGTAAAGTACATACATACCACACTACACTAGAGCAAACGAAACCCGCACAATACTGACGGCACAGCAGGTCTGTGGAAGGAGAAGGCCCCAGCGAGAGGAAGTCACAACCTTGCCTCCACTTGCCCAAAAAAGGCTTCGTTTGCAACTGGCTTTTCTACAAGTTTCACTCACATCTATTATGCCATTTATTTAATAACATACTTCAAAGGTTGGGAAGGGGCTAATAAAATGGAGGACAAGATTTAAGAGTCAAAATGCAAGTAAATGATTTTATGATCAGGGGAGGCCTAGGTGGCAAAAGGACGTATGCTGGTGGGAGGGGCATTATGATAGTTTCATTACACCTTTACTGGAAGATGGTTCAACTTGCACCTCCTGTCTTTCCTCACTTATAAACACTGCGTGGCTTTACATCTCTGTAATAGCATCTAAAATGAAGTTAAAAAGAAAATTTCCCTCAATTTCCCTCTATTGCTAACCTTCACTAAGAAAGTCCTCAGTGTTAACCAGTGACAAGAGCTGTTCTGTTAATTCAGATTTACTACACATACAATCATAAAAATACTTCTTTAGTAAAACACTGTATTAAATCAAGAATCAGGGCCAGGTGCGGTGGCTCACGCCTGTAATCCCAGCACTTTGGGAGGCCGAAGCGGGTGGATCACAAGGTCAGGAGATCGAGACCATCCTGGCTAACACAGTGAAACCCCGTCTCTACTAAAAATAAAAAAAATTAGCTGGGCTTGCTGGTGGGCACCTGTAGTCCCAGCTACTCGGGAGGCTGAGGCAGGAGAATGGTGTGAACCCAGGAGGCGGAGCTTGCAGTGAGCTGAGATCGCGCCACTGCACTCCAGCCTGGGTGACAGAGCAAGACTCCGTCTCAAAATAAATAAATAAATAAATAAAATAAATCAAGAATCACACGTGCTGTCCCACTGTCCCTCTCTGCCTGTTTACAATGACAACCATCTCTAATAACAAGACCTACATTCATGCAGCACTTACTAAGTGCCAGGCACAATACCAAGCCCTCACACCCCTTGCCCCTTACATGTCTTGCCTCATTTAATCCTCACAACAACCCAAGGAGGTAGGTACTATTGTCATCCTTATTTAACAGATGAGAAAGCTGCACAGACAGGTTAAGTTACTTGTTCAAGTCTCCACAGCAAGTGAGTGGCAGAGCCCGGATTTTACCCCAGGCAGTCGGACTCGAAACCGTTGCTCCTCCTTACCACCATGATGATTATCCACTCACCGCTCCATCTTTGATGAAAGTATGGCACAGATCTGCAATTTTGTTTCTTGACAGTGATATTCTCCTGAGAAAAAGTTCTCCCCGCTCAATCATGATCTTTTTACATTTGGAGTAATCCTAGGAAGAAAAGAGCAAACTGAGGGGACAGGGAAGATCCAGTTAATGCTGAGAATGTCTGTCACTAAACAGAGAAGTGGAAAGGTAACCCCAGGGAGAACAGGCACTTACGGAGTATTCCAGGGAGGCAAGACTGATGAAGCGGAGGAAGAGCTCCCCGCCAGAGGACACTGCCACAGAGGAGTCCACACCACACAGGGTTTCTATGGCACTGGTGAGATTCGCCCTCAGACCCTGGATTGTCTCCCCTGGAATGATCCAACAAGGAATGTGATGTTCACATTAGGGCCACAGCCCCGACCTGTATCTTCAATTCATTCATTCATTCAGTGAATATTTACTAGGTACATACTATATACCAGGCACTATTCTAGATGCTAGGGATACATCAGTGAACAAGACAGGTAGGGTTCTGCTGTGATGGAGTTTTGATTGTAATAGAGGAAGCGGATAGTAAACAAGCACACATAGAAATAAAGCTGGGTGGCTGGGCATGGTGGCTCACGCCTGTAATCTCAGCACTTTGGGAGGCTGAGGCATGGAAAGACATTAAGTAGCAGCGGCAGATGAGGTCTGCAAGGTGGTATGGGTGAGGCTAAGGTTGTTTGGATGTTATTTTAAGAACAATGGGAAGACACTGGAGGTTGCCTTAAAGACATGTGTCTCTAGGCAAGCCCTTCAGATTAAAGGCTGCATTATTATTTTGCTTATACAAGATTTCATGCTATACCCAGATGCTTACATTTAGGGTGCTGAATTAGGGGATCACAATAAATAATACTAATACCAGAATTTATTCTGGAATATTCCCTGTAGCATCTGTACAGAATCTGGCACAAGGTGGAGGCCTAATAAACACTTATAAAGCTGAACTGCTACTGAAATTTACGCATCATGGTTAACACAATATAACATAGTCACTCTCGATTCAAAGTCTGTTTCACTTATGAAAGGGATCCTTTTCATGACAACGTAAGAGCTCTCTCCAGATTGAAAGGTCTGAAATGAAGGCAGAAGCTGAGCTTGGAGCTGTATTACTACTTTATGCAGGCAAACATGCATCTCTCACTTTCTACATTTCTAAGAGTCATTAGAAGACTTTCCTGGCCGAACATGGTGGCTCACGCCTGTAATCTCAGCACTTTGGGAGGGCGAGGCGGACGGATCACCTGAGGCTAGGAGTTTAAGACCACTGTGGCCAACATGGTGAAACCCTGTCTCTACTAAAAATAAAAAAATTTGGCCGGGCCCGGTGGCTCACGCCTGCAATCCCAGCACTTTGGGAGGCCGACATGGGCGGATCACGAGGTCAGGAGATCGAGACCATTCTGGCTAACAAAGTGAAACCCCGTCTCTACTAAAAATACAAAAAATTAGCTAGGCATGGTGGCGGGCGCCTGTAGTCCCAGCTACCTGGAGGCTGAGGCAGGAGAATGGCATGAACCTGGGAAGCGGAGCCTGCAGTGAGCCAAGATGGCACCACTGCACTCCAGCCCGGGTGACAGAGCGAGACTCCGTCTCAAAAAAAAAAAAAAAAATTTTGCCAGGCGTGGTGGTGCATGCCTGTAATCCCAGCTACTCAGAAGGCTGAGGCAGGAGAATCGCTTGAACTTGAGAGGCAGAGGTTGCAGTGAGCCGAGATTGTGCCATTGCACTCCAGCCTGGGAGACAAGAGCAAAACTCTGTCTCAAAAAAAACAAACGGCCGGGCACAGTGGCTCACACCTGTAATCCTAGCACTTTGGGAGGCCAAAGCGGGCAGATTGCCTAAGCTCAGGAGTTCGAGACCAGCCTGGGTAACATGGTGAAACCCTGTCTCTAAAATACAAAAAAATTAGCCGGACAAGGTGGTGCACACCTATAATCCCAGCTACTCAGGAGGCCAAGGCAGGAGAATTGCTTGAACCCAGGAGGCGGAGGTTGCAGTGAGCCAAGATCTCGCCACTGCACTCCAGCCTGGGTGACAGAGTGAGGCTCCGTCTCTTTAAAAAAAAAAAAAAAGAAAAGAAAAAAAAGACTATCCTAAGTCCCAGAGTGTTAACAGATGACTCTCTATATACCTTTATCTCTCTTCAAGAACTCCAGCAACGTCCGGATGGCAGCCACTGCTGAGGCCATGTCAGGATCTTCTTTCATCTGAGACTTAAAGTATTCAATTAACTCTGGAAAAAGGGAAAAAAGTGATTCACCTAATTCATTTAGCAGCCTATAAGGCAAGAGAGCTTGTTAATGACTGTTGACTTTAAGAAGCAAACAATTTAAAAAATACTTTCTTTTTAGGGTATTTGGTTTCAGGGATGCAATAAATGTTGATGGGAATAGAGAAAATACCACTTTGCTGTTTGCAAGAGCTCTTTTTTATTTTGAAAAAGCTACTGGTGGCCGGGCGCGGTGGCTCACGCCTGTAATCCCAGCACTTTGGGAGTCCGAGGCGGGCGGATCACGAGGTCAGGAGATCGAGACCATCCCGGCTAAAACGGTGAAACCCCGTCTCTACTAAAAATACAAAAAATTAGCCGGGCGTAGTGGCGGGCGCCTGTAGTCCCAGCTACTTGGGAGGCTGAGGCAGGAGAATGGCGTGAACCCGGGAGGCGGAGCTTGCAGTGAGCCGAGACTGCGCCACTGCACTCCAGCCTGGGTGACAGAGCGAGACTCCGTCTCAAAAAAAAAAAAAAAAAAGCTACTGGTGTGCAAGGCCTAAAAATTAAGCCCGAGTAAATGATGATGAAAAGTCATTCTCTCTTCAGCCTCTTTGGTCCTAAAATCTGAGAGGATCCCAGAGTCAACCATCTTGCCAATTTCTCCTGCACCCCTCCAGACAGTCTATGCTAATACATGTCTATTCACATACACATATATGTTACAAATATTATACATGGAGTTCCACCCACTCCCCTTTATTTCTTTACATGAAAAGTGTATTAGTTTGCCCTTGTTTTTCACTTAATAACCATACTAGATGAGCACATCAAATATGCCTTATTCATTCTAATTTTAATGACAGATCCAACAAGGCAGGAAGGAGACTGGCACTGGGAAGGAGCGTATGTGTGGGAGGGATGCCTGCAGATACTGCCAGGGCGCATCCCTGAAAACAAGAGCAGCGCGAGGGATTTAGTTGTGACTCTGGAAACACAACCAGCGGAGCAGCCTGAAATTCAAAAGAAATCTCTTCGGGAGCTCAGCCTGGATGTGAGAGGTTGGGGGGACCCCTGAACGGCGCTGCTGTAGCCTAGCAGCCCTGGCCTGTCTTGATTTACCCTTGTCGTCCATGGCGTCCTCCTGCTGCGGAGCCCCAGGGGACCCGAGCCGCCCGCGCTGTCTCGAACGGGTCCGCCGGCCGCGCCGCCTGCGAGCCAGTCTGACAGCGCGCTGCACACCTCCGCACCCCACTTCCGGCGCACTTCCGTACCCCTCTTCCGGCGCACTCCCCGCACTCCACTTCCGCAGATTAGGGGGCTGGCACGAGTCACAGCACCTCGTGCGTCACTTGGCGGCGCCGGACGTTGGGCTGCGCAGGATTTGAGACGCTCCCCTGACCACCACTTGCTCTGCGCTGAGGTGCTGGGACAGCCATGGTTTCAGACGGTGAGGACCCTGCAGGGCGGGACTTCGACTCCGGGGCTCGGCTGTCTCGGTCCGGCTACGACTGGCCAGATGGAATGTGTCTTTTGGGCTGGATAGAATCCGTTTGGTCTTTAGAGGAGTAGCCAAGGCATTCAGTCATTCATTCAGTAAATAGTTTTGGATCGCCTCCTGTGTACAGGCATTATTTTCTGGATTTTAGCAGAGATCGTGACAGACAGGGGCCTTAGTGGAGGTTACAGTCTACTGGGTGAAACAGATGACAATAAATAAAAATAATTTCGGCCGGGTCGCACCCCGGTGGATTAGGCCTGTAATCCCAGCACTTTGGGAGGCCGAGGAGGGAGAATCGCTTGAAGCCGGGAGTTCGAGACCTGCCTGGGCAACACAGCCAGACCCCATCTCTACAAAAAAAATGAAATATTAGCCGGGCGTGGTAGCGCGTGTCTGTGGTCCCAGCTACGCGGGAGGCTGAGGCGGGAGAATCACTTGAGCCCAGGAATTCGAGGCTTCAGTGAGCTATTATGGCAGTACTGCACCCAGCATGGCCGACAGGGCATGACCTCGTCAATAAAAAATTAAAAAATAAATTATTTTTCAAAGGATGAAAAGAGCTATGAAGATGATGTAACAGTACGGTCCTAGTTACAATAGTACATTGTGACTAGGATTGAGGAGGAGCTGTTTTAGATAGGGGCCTAGGAAAAGTGCAGGATATTGAAACCGACTTGAATGATTATGTGAAGTTCTGGGGGAAGTGCACTTTAAGTGCATGGGCCCTGTGGCAGATTGAGCCACCAAGTTACACTGAGAAGGGAGAAATGGAGAGCTTGCGGGTAGAGGATGGTGGGGAGACTCATTCATACATTAAACTACCACATACAGAGTCAGATGTCTTGAAGATTTAAAAGGAGGCTAGAGGGATGAGATCAGAGAACCAGCCAGTTTCAGGTCATGCAGGGCCTTATTGGCCGTGATAGAGAAGTTGGCCTTTATTTTTAGGTGCAATACAAAGACATTGTAGAGTTTTAAGCCAGAAAGTGTTATGATCTGGTTTGCAATTTTAAAAGATCACTGTGGCTGTTGTGTGGAAAATGGACTGTGGGGAGCAAGAATAGAGATAGGGGAGTCCTTTCAGGAACTGTAATAATTGTCCATCCTCTCTTAATTGATGTGAAACCATACCACAACCCTGTGAGGGAGGCAGGCCTGGCATTGCTCCTGTCTACAAATGAGGTAGCGAACTAAAGAAGGAAATTCACAGGGTCATTGCATGTGTATAGATGCACACCTTTCTTTACAGGCAACGCTTTTTCTGTCTGGCAGACACAGTTGTATTAAGTGCTTCTGTCCTAGGTGCTTTGTTGTGTGATTTACACATTTTTTTGTTTTGTTTTTCTATTAAAAAAGAAAAAAAGTGGCTGGGCACAGTGGCTCACGCCTGTAATCCCAGCATTTTGGAAGGCCAAGGTGGGTGGATCACTTGAGGTCGGGAGTTCGAGACCAGCCTGGCCAACATGGTGAAACCCCGTCTCTGCTCAAAATACAAAAAAATTAACCGGACAAGGTGGCGCACACCTATAATCCCAGCTACTCAGGAGGCTGAGGCAGGAAAATTGCTTGAACCCAGGAGGCAGAGGTTGCAGTGAGCCAAGATCGTGCCACTGCACTCCAGCTTGGGCGACAGAGCAAGTCTCCGTCGCAAAAAAAAAAAAAAAAAAAAGGTAGAGATAAGGTCTCACTGTTTTGCCCAGGCTGGTCTCAAACTCCTGGGCTGAAGCAATCTTCCTGCCTCGACCTCCCAAAGTGTTGGGATTACAGGCGTGAGCCACTACACCAGTTCTGATTTACACACATTATTTTATCCTAGGATTAGCAAATTCCATCATTTTTTAAGAAGTCCACAGTCTTAAGTGGGCAGGACTGGGACGAGAGATCAGAAGCACAACTAACTGTAAAATAAAATAGTAAGTGCTAAGTGTCATTAGAAGAGAGAGCTGTGGGTTGTCAGAGGTGGGCAGTGGGGCAGTGAAGAGCCACAGTCTTTATAGTCAAGCAGATCTGTCTTTAGAACAGGGCTTTGGCCTTGCCACTTGTTAGCAGGCCATATGTGACTTAGGACAAGTTACTTTCATTTGCAGAATACGAATACCATATATCATATTTCAGCTAATCTAAGATAATATTGATTATGAGATGTGCCCTTATTTAATATACCATTAAGAAAGAAAAAATGCTGCTAATCTTAATGATAAAGATACCATCCAGATGTCAACAACTATTCAATGTAAAAAACAAGGGGTGGGGGTCATCTTATAATTGATGAAAAATGGCAGGAAAATGTCCTTTGCTGGGTGGTTGTCAGGGTGGAATGGGATTTTGGGATTGCAGATTCCGGTGCTTAGTGCAGAGGAGGCTGGCATTCCTTCTGCTCTGAGATAGGGGAGTCATGAAGAAGAAAGAGTTTGCGCTGGTTTGGGGCTTTGAGGAGTAATTGGGATTTGAATACACAGAAATCAAAGATGGGGTAGAGATTCTCCTAATGTAGAAGACAGGACTGCAGGAAGCAAAGTACGGAGGGAGGAAAGGCATTACTGCTCTTTGCTATTAAATGAGCATCCTAGAGCCGGGCACGGCGGCACATGCCTGTAATCCCAACACTTTAGGAGGCTGAGGTGGGAGGATCACTTGAGCCCAGGAGTTCGAGACCAGCCTAGGCAACAAAGTGAGACCCTGTCTCTACAAAAATTTAAAAATTAGCCAAGTGGCTGGGTGTGGTGGCTCATGCCTGTAATCCCAGCACTTTGGGAGGCCAAGGCGGGCAGATCACCTGAGGTCGGGAGTTCGAGACCAGCCTAACCAACGTGGAGAAACTCTGTCTCTACTGAAAATACAAAATTAGCTGGGCGTGGTGGTGCATGCCTGTAATCCCGGCTACTCAGGAGGCTGAGGCAGGAGAATCGCTTGATCCCGGGAGGCGGAGGTTGCGGTGAGCCGAGATCGCGCCATTACACTCCACCCTGGGCAACAAGAGCAAAACTCCGTCTCAAAAAAAAAAAATAATAATTAGCTGGATGTGGTAGTGCACGCCTGTTGTCCCAGCTGTGTGGGAGACTGAGACAGGAAGATCACTTGAGCCCAGGAGGTCAAGGCTGCAGTGAGCTATATTCGTGGCACTGTACTCCAACCTTGAGACCTTGTCTCAAAAATTTGTTTAAAAATACATAAATAAATAAATGAGCATCCTGGGCCTTTCATAACAGTGTATACTCACAGGTTTGTATGTCTGTCTGTCACCTCAATTAGAGTATAGTCTCTTTGAGGGGTTGGACCCAGTATCCCCAACACCTAACACTGGTAGTGTGAAAGTTTGTTGAAGGATTAATGTGTTTGGGGTGGTGCGTGCATGTAGTCCTTACTACTGGGGAGGCTGATGCAGGAGGATCACAAGCCCAGGATTTCAAGACCAGCCTGGGCAATTTATTGAGACCCCCCCATCTCTTAAAAAAAACCCAAAAAACAAAAATCCAAATGAATGATTAATGTGTTGTGGTAGCCTGTTTAGTTTAGAGAATAGAATTCCTCTTAACAGTAAAATCTTGACGTAGGAATTGCTTTTCCCTCTGTTTTTTAACTTTTTTTTTTTTTTTTGAGACAGAGTCCCACTCTGTCACCCAGGCTGGAGTGCAGTGGCAAGATCTCAGCTCACTGCAACCTCTGCCTGCCAGGTTCAAGTGATTCTCCTGCCTCAGCCTCCCGAGTAGCTGGAATTACAGGTGTGCACCACCATGCCCGGCTAATATTTTGTATTTTTAGTAGGGACGGGGTTTTGCCATATTGGCTAGGCTGGTCTTGAACTCCTGACCTCAGTGATCTGCCCACCTCAGCCTCCCAAAGGGCTGGGATGGGCGCCCAGCCTGGTTTTTTTACCTTTTAAAAAGTGACTCTTAATTACGATTGGCCTTGCTGCTACATGATTTGATGAGTACGGGCCAAATTGACAGCTACGCCTCCCTTTAATTTTTTGCTCCTGAAATTCTACCACTGGGATTCCTACTACTAGTTAACCAGTGCCTTCTGTCCTTGACCAGGCATTCAGAATGCAGTAGGTGGTTTTGTTTGTTTGTTTGTTTGTTTGTTTGTTTCCAGACGGGGTCTCATTCTGTCTCCCAGGCTGGAGTGCATTGGCAGGAACATGGCTCACTGTAGCCTCGACTTCCCGGTCTCAAGCGATCCTCTCTCCTCACCCTCCTGAGTAGCTGGGACTACAGGCATGTGCCACCATGCCCGGCTATTTTTTTTTCCCCGAGATGAAGTCTTGCTCTGTTACCCAGGCTGGAGTGCAGTGGTGCAATCTTGGCTCACTGCAGCCTCCGCCTCCCGGGTTCAAGTGATTCTCCTGCCTCAGTCTCCCGAGTAGCTGGGATTACAGGTGCTTGCCACCAAACCCAGCTAATTTTTTTTTTTTTTTGTATTTTTAGTAGAGATGGGGTGGCTCAACATGTTGGCCGGGCTGGTCTTGAACTTATGACCTCAAGTGATCCCCCCTCCTTGGCCTTCCAAAATGCTGGGATCACAGGCATGAGCCACCGCGCCCGGCCCTAATTTTTATATTTTTAGTAGAGAAAAGGTTTTGCGATATTGCCCAGGCTGGTCTTGGGAACTTCTGAGCTCAAGCCATCTGCCTGTCTTGGCCTCCCAAAGTGCTAGGACTACAGGCCTGTGCCACCACACCTGGCCCTCGTTCAGTAGATATTTATTGAGCAGCTGCAATGTGCTAGGCAGTGTGGTAGGAGTGAGGATAAGCAGTGAACAAAAGAGACAAAAATTCCTACCCTCACAGAGTTTACATTTAGTGCATTGGAGATATAGTGGTTCAGGACGTAGACAAGAACTTGCTAAGGGCCCACTGTGCTTTAAAGCTTTTTTTTTTTTTTTTTTTTTGAGACAGAGTCTTGTTCTGTGGCCCAGGCTGGAGTGCAGTGGCGTGATCTCGGCTCACTGCAAGCTCCGCCTCCTGGGTTCACGCCATTCTCCTGGCTCAGCCTCCCGAGTAGCTGGGACTACAGGCGCCCACCACCACGCCCATCTAATTTTTTGTATTTTTAGTAGAGACGGGGTTTCACCGTGTTAGCCAGGATGGTCTCGATCTCCTGACCTCGTGATCTGCCTGCCTCGGCCTCCCAAAGTGCTGGGGTTACAGGCGTGAGCCACCACGCCCTGCCCAGCTTTAAAGCTTTAACTGGGTCTTCTGTTAATCTCATAATTATAAGGTGATAAACATTTAAGGCATATAGTGGTGCTCTGGATTTAATTTATGAATTGGGAATGTTAGCTTTGATTCATTTTTATGGAGCTAATGTTTTAAATTTTATTTCTTGTTAATATTTTCAGAAGATGAATTGAATCTTCTGGTTATTGTAGTTGATGCCAACCCAATTTGGTGGGGAAAGCAAGCATTAAAGGAATCTCAGGTAAGACTGCTTGAGGAGGCCTTTGGAGAATTCTGGTTTAACTGAGTGTTTATATTGCTTTTTTAAAAAATGGCTTTATTAAAGTATAATTTACATACTGTAATATTCAGCCACTGTACAATTCAGTGATTTTTTTTAAGTAAATTTGCGAAGTTGTGTAACCAGCCCCACATTTCTGCTTTAGAATATTTCTTTGACTGCGTAGCGTTCCCTCATGCCTGCTTGCAGTCAATCCCTGCTTCTATCTCCAAGCTGCAAGCAACCACTGATCTGCCCTCTATCTCTAAATTCCCTTTTCTGGACATTTCATGTATTGATTTCATACAATATGTGGTCTTAAAAAATACTTTCTATTTTGAAATATTTTATTTTTAAATAATATAGACATAGGAAACCAGAAAAGATACAGAGAGGTCCTGTGTACCCATCACTCAAGTTCTTTCAGTGGTGACATTTTACATAATGATAGTACAATTTTGAAACTATCAGTGCAATCTACAGACCTAAGCAGATTGCAGGTTTTACATGTGCTCACTTGTGTGTATGCGTGCGTGCGTGTATGTGTGTGGTTCTGTGCAGTTTTACCACATTCATTGATTTGTGTGTCCATCAGCACCACCATCTCATGCCTCAGCCTCCCGAGTACTTGGGACTACAGGTGCGTACCACCATGCTCAGCTAATTGTTTGTATTTTTAGTAGAGATGGGGTTTTGCCATGTTGGCCAGGCTGGTCTCGAACTCCTGGCCTCATGTGATCTGCCCGCTTTGGCTTCCTAAAGTGTTGGGATTATGGGAGTGAGCCACCGCACCTGGCTGATTCTTCATGTTTGTTCGTTTGTAATCTGGTCCCACTCTCGACCACACCTTCTTTGCCTGTCTGTACTCCCAGGCAACTCTTGATCTCTTTGTGTCACTGTAGATTAGTTTGGATTTTCTAGATTTTTTTCATGTAAATGGAATCAAACAGGTTATAGTGGGGAGGTTTTTGTGGCCTTTTTTTTTTTTTTTTGAGACGGAGTTTTGCTCTTGTTGCCCAGGCTAGAGTGCAATGGCGCGATCTCGGCTCACTGCAACCTTTGCCTCCTGGGTTCAAGTGATTCTCCTTCCTCAGCCTTCCGAGTAGCTGGGATTACAGGCATCCGTCACCACGCCCAGCTAATTTTTTGTATTTTTAGTAGAGTTGGAGTTTCACCATGTTGGCCAGGCTGATCTCGAACTCCTAAACTCAGGTGATCTGCCTACCTCGGCCTCCCAAAGTACTGGGATTACAGGCATGAGCCACTGTGCCTGGCCTTGTCTGTTCTTTTTAATGACAGGTTAGCTGTTTTCCACTTTTAAATGGTTTAAAATAAAATCAGAAGAATAACATTTTTGTGACTTGAAAATTATATGAAATTCAAATTTCTGGGTCTATAAATAAGCCTCACTCATAAATTTATGTATTTTCTGTGGCAGCTTTTGCATTACAAAAGCAGAGGTGGGTAGCAATAAAGATTGCATGGCTCAAAAAGCCTAAAATATTTACTATCTGGCCCTTCACAAAACAAGTTTACTGACCTCTGGCCGATTGTGTGGTCTGTTCTGGAGAATGTTGCATGTCTACTTGAAAAGAATGTGCATTCTTTTGTTTCTAGTGAAGTGTTCTATAAATGTCTATTAGTTTAAGTTGCGTGATAGCGCACCTATAGTCCCAGCTACTTGAGGCGCTGAGGTGGGAGGATCACTGGTGCCCAGGCGGTTGAGTCTGCAGTGAGCCATAACTATGCCACTGCACTCCAGCCTGGGAGACAGAGCAAGACCCCGTCTCAAAAAATATAAAATAAAAAAATAAAAAAATTATCGAGAATGGAATATTGAAATGAAGTATTGTTGTTGAATTGTGTATTTCTTTTTTTTTTTTGAAATGGAGTTTCGCTCTGTCACCCAGGTCGGAGTGCAGTGGTGTGATCTCTGCTCACTGCAACCTCTGCCTCCCGGTTCAAGCGATTCTTCTGCCTCAGTCTCCCAAGTAGCTGGGACCACAGGCGTGTACCACCACGCCTGGCTAATTTTTGTATTGTTAGTAGAGACGGGGCTTCGCCATGTTGGCCAGGCTGATCTTGAACTCCTGACCTCAAGTGATCTGCCTGCCTCGACCTCCCAAAGTGCTGGGGTTACAGGCATGAGCCACGTGTCTGCCCCCGTTTTTTTTTTTGTGTGTTTTTTTTTTGAGACAGAGTCTCACTCTGTCACCCAGGCTGGATAGCAGTGCTAGGATTACAAGTGTGAGCCACCATGCCCATTTCCCCATATTTTGATAGCAGCAGTTAGTGTACTCACATTTAATATAATTATTAGTGTGGTTGCGTTCATATCTGCTATTTTGTTATTTGTTTTCTGTATGTATCATGAATTTTTTGGTTCTTTGTCCTCCTTTACTGTCTTTTGTGTTAAATAAATATTTTTTACGTACTATATTAATTCTTCTGTTGATTTGATTAATTCTTCTGTATATTTTTAGTTTTTTTGTTTGTTTGTTTGTTTTTTGAGATGGAGTTTTGCTCTTGTCGCCCAGGCTAGAGTGCAATGGCACGATCTCGGCTCCCTGCAACCTCCATCTCCCTGGTTCAAGCAATTCTCCTGCCTCAGCCTCCCGAGTAGCTGGGATCACAGGCGCGTGCCACCATACCTGGCTAATTTTTGTATTTTTGGTAGTGACAGGGTTTCACCATATTGGTCAGGCTGATCTCTAATTCCTGACCTCAAGTGATCCTCCCGCCTCGGCCTCCCAAAGTGCTAGGATTACAGGCATGAGCCACTGCACCCAGCCTTCAGTTATTTTCTTTTTCTTTTCTTTTTTTTTTTGAGACAGAGTCTAGTTTTGTCGCCCAGGCTGGAGTGCATTGACATGATTTTGGCTTACTGCAACCTCTCTCTCCCGAGTTCAAGCAATTCTCCTGCCTCAGCCTCCCGAGTAGCTGGTATTTCAGGCATGCACCACCACACCCAGCTAATTTTTGTATTTTCAGTAGAGACGGGGTTTCGCCGTGTTGGCCAGGCTGGTCTCGATCTCTTGACCTCGTGATCCGCCCACCTCAGCCTCCCAAAGTGTTGGGATTACAGGCATGAGCCACCACACCTGGTCAATCTCTTCTTACTTGTGATTCTATTTCCAAAAAAGATCATGTACACATGTACCAGAAGTTAGGACTTGAACATATCTTTTGGGGGGACATAATTCGACCCACAACAGTTGCTGTAGGGATTACTGTATGTATCTTATCATTGTGTACTTTAGATTAATACTCATTTAATTCCAGTAAAATATAGAGGCTTTGCTCCAATATAGATCCACTTCCACCCCTTCCCCATGTTCTTATTGTCATACATATTACACCTGCGCATGTTATAAATCTGATAACGCAGTGTTATAATTGTTACTTACACAGTTGCTTACACCAAGTATAAGCATCTTTTCTCTTGTTAACAAAAAATAAAAATATCAGACAATATTCATGTTAGAACTACACTCATTTTTCAGCTGAAACCATACTCTTTTTTCTTTTTTTGAGATGGCGTCTTGCTCTGTCGCCCAGGCTGGAGTGCAGTGGTGCAATCTCGGCTTACCGCAATCTCCACCTCCCGGGTTCAAGCAATTCTGCCTCAGCCTCCCGAGTAGCTGGGACTACAGGCACACGTCACCATGCCCAGCTAATTTTTTGTGTGTGTATTTTAGTAGAGATGGGGTTTCACCATGTTGCCCAGGCTGGTTGCAAACTCCTGAGCTCAGGCAGTCTGCCCGCCTTGGCCTCCCAAAGTGCTGGGATTACAGGTGTGAGCTACTACGCCCGGCCCAACCATACTCATTTTTCAATTAGCTATGGATACAAGAATTCAGCAAAAATCAACATAGGCATTCTGTGAGAATCCATTGACTTATGCAATTTACTATAAAGAGTATTGTGCATTTTACTGTTATTTGTAAATTGTGTGCTACATACTGCTGTATCAGTAATATTCGTATGTACTTGTGTACATGGGTACCTCGGTTTTGGGGAGCGAATGGTTAAACATCCGCCAGCACATCACTGCATGCTGCCCTGTTACTCCAGAAAGGCTGCGTTTGCACTCATCAGTGCTGTATGAGAGTTCCTTTTTTCTTGTACCAACACAAAATGTTCATTCTCCTTATTTCATCTTTTGTCAATATGAGGCAAAAAACAACGTAATCTCAATTTGCTTCCAGTGTATTTCGTGGCCATTTGTATTTCTCTCTTGGGACATCACCCACTTCTTTCTTTGGATATTCATAGTGTGTGGTTTTTTTTAAATTAATGATTTATGGACAGTCTTTTATATTAAAGGATTAACCCATTACTTGCCATGTGTTGCAACTGGTTTTTTCCAGTTTGTAACTTGTTTTCTTTCACTTTTATTTATATTGTCACTTTTCGCCAATTAGAAATTTTAATAGATTTAAGTTTTTTTTCCAGTAGGGTGAAATTTACCAGTGTGTTGGTCTATTTTTTGAGATGGAGTCTTTGTCACCCAGGCTAGAGTGCAGTGGCACGATCTCAGCTCACTGCAGCCTCCACCTCCTGGGCTCAAGCAGTCCTCCCACCTCAGCATCCCGAGAAGCTGGGACTGCAGGCACGTGCCAACACGCCCAGCTAATTTTTGTATTTTAAGTAGAGATAGGGTTTTGCCACGTAAGCCAGGCTGGTCTCAAACTCCTGACCACAGGTGATCTGCCTGCCTCGGCCTCCCAAAGTGCTGGGACGTGAGCCACCACGCCCAGCCACCAGTGTTCTGTTTTCTACCTGAAGTATTTATTTAAGAGAAACAGGCCATATTCCAGGATTATGAAAATATCTACTTATGAAGACTGAAACTTCAAGGATCATTTGTTTAGTTTGTTACTAGAGAAGTTTCTCTGAACATATGAGTACCAAAAAAAAAATACTGACTTATGTTTCTTAATAATATTAGTTCTTGTGGGAAGGTGAGCTCGAGGAAAGAAGGGATATTCTTTATTTGTTTTTTCAAACTTTAAAAGTTTTTAGGCTGGGCATGGTGGCTCACGCCTGTAATCCCGGCACTTTGGGAGGCCGAGGCGGGCGGATCATGAGGTAAAGAGATCGAGACCATCCTTGCCAATATGGTGAAACCCCATCCCTAC
This sequence comes from Homo sapiens, assembly GCF_000001405.40. Taxonomy (NCBI): domain Eukaryota; kingdom Metazoa; phylum Chordata; class Mammalia; order Primates; family Hominidae; genus Homo; species Homo sapiens. The sequence continues at coordinate 123,644,503 of NC_000012.12, forward strand.
TAAAAATACAAAAATTAGCTGGGCGAGGTAGCACAGGCCTGTAGTCCCAGCTGCTGGGGAGGCTGAGGCAGGAGAATTGCTTGAACCCGGGAGTTGGAGGTTGCAGTGAGCCGAGATCAGGCCACTGCACTCCAGCCTGGCGACAGAGTGAGACTCCATCTCAAAAAAAAAAAAAAGTTTTTAATTCATTTACCCACTAAGTATACTGAGCAACAACTATATTGTTCACTAAGTATATACCAGACGTACAGTAGTGGCTCAGTATAGTTAGTGAACAAATGAATTAAAAAATTGTAAAGGTCTCCAGTGTTTTCAGTATGTATTCATTATCTACTCCACATATAGTAATAGTTTGCTGGAAATTTTATCACAGAACATGTGACATGTTTGTTATTCTTTAAATGTTACACTGCAAATATTTGTGGAATATTGTACTGATGTAGAAATGATCTCATATAAGTACAATTAGAAAACTATAGTTTTCAAGTGTTTTTGTTTATGGCTTTGGAGGAGGGGAGCTCCTGAGCAAATTTTTAACAGTGAATAATTGTCTAAAATTTAAATGAAGTCTTTTTTTTGTTTGTTTGTTACAGGGTCTAGCTCTGTTGTCCAGGCTGCAGTACAGTGGTACAATCTTGGCTCACTGCAGCCTGGCTCTCCAGGGCTTAAGCGATCCTGCCACCTCAGCCTTCAGAGTAGCTAAGACTACAGGTGCACACCACCATGCCTAGCTAGTTTTGTTTTTTTTATAGAGCTAAGGTTTCATTATGTTGCCTAGGCTGGTCTCAAACTCCTGAACTCAAGCAGTCCTCCCACCTTGGCCTCTCAGGGTGCTGGGATTACAGGCTTGAGCCACTGCACCCAGCCTAAACGACATCTTAATTATGTCAAGACCTGACATGGTTATTTGGATAGCTAATTTGTTTTTCTAATGTCTTTTTTTTTCCAACAGTTCACTTTATCCAAATGCATAGATGCCGTGATGGTGCTGGGAAATTCGCATTTATTCATGAATCGTTCCAACAAACTTGCTGTGATAGCAAGTCACATTCAAGAAAGGTATGACCATTGTGATTGCTTTTGCTCTTCAGTGCTTAATATTCATGAGTTTTCTGTGCCAGTTGGCATGTATTGTTCCTACTCCATGTTGCAAAAGAAAATGTTTTCTGTACCAGTGAACAGCCACAGCACCAAGAGCCAGTACATGTACATTGTGATATCCATGAAATTTGCAAACCTTATTATTAGTAGATAGTAGAGTTACACAATGGCCCATGTAATTTGCACAGATTGAACTATATTATTTAGGCAAAAAGGGAAAGAGAGCTATCAAATCGGACAGCTACTTTCCCTCACCTGTCTTCCCATTTTGTGTCTGCCCCAGCGTGCAAGTTAGATGGGAGATGTGATTCTGTTTTCCTTTAGCTCTGCGTAGTTCTCATGGCCTGTTTCCCTGCTCTGTGAGTGAACCTGGTGCTTTGAAATAAGGATTTTTCTTATAACGTTGGCTTCTAAACCCAAGCCAACTACTCCATCTGGTGCTTGGCAGAAGAAACAGTGGTCGCTTCTAACACTAGTGTGAAAACTGGCTGTGTTAGACTCACTGCAAGATGGTGCATAGCCTGCAGCTGATGTGTAAATGTGACCGCAGATACAGCAAAGTTTTTGTGAATAATTTGGGCCATATTTACTTCTCACATTATGCACTGACAGAAGAGTTGAATTACCATGTAAGACACAGCTCTTCTATGTCTTTTTTTTTTTTTTTTTTGGAGACAGGATCTTGCTCTGTCACCCAGGCTAGAGTGCAGTGGCACTATCATGGGTCACTGTAGCGTCTGACCTTCTGGACATAAGTGACTGGACCTCCTGCCTCAGTCTCCCAAGTAGCTGGGACTACAGGTGTGCACCACCACACTCAGCTAATTTTTGTATTTTTTGTAGAGATGGGGTCTCACTATGTTGCCCAGGCTGGCCTTGCTCTCCTGGGCTCAAGCAGTCCTTTCACCCCAGCCTCCCCAAGTGCTGGGACTGCAGGGATGAGCCACTACACCTGGCTCTTCTATGTCTTAATCACCACATTACAATAGAAGTGACTCTTGCTCACCAACATATTTCATATGGTAGCTGTCAGATTTTCTTGGTTCTTAGGGCTGCCTGCTTCCTCTGGTGAGGTGAGAGAGCCCATGGGCCACCAAACACATACTCTTACTCCCATCCTCGCTGCATATTTTTTCTCAGAATTGGATGAAAAGATGATATTAGTTTGGTTAAAATACCAGTAAAAACTATACCTGTCAAAGTTTTTTTTTTTTTTTTTAATCAAAGGTATCCTCTACCTGATTATCTTAAAAGTCACAAGGCCATGGCTGGGTGCGGTGGCTCATGTCTGTAATCCCAGCACTTTGGGAGGCCGAGGCGGGCGGATCACGAGATCAGGAGATCAGGACCATCCTGGCTAACATGGTGAAACCCCGTTTCTACTAAAAATACAAAAAAAATTAGCCGGGCATGGTGGCGGGCACCTGTAGTCCCAGCTACTCGTTAGGCTGAGGCAGGAGAATGTCGTGAACCCGGGAGGTGGAGCTTGCAGTGAGCCGAGGTCGTGCCACTGCACTGCAGCCTGGGCGACAGAGCAAGACCCTGTCTCAAAAAAAAAAAAAAAAAAAAGTCACGAAGTCACGAGGCCGGGCTCGGTGGCTCACGCCTGTAATCCCAGCACTTCAGGAAGCTGAGGCAGATTACTTGAGGTCAGTTTGAGACCAGCCATACATAGCAGCCAACATAGTGAAACCCCATCTCTACTAAAAATACAAAAAATTAGCTGGACGTGGTGGTACACTCCTGTAATTCCAGCTACTTGGGAGGCTGAGGCACGAGAATCACTTGAGCCCGGGAGGTGGAAGTTGCAGTGAGCTGAGACTGCACCACTGCACTCCAGCCTGGGCGACACAGCGAGACTGTGTCTCAAAAAAAAAAAGAGTCATGAATCACTGGGAGAATCTTTTCAGGGACCTTTGGGCCAGATTTTTATTACTGGGATAGATATGTACCTCAAATAATAAACTAGTAGTGAGTTAGAATTTGGTATGAACCTGTTGTGGTTGTCATTTGAGAAAGGAAGGCACGGGCACCCCTCTGCAGCATTTCTGAGATTATAACCCAACGCCCTCTGTATTTCCCCACACTTTTCAGAAAACACTGGAATCAGTAAAACATTCTGTGGTGATAGACAAATGTTGGCCAGTTTGCCTATTTTATACATTTTTTCTTTGTTTTTATACGCTTTTTCTAATTTTATCTTACACATTTTTTTTAAAAAATGAAATTTACCGTGGAATCTTGTGAGTCCCACATTGTTGTAATTTTGTTTGTTGCCTCTGCTGAATTTCATTCTGATCATGAGTGAGCCTGGGCGGTGAGGCCTGGTGTAACCAGGTTTTTTCCCCTGCTGTTTCAGCCGATTCTTATATCCTGGAAAGAATGGCAGACTTGGAGACTTCTTCGGAGACCCTGGCAACCCTCCTGAATTTAATCCCTCTGGGAGTAAAGATGGAAAATACGAACTTTTAACCTCAGCAAATGAAGTTATTGTTGAAGAGATTAAAGATCTAATGACCAAAAGTAACAACTTTTAAACATTGTTATTTTGCAAATAGTGTTGATTTTGGAGGTCCTTTAGGCTTTAAGTTCAAAGATGTGAGGTTCTTTATGTTGTATGCCTGCACGTTCTCACTTTTTAAAAATCATTTTCGTCAAAGTTGGTTCATTATTTGCCTAGCCTCTACAGCATTTGACGCTGCTGAGCAGCCTTTACTTCTGGAAACACGACTTTTGGCTTCTACGAATGCCCTGTGACCTGTTTTTCCTCTTTTCTTGAAACATTATTTCATAGTCTCTATTTCTGGCTTTTCCTTCATCTTGTCTCTTAAAATATGTTTTTAATTCGGCACATGATTTTCATCTTTTCTCCCTCTATATGTTCTCATCCACTTTTGCCTTTAATTATCTTTTACATATGGACACTTTCCAACTTTGTTTCTAACCCAGACTTTCTTTCATGCTCAAATGCCTCCATTTCAGCGTCCCACAGTCTCTGGACATGGCCCAGGCTAGTCTCATTATCTTTGCTCTCACTCACACCACCATTTCCATTCCCTATTTCTGTCAGCTCCCATCCAAGTAGTTTTCTAAACTTAAAGCTTTCATTTTTAACTCCTGCTCACATCCGACATCTAATCAGCTACAAAATCCTAGTCGTTTAGCCTCAGAAGTGTCTCCAGAATCCCGCTCCTTATTGTCATCTTTTTATTTTTCATTTTTAAAATTTTTATAGGGACGGGGTCTCACTATGTTGCCCAGGCTGGTCTTGAACTCCTGGGCTCAAGCTATCCTCCTGCTTCTGCCTCCCAGAGTGCTGGGATTACAGGCAGGAGCCACCACACCCAGCCCCCATCCCTATTGTCATCTCTTTTTTTTGAGATGGAGTTTTGCTCTTGTTGCCCAGGCTGGAGTGCAATGGCACGTGATCTCAGCTCACTGCAACCTCCGCCTCCCGGGTTCAAGAGATTCTCCTGCCTCAGCCTCCCAAGTAGCTGGGATTATAGGCACGTACCACCATGCCTGACTAATTTTTAATATTTTTAGTAGAGATGGGGTTTCACCATGTTGGCCAGGCTTGTCTCCAACTCCTGACCTCAGTTGATCCACCCAACTCGGCCTTCCAAAGGGCTGGAATTACAGGTGTGAGCCACCACACCCAGGCCCCATCCCTTATTGTCATCTTGATCGGCCTCAGCATTATTGACATTTTGGTCTGGATAATTCTTTGTTGTGGCAGCTGTCCTATGCGTTGTAGGATGTTTAGCAGCATTTCTGGCCTTGGGCCATTAGACACCATAATATCCCCCAGTTGTGACAACCAGATATGTCTGTAGACATAGCCAGATGCCCCCTGTAGGGCACATTCACCCCACGTTTAGAGCCACTGCTCTAGATTGTTATAGCCTCTAACTGGTTTTCTGACTCCTGTCTCCCCAGTCAAGCCTTTGCACTCAGCCTCCAGAGTTATCATCTTAAAAATCAAAGCTGCCATTCCTGGGCTTATAGGCCTTTCCTGGCTCCCTGCTGCCTGCAGGTGATGGTTTCCAAACCTTAGCCTGAATCAGAATCACCTGGGGGAAAAGACAATTCTGTGGAGACAGAAAGTTGGTTAGTGGTTGCCCAGAGCTGGGCAGAGACTGGGGAGTGATTGCAAATGGGCCCAAATGATCTTTTAGGGTAATGGAGACTGTTCTAAAATTGGATTGTGATGATGATTGCATAATTGTAAATTTACTAAAAATAATTGAATTGCATACCCAAAAGTACTTTTAGACCAGAATTTATGGTTTGTACATTATAAACCTGTTAAAAAATCAGCTGGAAGGCTTGTTGAAACAGTGTCAGGCCCCACTCAGTTTCTGATTCACTGGATCTAGGGAGGTCCTGAGAATTTCTATTTCTATTACAGTGCCAGGTGGTGCCCCTATAGCTGGTTCCAGAATCTCACCTTGAGAGTCACTGGCCTCCAGGATTAAGTCTCAGCTCAGCTTCACAGTATAGTGCTCAAGACCTTTTCTGGTCTGACCTCACCCATGAGGTGTCAGTTCTCCTGGACCAGCTCTAAGCTGGCTTGCACAGAGTGTCAATCTGAGCTCCTTGCCCTCTTGAACTGCAGTTTTAGGGTTTTGATATCTTGAGTGACTTTTTTCACCCAAGGCACCAAACAAGTGGCAAACTCCTCCCTGCTTCTCATGGCTCGAGGAAAGAGCTTCTCCAGTCTTCCCCGCACTGGCTGAGCACGGAGAGTGATGGGAAGGAGGGGATGGTGGGAGAGGGAGGGCAAGGGGGCCTCAGAGCCTTGTACCCTGTCCAGGCTGCTAGACTTATGCGTGACATTTTGTACCACATAGATCATGAATAAACTGGAACCTTTCCAAGTAAAAACGGGATCTTTTTGTGTGTGTATGTATGGTAAAGTACAAATAACAAAATTTGCCATTTTACCGATTTTTAGAATTTTTAATGTAAAATTTACTTACCATAAAATTTACCATTTTGACAATATTTAAGTGTACAGTTCAGTAATGTTGAGTATATTCGCCTTCTTTTGCAATCATCACCGCCATCCATCGCCAGAACTTTTTCATCTTTACAAACTGAAATTCTGTACCCATTAGACACTAACTCCCTGTTCCCCCTGCCCTCTGGCTAGCCCCTGAACAACCACCAGGATGTTTTACATTGAGAAAAGGTTAAAAAGTTGCTTAGTTAACCATTACCAAGAACACATTGCTATGTTTTTAAACCTAGTTTGAAAATGTCTTGTTTGATTTCATTTATGAAGAATGCTTTGGTGTGAAAGCATACTTAGTTCAATAAAGCACCCAATGATTTTAGTTCAAGAAAGTACTTAAAAATTCCCTTTTAATGTTTTCTGTTATTTGCAGGTGACATAAAGGGTCAACATACAGAAACTTTGCTGGCAGGATCCCTGGCCAAAGCCCTTTGCTGTATCCTTGGTGTCTGAATCATTTAGAAGGTGTCTTCTGTAATAAACATATCTTAACTTGTGACATTTCTTAGGACCTTGGGTGCCCATTACTGGGACATGTGAGTACTCTGAAGTGGAGGGTAATTTTTTAAAAAATAGTTTACATTGGCTTTGAATTTTTTTTTCTTTTTTTGAGACAGTCTCACTCTGTCGCCCAAGTTGGAGTGCAGTGGCACAATCTCGGCTCACTGCAACCTTCGCCTCCCAGATTCAAGCAGTTCTCTTGCTTCAGCCTCCCAAGTAGCTGGTACAGGCACCCGCCATCACTCCCGGCTAATTTTTTTTGTATTTTTAGTAGAGATGTAGTTTCACCAAGTTAGCCAGGCTGGTCTCTAACTCCTGACTTCAAGTGATCCACCCACCTCGGCCTCTCAAAGTGCTGGGATTACAGGCCACAGTGTGTGGCTGGCTTTGAAATGTTTATTAAGACAAGCTGTAAAGGCCGGGCGTGGTGGCTCATGCCTGTAATCCCAGCACTTTGGGAGGCCGAGGCAGGCGGATCATGAGGTCAGGAAATCAAGACCATCCTGGCTGACACAGTGAAACCCCGTCTCTACTAAAAATACAAAAAAATTAGCTGGGCGTGGTGGCGGACACTTGTAGTCCCAGCTACTAGGGAGGCTGAGGCAGGAGAATAGCGTGAACCTGGGAGGCAGAGCTTGCAGTGAGCTGAAATCGCACCACTGCACTCCAGCCTGGGCGACAAAGCGAGACTACATCTCAAAAAAAAAAAAAAGAAAAAAAGATAAGCTGTAAAAACTGGAAGTGGGGAAGAGTGAGAAAACTCTAGCTTCTCCATTATGTCTTTCTGCCTTCAGGAAACACTGCTTCAGGGTGCTTTCTTGTTTCTTATTTTGATAAATTCAGACTTTTTAAACATTTTCATTTTCTTCTTGACTTGGGAACAGTGTTTGATTTTTAAAAGCCATTTAGGAGCCCTGAAGCTTAATAAATGAGTGGCTCCTTCTCCATAGGTGAACGGGTTGTTTTGCATAGGGCAATACCTTTTCATTTTATCTGTGTGACGTTTTCTCAGTCTTATGGCATTAATTTTTTGGAGGAGGGGCAGTATTGAGTGATTATTTTGTCCTGGAGTTTGATGTGGGTTGCCTGAACATATTTGTAAATCAGTACTTGTCCCAGGATTCAAATTTAGGACATGGTAGGTAAGAATAGGACAGTCAAGTGTTGGGAATTTTAATTTTCTGGGACAGAGATTATATTTTGGTGAGATTACAAAGTCCAGTTGACTGCAGAGTTAGGAACTGAAAACCCCCAATCACTCTTGTGTATTTATCTTGGTGAGTGGAGCATTTCCCTTCTTAGCTAGGTAGATGCTGGGTTTATTTAAAATTGGAGGTTATTTTTCTTTTTACTATAAATATTTATGAAGCAAAATAATATTTTTGTATTCCTTAATGTTAAGAAATTAAGACATTCATAGAATGAACAAGGAAGTTAAAGGTAAGAGCCTACGTTTTCCTATGAGAACTGTAATCCTACTTATTTTACTAGTATTTCTTTACTAGACTGTTTAAAAATTGGTTAGGAAACCATATATGATTAGTAAGATTTAGTTAAATTTTTTTCTGCTTTTTTCTCTTTGTAGACAATCAGGAAATGAAATCAAGGATATTGGTAAGATAAAAAAATCATTACTTTTTTATATGACAACTATAATTAGAAAACATAACGGGAGACCAGGTGTGGTGGCTCACACCTGTTATCCCAGCACTTTGGGAGGCCGAGGTGGGCAGATCACTTGAGGTCAGGAGTTCGGGACCAGCCTGGCCAACATGGTGAAACCCCGTCTCTACTCAAAATACAAAAATTAGCTGGGCGTGGTGGTGCATGCCTATAGTCCCAGCTACTTGGGATCCCGAGGCAGGAGAATCGTTTGAACCTGGGAGGCAGAGGTTGCAGTGAGCTGGAGGTTGCAGTGAGCCGAGATCACACCACTGCACTCTAGCCTGGGTGACAGAGTGAGACTCCGTCTCAAAAAGAAAAAAAAAAGAAAACATAATGGGAAATAAAACGCATTTATAGTAGGAGCAAAAAATGTTAACTATCCAGGATTCATTTAACAAGCAATGTGTAAAACTGATGATAAGGAAAACTAAAATTCTGAGAGCGATAGAAGAATAAGTGGAGAGCCATATTTTGTTCTTGGATGTCAGTTTTCCCAAAATCACACTGTAAATTCAATTTACAATCTCAGTCAGAATATCAGGGAGGTTTTTTTTTTTCCTGGCAGGGTGGGGAGATTTAAAAAAGAAATTCAAGGCTGAGCACGGTGGCTCACTCCTGTAATCCCAACACTTTGGGAGGCCAAGGCGGGTGGATCACGAGGTCAGGAGATCGAAACCAACCTGGCTAACATGGTGAAACCCCGTCTCTAGTACAAATACAAAAAATGTCGTGGGCGCCTGTAGTCCCAGCTACTCGGGAGGCTGAGGCAGGAGAATGGCGTGAACCCAGGAGGCAGAGGTTGCAGTGAGCCGAGATTGCGCCACTGCACTCCAGCCTGGGCAACAGAGCGAGACTCTGTCTCAAAAAAAAAAAAAAGAAGTGCCAAGTAACGAGATATTCATTGTTTGTTGCTTAGCACAAATGAAAAAGCTGGCAGTTCCCAGGGTTGATGGTGATGTTGGGGATTGCTTATTCTCATGGGTTGCTGATAGGAGGATAAATTGGTAAAAATCTTTTCTGGGGTGCATTTTGGTAATCTGTGTCAAAATTAAATGTTCATATACTTTAGTAATCACTGCTTATTTTCCGGAGGTAATTAGAGAGCTGTGCAGATGGTATATGAGGGTATCATCAGGGTATTGTTTAAAACTGAGAACTGGAAACTGCTTAAATAGTGGAAATTTATGAAGTCCGCAAGGAGCATAGTATATATTATAATTCATTGACATTAGAATATTTTTTCCCACATATATTGTGGACTGAAAAAGCAGGTTGCAGAATGCTAAGTAATCATCTTGATACGTGTGAGTGTGTGTATTTTGGATGTGTGTGTATTCTGGATGTGTGTATGTGTGTATATTTTGGATGTGTGTGTGTTTTGGGTGTGTGTATGTATTTGGGGTGTGTTTGTGTGTTTTGGGTGTATTTTGGGTTTGTGTTTGTTTTATGTGTGTATTTGGGGTGTGTATATTTTGGGGGGGTGTATTTTGGGGGGTATGTTTTGGATGTGTATTTTTTGGGGCTGTGTATTTGGTTGTGTGTGTGTGTTGGGTGTGTGTATTTAGTGGTGTGTGTACTTTTGGGGTACGTGTATTTTGGTTGTGTGTGTGTGTATTTTGGGTGTACTTACCTGTGTATTTTGGGTGTATGTCCGTGTGTGTATTTTGTATATGTGTGTGTTTTGGGTGTATGTGTATTTGGGGTGTGTGTATTTGGGGTATGGGTGTATTTTGGGTGTGTATTTTGGAGTGTGTGTATTTTTGGGTGTGTGTGTGTATTTTGGGGGTGCATGTGTGTATTTTGGGTGGGTAGGTGTGTGTATTTTGGGGGCGTGTGTGTATTTTGGGTATATGTGCGTATGTGTTTATTTTGTGTATGTGTGTGTTTGTGTTTTGGGTGTGCATGTATATACCTGCCCATGTAGGTGCTCTCCAGAATGAGTTCATCAAACCGTTACGTGGAGCGGGATTTCGGGGGAAATGTTACTGTCATCTTTATACTTTAGGTATCATTTAACAATGATAAATGGGAAGACAAACTGGAATAATGTTGGTTGTGGTTCGCAGTATATTGTGTGACATTGGTGTGAGAGGACTGGCATGTGCCTGGGTGGAATTAACATGACTGTGATTTTTAGGTGATTAAGGCTGCAGAAGACAGTGCGTTGCAGTATATGAACTTCATGAATGTCATCTTTGCAGCACAGAAACAGGTGAACTGAGAGCCTGCCGTTTAAAGTATTTGTTTCATAACGAAGGAGTCAATTTCATTTTTTGAATGCTCTACTCTGAGGTATTCTGACTACGTAGGCTTATGAATGGGCAAGGAATCCAGAATCTGTATTATGTTCTAGTCTTTTCTCTATTTTGGGTCCTGGACCACTTGAGAATCTGATGCATTCCCAAAACAATATGCACTCAACCACAGTTTTGCATAGAGTTTCATGGTATTCAGGTAACCTTTAGCCCATCCTTGGACCCCATGCCAAGAATCCCTGGTTTGACAGTTTGCTGTATAAACCTTGCATCAGTTTCTTTATCTTGTTGCTGTGGCGAAGCTGTAAAAATTCAGTATTTTTACTTTGCAAAGAGCTGAAATGTTCAGATGAAGTATAATACATTTTCTTCTTTGGTGTGTTTATGAAGAAAGAAAACCTCCTTAAAATTTCAGTTTTAATGTAAAATGCTGCTATAGCCATGCATAATGTTCTCTGTTGTGGAGTGGCAGCATGATGTAGTGAAAAGAGCCTGGACTTTGGAGACATGCCGAGTGGGGTGACAGCTTTCTCACCCGCTGGCTCTGTGACCACAGCCCAGCCATGTCCTGGGTGCTTCAGCTGCCAAATGCAAATATCTGCCGTGCAGAGTCACGTTGCATATTGAGTGAGCTATTTTAAGCATAGAGTATGGCATGTAGTAGGTTCTCAGTATAGGGTAATCATTATTGTTATTATTCCTGTAATATTTTCAAAATGTTTCTTTTAGAATATTTTGATTGATGCCTGTGTTTTAGACTCCGACTCAGGGCTCCTCCAACAGGTATGTTTTAAAACCATGCTTTGTGTCGGTGGTTATGACAATTAGTGATTTTTATATTGATTACAATTTAAAATGAAAGCTTTGGGTATATTGGGTTAAATAAAATATGTTATTCAGCCTAATTTTATCTATGTCTTTCCCCCTTACGTATGGAGCTACTGGAAAATTTTAAATTACATATTGCTTGCGTTATATTTCCGTTGGGCAGCACTAAAAGACAAAAACTGAATTTTACTTTAACCCGAAAGGGAAACAAAACCCTAAAGTAAGTCTGAAGAAATTACTGAGTTTTTGTTAGATGTTTTTTGGCCACAAATGTTGTTTCCTAAAGGATCAGTTACAAGCACAAAACTATGACAAACCCTGAATTTAGGTTACTGCTGGGGATGAAGGATGGGGAGAGCGAGGTCCAATGGGAAAATTTACATGCTTCAAAGGCTCTGAGATTGTACTGTTTCTTCAGCTTGATCGTAGGTATATGATGTTCATTTTATTATTTAAACCATACTTACACATTATGTATACAGACTCTTGTACATATTATATTTCAGTAGTAAAAATTCAAAAAGTTTGAATTCATTTTTTAGCAACACATTTCAGTCTACACATTGTCTATTAACTCCAAGACGATCTTGTCTCTGCCATGAATTCACATACCAGCTCTACCTCCTCAGCCCTCACATTCATTTTTCTAGTCCAGTCCCAGACTCTCCTGAGTTCCAGACTTGCAGAATCAGCCGTGTACGTAGTACCTCCTCTTGGACGTCTGGCAGGCATCTTCAGTGTCATGTGTCAAAAGCAGAGAGCTCTTGGTTTGTCCTCTCAGCCTCTTCCTGCTCCACTGGTAGCCCCATCTCCCTAAGTGGCAGTGCAGTTCACTCAGCAACTCAAGCAAAAACCTGACTCTTCCTTGTCTCTTCTCTTCCCTCCTTTCATAACCATGAGCAAATCCTGTTGATTCTGCCTTTAAAATATATCCTGGCTGAGCTCAGTGGCTCATGCCTATAATCTCAGCACTTGGGAGGCTCAGGCGGGTGGATGGCTTGAGCTCAGAAGTTTAAGACCAGCCTGGGCAACATGGCGAGACACCATCTCTATAAACAATACAAAAAAATTAGCCTATCATGGTGGTGCACGCCTGTAGTCTCAGCTGTTCGGGAGGTGGAGGCAGGAGGATTGCTTGAGCCAGGAGTTCGAAGCTGCAGTCAGCTACGATCATGCCACTGCACTCCAGGGAAACCCTGTCTCCCTCTTAAGAAAAAAAAATGTGAAAGTTGGTTCTCAGAACAGCTGTCAGAATGAAGCTTTCAAAATACAAGATTGGTGCAAAAGTAATTGTGGTTTTTGCCTTTTTTTTTTTTAACAGTAAACACTGCAATTACTTTTGCACCAACCTAATATAAATTAGAACCTGTTGCTCACTTGCTTAAAACCCTCCCATAGCCTAGCATCATACGTTGACTAAAACCCAGAGTCAGGGCCTGCCAGGGCCTTCCAGATGCTGCTTGCTGAGGCTCCTGGGAACCTTTTGCCCCGCATCTTCCACACTCTCCCTCTTCAGTCCGGCCCCACCGCCCCCTTGCTATTGCCTGAAACAGGCCTGCTTCGGCCAGAGGGGCGCTGCACTTTCTGTTCTCTCTGCTCGCAAGCTCTTCCCGCAGGTGTTTGCATGGCCTACTCCCTGCCTGCCTTCACGTCTCTACTTCTGTGCCACCTCCTCAGAGAAGCCTTCCCTGACCACCATTGTTAGTGTTACTCCCTCTCCCCTTAGCCTACTTTATTTTTCTTCATAGAAATGATCATAACCTATAACATTATTTTTGCATTTACTTACCTGATTTACTCTCTGCCTTCTCCACTAGAACCTTAACTTCATGAGGATGGACACTGTGATGTTTACTGCTGTAACCCTGCACAGTGCTCTAAAACAGTTGTTAAATGTGTAAATGAATCTAACGGACCAACTGAACCAGGACTGTACTATCAGAGGAGCCTCAGGGTCCTAGGATCGGAGCTAGGGTTTTCAGTGTAAATGGAAGCACTGCTGTGTTAAAGCGAGAAAGCTGTGTTTATGAAATGAATAGATGAATGATTGTTGGGAAAAACTATTAACATGGACAGGAAACCTTAGTGTCAGCAACCAGGAGAGCTTGAGTGTTTTGTGTCTTTGGAAAACTCTGAAGATAGCAAAAGTTTGGAAAAAGAGGACCAAATTCAAAAGAGTTTTATTTTTATTTTATTTTATTTTATTTTTAGACAGAGTCTTGCTCTTGCCCAGGCTGGAATGCAGTGGCATGATCATGGCTCACTGCAGCCTTATCCTCCCCAGCTCAAATGATCTTCCCACTCAGTCTCCCAAGTATCTGGGACCACTGGCATGCACTACAATGCCTGGCTAATTTTTTAATTTTTTGAGACAGTTTCACTCTTGTTGCCCAGGCTGGAGTGCAATGGTACGATCTCGGTGCACTGAAACCCCAACTCCTGGGTTCAAGCGATTCTCCTGCCTCAGCCTCCCAAGCGGCTGGGATTACAGGTGCCCGCCACTACGCCCAGCTAATTTTTGTATTTTTAGTAGAGACAGGGTTTTATACTCTATTGGTTAGGCTGGTATCGAACTCCTGACCTCAAGTGATCCGCGATTACAGGCGTGAGCCACCGCGCCCGGCCTAATTTTTTAAATTTATTGTAGAGACAGGGTTTCACTATGTTGCTCAGGCTGGTCTTGAATTCCTGGGCTCAAACAGTCCTGAAGCCTTGGCCTCCCAAAGTGCTGGGATTACAGGCATGAGCCACTGCACCTGGACAAAAAAGTGTTATTTCTTAAAGAGAACAGAATAAAGCCATCTCACAGTTTCTTTTTACATAATAAAATTAACAAAATACAATGAAAACAAATCTCATAAAAATTAAAAATTTTTGTGCTTCCAAGGGCACTATCAAGAAAGTAAAAAGACAACTGGGAGAGATATTTGCAAATGATGTATCTGATAAAGGGACTAGTATTCTGATTATATAAAGAACTCTTAAAATTCAAAAATAAGACAAATAACTCATTTCAAAGTGGGCCAAGGATTGAACAGCTATTTCTCCAAAGATCTGCAAATGGCCAAGAAGCACATGAAAAGATGCTTAATATCATTACCGACCAGGGAAGTGCAAATCAAAACCACAATGAGCTATTACTTCACTCCACTAGGACACATGTAATCAAAAAGTCAGCTAATAATAAATATTGGTGAGGATATAGAGAAATTGGATCCCTCCTACATTGCTGCTGGAAATGTAAAATGGTATAGCCACTTCAGGAAACAGTTCAGAACTTCCTCGAAAAGTTAAGCATAGAATTACCATGTGACTGGGGAAACCCCGTCTCTACTAAAAATACAAAAATTAGCCAGGCATGGTGGCGCATGCCTGTAATCCCAGTTACTGGGGAAGCTGAGGCAGGAGAATCACTTGAACCCAGGAGGCAGAGGTTGGAGTAAGCCGAGATTGTGCCACTGCACTCCAGCCTGGGCGACAGAGCAAGACTCTGTCAAAATATAAAAATAAAAATAAAATAATAATAATCTGCAGTGTCATATCCTCCTCTGATTTTGTAGGCCCAAGGCATTGCTCATGAGAACCTCATTCCTCTGGAAACCCTAGGTAAGTGCGAGTTTGGCAGCAAGCCGCCTGTGTCTTGCAGGCTTGTGACATCACGGGAGGACTGTACCTGAAGGTGCCTCAGATGCCTTCTCTTCTGCAGTATTTGCTGGTAAGGAGACAGCAGCGGCGACCCTGATGCCTGGAGGGAAGGATGACCTCTGTGTCCTGGGAAAGGAATGGAAGCAAGATGGCTGGTGCTAGTACTCAGGAGAAGGGAATAAATGGAGGCCTTGGAGTTCCAAGGCCTAGAAGGGTGGGCTTCATGTTATTTTTTTCCCATGTTTTAAATAAAAGTTTCTTTTGTTTGTTTGTTTTACAGTGGGTGTTTCTTCCCGATCAAGATCAGAGATCTCAGTTAATCCTCCCACCCCCAGTTCATGTTGACTACAGGGCTGCTTGCTTCTGTCATCGAAATCTCATTGAAATTGGTTATGTCTGTTCTGTGTGTTTGTCAAGTAAGTTAATGTACCTAGTTTTTCTTTTTTTTCTATGTTGGGGGGCAGGAAAACAGTTTCTCAGCTGTGTTGTTTTTCAGCCACCCTATTGTTTCTTTTTTTTTTTAATTTACAGTATTCTGCAATTTCAGCCCCATTTGTACTACGTGCGAGTAAGTATCTTTGAGATTGTGTGGGTGGCTAATACTTCACAGCTCTAGAACATTAAAAAATGTTTTCCTCTCTGTAATTTCAGGACAGCCTTTAAAATTTCTCTGCCTCCAGTGCTGAAAGCCAAGAAAAAGAAACTGAAAGTGTCTGCCTGAGGATAAAATATTTTCCCCATCTTTTAGAGCTGTTAATAGAAATTATATAGCAGATTCTTTGTTGGGAAGACTGAAAAAAATAAAGATAGGTATAGGATAATTTTTAATATGGTGACCTTACAGAAAATATTTCCCAAACATCCTTTTCATCCTGTGCTTCTGGAGGACTGATTTGTTTGAGGGAATCATTCTATGCATTATATCCTAAAATATTCTATGACTGGTTTCTGTCCATGTTTGTGGCTTTCATTTTTTTAATGGGATGACTATTAGTCAAAGTCAGCTTGTCATGACTCATCATAGGCTTTCTAACCTACTCCCTGAATCCGGGTCCTCATTGTGAAATGCATGCCATACGAAATTTGAACGTAGCTTTGGAAAAAGGGACTATTTGTGGAGTAATGGCATTAATCAACATAGAACATCTTATTTGAATCAACAGTTAACTTCAGTAGTCATGTGAATAAAATTCTTATTGTCTAAATTGAGACAGCCTCAGATATTTGCAGATATTTACTTTTTGTCTGATATCAGTACATATTTGGACAAAGTCATCTAAATAATAGTTTGTCACCAAATAACTACAAAATCTCATTTTAAATGAGTAAGGAGAACGTGTACAGAAGCAAATTTTCTTCAAAATAGTTGTGGGAAGAGCTTATATGTGAAAGCTTATGACTGGTTTTGAGGGAGAACTTACTGGAGAAAATGGACTCTATGTTAAGTATGGTTTTCAGATAGAATTCTTTCCTTTTTTAATGAGGAAAAAAAATCCACATTAATATTGAAACTGCACCTGTAATCCCAGCACTTTGGGAGGCTGAGGACAGAGGATTGCTTGAGCCCAGGAGTTCGAGAGCAGCCTGGGCAGCAAAGTGAGACCCCATCTCTACTAAAAATTTAAATGTATTTATTAAAACTGTTCTCTAGAAGCTTTGGACTGAATCCCAAAAGTGTTTATAAGTTCAAAAGCAAAAGTATTTGTAATTTCAACAACAAAAAATGTATTTCTTTATGTAATCTTGAAATTATTAAAAGTCCTTTTAGCTTCTAGCACATATTTGTACAAAGAGTTTAAGGAATGGTGGCTGGTTTGGTTTGTTTTTTAAAAATGTTTACTGACGAGGCCGGGCGTGGTGGCTCACCCCTGCAATCCCAGCACTTTGGGAGGCCGAGGCAGGCAGATCACAAGGTCAGGAGTTCAAGATCAGCCTGGCCAGTATGGTGAAACCCTGTCTCTACTAAAAATAGAAAAATTAGCCATGCGAAGTAGCAGGTGCCTGTAGTTCCAGCTACTCGGGAGGCTGAGGCAAGAGAATTGCTTGAATCCAGGAGGCAGAGGTTGCAGTGAGCCAAGATAGCGCCTCTGTACTCCAGCCTGGGTGACAGAGCGAGACTCTGTATCAAAAAAAAAAAAGATCGGGCACGTTGGCTCACGCCTGTAATCCCAGCACTTTGGGAGGCCAAGGTGGGTGGATCACGAGGTCAGGAGTGATCAGGCTGGGTTTCTGTTTTGTTTTGTTTTGTGAGACAGAGTCTCGCTCTGTTGCCCAGGCTGGGGTGCAGTGGTGCAAGCTCGGCTCTCTGCAAGCTCTGTCTCCTGGGTTCACGCCATTCTCCTGCCTCAGCCTCCCAAGTAGCTGGGATTACTACTCTACTGAACCCATGAGGCAGAAATTTGAGACCATCCTGCCCAACGTGGTGAAAACATGGTGAAACCCTGTCTCTACTAAAAATACAAAAATTAGCTGGGCGTGGTGGCAGGTGCCTGTAATCCCAGCTACTCAGGAGACTGAGGCAGGAGAATTGCTTGAACCCAGGAGGTGGAGGTTGCAGTGAGCCAAGATCAAGATTGCGCCATTGCACTCCAGCCTGGGCGACAAGAACAAAACTCTGTCTCAAAAAAAAAAAAAAAAAAAAAGTCTGTACTGATAAAACCCATTGTGTACAAAACTTTGTATGTAAGGAAGATTTTAATTTTCTCTTTATACAAGCTGAGTCATATTTAAATAATTTGATGTTGGCTTAGATAATTTCAGATAGATTTTATATTCTGGATTTGTGTTTTTGTTAACAAATATACAAAGACTTTGGTGATCACTTTGCAAATATTTGTTAATCCTTGAGTTTGAGAACCTGTCTTTTAAAAATAATATTTTGTATACTAATTAAGTGTAATGGAAATCACAATTTTAAGTCTAGGAAATAAAGTATTATATATACTTTCAAACAAGCTAGCAAGGCTTTTATTATTACTTTTTTATTTGAAATATCTTATATATTTGGTTAGTTCTGTTTAACTTGTTTTTAACTGTTGCCCTTATGAGTTATTTTATATAAATTTTTACAATAAAATAATTTGATTTTCATATTTGGTTGAATTATTTCCTTTCATTCATTGTTTATCTCATGCTCATTCAACTCTTCTTCAAATGTGTACTTTTAAACTGCATTTGGTCAAATGCCAGACAATTTTTTATTCAACTCCGAAGTACTTTAATTTCAAATCTTGGTCTGCGTGCAGTGGCTCACGCCTGTAATCCCAACACTTTGGGAGGCTGAGGCAGGAGGATCACTTAAGCCTAGGAGTTCAAGACCAGCCCGGGCAGCATGGCAAAACCCTGTCTCTAAAAAAAATATAAAAATTAGCCAGGTGAGGTGGTTCATGCCTGTAGTCCCAGCTACTCCAGAGGCTAAGGTGGGAGGATCGCTTGAGCCCAAGAGGCGCAGGTTACAATGAGTCATGATCATGCCACTGAACTCCAGCCTGGGTGACAGAGTGAGACCCTGTCTCTAAATAAATAAATGCTCCTGGTTTTTGTATGTTGATTTTGTATCCTGCCACTTTACTTATTTCATCAGTTCTAATAGTTTTTTGGTGGTGTCTAGGTTTTTTCGGATATAAGATCGTATCATCTGCAAACAAGGATAATTTTACTTTTTCCTTTTTAATTTGAATACCTTTTATCTCTTTCTCAGGACTTATTGCTCTAGCTAGGACTTTCAACACTATGTTGAATACCAGTGGTGAAAGTGGGCATCCTTACCATGTTCCAGATTTCAGAGGAACGGTTTTCAGTTTTTTTCCTGTTCAGTACGATACTAGCTGTGGGTCTGTTATATGTGGCTTTTGTGTGTGTGTGTTGAAGTATGTTCCTTCTTTGCCCAGTTTTTTGAGGGTTTTTATCATGAAAGGATGTTGAATTTTATCAAATGCTTTTTGAGCATCCATTGAAATGATCAGATGGCTTTTGTTCTTCCTTCGGTTGACACGATGTATCACATTGATTGAGTTGCCTATGTTGAACCATCCTGTTGAACCATCCTTGCATCCCTGGGATGAATCCTACTGGGTCATGATGAATGATTTTTTTTTTTTTTTTTCGAGATGGAGTTTCGCTCTTGTCACCCAGGCTGGTGTGCAATGGTGTGATATCAGCTCACTGCAACCTCTGCCTTCCTGGTTCAAACGATTTCCCTGCCTCAGCCTCCCAAGTAGCGGGGATTACAGGTGCCTGCCACCATGCCCAGCTAATTTTTTTGGATTTTTAGTAGAGACTGGGTTTCACCATGTTGGCCAGGCTGGTCTTGAACTCCTGACCTCAGGTGATCCACCTGCTTTGGCCTCCACAAGTGCTGGGATTACAGGCATGAGCCACCACACCTGATTGAATTATCTGTTTTTTTTTTGGTTTGTTTTTTTTTTGTATTGAGATGGAGTCTTGCTCTGTCACTCATGCTGGAGTGCAGTGGCCTGATCACGGTTCACTGCAACCTCTGCCACCTGGGTTCCAGCGATTCTCCTGCCTCAGCCTCCTGCGTATCTGAGATTATAGGTATGCGCCACCATGCCCGGCTAATTTTTTTGTATTATTAGTAGAGACGGGGTTTCACCATGTTGGCCATGCTGGTCTCGAACTCCTGACCTCAAGTGATCCACCCACCTTGGCCTCCCAAAGTGCTGGGATTACAGGTGTGAGCCACCATGCCCGGCCTGAATGATCTTTTTAATGTGTTGTTGAAGTTGGTTTGCTGGTGTTTTGTTGAGGATTTTGCATCAATGTTCATCGGAGATATTGGTCTGTAGTTCTTTTGTTGTTGTTGTTGTTTTTTTTTTGAGACAGAGTCTTACTCTGTTACCCAGGCTGGAGTACAGTGGCACGATCTCCACTCACTGTAACCTCTGCCTCCCAGATTTAAGTGATCCTCCCGCCTCAGCCTCCCAAGTAGCTGGGAGTACAAGCATGCGCCACCACACTCGGCTAATTTTTGTATTTTTAGTAGAGACGGGGTTTTGCCATGTTGGCCAGGCTGGTCCCGAACTCCTGACCTCAAGTGTCCACTACCTCAGCCTCCCAAAGTGTCAGGATTACAGGCGTGAGCCACTGCGCCCTGCTGGTTTTCCAATTTATTGGCATATAGTTGCTCATAGTAGTCTCTAATGATCCTTTGAATTTCTGTGATATCAGTTGTAATGTCTTCTTCATCTCTGATTTTACTTATTTGGGTCTTTTTTTTCTTAGTCTGGCTAAAGGTTTGTCAATTTTCTTCTTTTCAAAAAACCAGCTTTTCATTTTGTTGATCTTCTGAATTTTTTAACTTGTAGTTTCATTTATTTCTGCTCTTGCTCTTTATTATTTCTTTTCTTTTCTTTTTTGTGACGGAGTCTTGGCGCTGTCCCCCAGGCTGGAGTGGAGTGGCACAATCTCGGCTCACTGCAACCTCTGCCTCCTGGGTTCAAGCGATTCTCCTGCCTCAGCCTCCCAAGTAGCTGGAACTACAGGCATGTGCCACCATGTCTGGCTAATTTTTGTATTTTTAGTAGAGATGGGGTTTCACCATGTTGGCCAGGCTGGTTATGAACTCCTGACCTCAGGTGATCCACCTGCCTTGGTCTCCCAAAGTGCTGGGATTATAGACGTGAGCCACCATATTATTTCTTTTCTAATATTAACTTTGGATTTGGTTTACTCTTTTCTAGTTCTTTAAGAAGCATCATTAGGTTGTTTATTTGAAGTTTTTCTACTTTTTTGATAAAGGTACTTACTGCTATAAGGTCTCCTCTTAGTACTGCTTTTGCTGTATTCCATAGGTTTTGGTATGTTTTTCCATTTTCGTGTGTTTCAAGGAGTTTTTAAATTTTCCCTCTTAATGGCCGGGCGCAGTGGCTCGTGCCTATAATCCCAGCACTTCGGGAGGTCGAGGTGGGCGGATCACAAGGTCAAGAAAATGAGACCATCCTGGCCAACATGGTGAAACCCCATCTCTAGTAAAAATACAAAAAATTAGCTGGGCGTGGTAGCGGGTACCTGTAGTCCCAGCTACTCAGGAGGCTGAGGCAGGAGAATTGCTTGAACCCGGGAGGCGGAGGTTGCAGTGAGCTGAGATCGTGTCACTGCACTCCAGCCTGGTGACAGAGCAAGACTCTGTCTCAAAAAAAAAAAAAAAAAAAATCCAACTCTTAATTTCTTCATTGACCTACTGATCATTCAGCAGCATGCTGTTTAATTTCCTTGTGTTTGTATACTTTCCAAAGTTCCTCTTGTTATTGATTTCTGATTTTATTCCATTGTGATCAGAGAAGATGCTTGATCTGGGGCTGGGCATGGTGGCTCATGCCTGTAATCCCTGCACTTTGGGAAACCGGGTGGGTGGATCACCTGAGGTCAGGAGTTCAAGACCAGCCTGCCCAACATGGTGAAACCCTGTCTCTACTAAAAATATAAAGATTAGCTGGGCGTGGTGGTGCACACCTGTAATCCTAGCTACTCAGGAGGCTGAGGCAGGAGAGTCGCTTGAACCTGGGAGGCGGAGGTTGCAGTGAGCCAAGACCGTGCCATTGGACTCCAGCCTGGGGGACAAGAGTGAGACTCCATCTCAAGAAAAAAAAAAAAGAGAGAGATGCTTGTTCTTATTATTATTTTTTTTTTGTAAAGACTTGTGACCTAACATATGATCTATTCTTGACGATGATTCATGTGCTTAGAAGAATGTATTCTATAGCCATTAGATGAAATGTTCCATAAATATCTATTAGGTCCATTTGGTCTATAGTGCAAATTAGGTCTGATGTTTCCTTGTTGATTTTCTGTCTGGATAATCTGTCCAATGCTGAAAGTGGGAGGTTGAAGTCTCCAACTGTTATTGTACTGGGGTCTATCTCTTTCTTTAGCCCTAATAATATTTGCTTTATATATCTGAATGCTTCAGTATTGGCTGCATATATGTTTACAATAGTTATATTCTCTTGCTGAGCCTCTTATTATATAATGACCTTCTTTACCACTTTTTTTTTTTTTTTTTGAGACAGAGTCTCACTCTGTCACCCAGGATGGAGTGCAGTGGCATGATCTCAGCTCATTGCAACCTCCACCTCCCGGGTTCAAGTGATTCTCCCACCTCAGTCTCCCGAGTAGCTGCAATTACAGGCACCTGCCACCACGACCAGCTAATTTTTTTTTTTTTTTTTTTTTAGGCAGAGTCTCGCTCTGTCGCCCAGGCTGGAGTGCAGTGGTGTGTTCTCAGCTCACTGCAAGCTCTGCCTCCCGGGTTCACGCCATTCTCCTGCCTCAGCCTCCCAAGTAGCTGGGACTACAGGCACCTGCCACCATGCCCAGCTAATTTTTTTGTATTTTTAGTAAAGATGAGGTTTCACCATGTTAGCCAGGATGGTCTCAGTTTCCTGACCTCGTGATCCTCCCACCTCGGCCTCCCAAAGTGCTGGGATTACAGGCATGAGCCACCGAGCCCAGCCTAATATTTGTATTTTTAATAGAGATGGGTTTTCGCCATGTTGGCTAGGCTTGTCTTGAACTCCTGACCTCAGATGATCCACTCACCTTGGCCTCCCGAAGTGCTCGGATTGCAGGTGTGAGCCACTGCGCCTGGCCTCTTTTTTTTCTTTTTCTGTGGAGATAGCATCTTGCTGTATTGTCCAGGCTGGTCTTGAACTCCTGGGCTCAAGCAACTCCTGGGTTCCTCTTGCCTCGGCCTCCCAAAGTGTTGGGATTACAGGCATGAGCCATCACACCTAGTCTTAAAATCTATTTTATCTGATATAAGTATATAGCTACTTTTGCTCTTTTTTGGTTTCCATTAGAATATCTTTTTCCATCCCTTTATTTTTAGTCTATGTGTGTCTTTATAGGTGAAGAGTTTTTATAGGCAGCTAATCATTAGGTCTTTTTTTTTTAAATCTATTCAGCCACTCTATGTCTTTTGATTGGAGAGTTTAGTCCATTTACATTCAATGTTATTATTTATAAGTAAGGACTTACTACTGCCATTTTTAAATTTGTTTTCTGATCTTCCCTTCCTCCCTTCCTTCCATCTTCCTTTTTATGAAAGTGATTTTCTCTGGTGGTATGTTTTAATTTCTTGCTTTATATTTTTGTGTATCTGTTGTAGGCTTTTTGATATGAGTTTAGCATGAGGCTTGCAAATACCATCTTATAACCCATTATTTTAAACTGATGACAACTCTGATTGCAAAAACAAGCAGAGAAAACTAATACTCTAACTTCATCCCTCTGATTTTTAACTTTTTGTTTCTACAATATTTATATCTTATTATACTATGTCTTAAAAAGCTGTAGTTATTATTTTTGATAGGTTTGCCTTTTAGTCTACTACTCAAGATATGAATAGTTTACATATTTGTAGAGGTGCCACCTTGGTGATCTTGGGTACGATCTTGGAGAATTCCCTGGATCACCGTTAGCAGTGACGAGTCTGTACAGGTCTGCAGCAACTCGATTCTTGCCTCCTCAGAGGAAAGAATTTGGCCAAGCAGCATAAGGCAGAGTGAGAGACCAAGGCAAAGTTTAAAGCAGGGGTAAACGTTTATTAAAAAGTTTTAGAGCAGGAATGAAAGGAAGTAAAGTACACTTGGAAGAGGGCCAAGCGGGCGACTTGAGAGATTCAAGTGCCCCGTCCGACCCTTCACTGGGGGTTTCTATACATTAGCATGGTTCTGAGGTTTGTGCCCTCCCTTGATTTTTCCTTGGGGTGGGCTGTCTGCATGTCAGTGGCCTGCCAGCACTTGGGAGGGGCCGCATGTGCAGTGTGTTTACTGAAGTTGTGCGCATGCTCATTTGAGGCATTTTCCTTTACCAGTCGAGCCTTCCCAGAGGAAGGTTATATACCAGTTAAAATCTGCCATCTTGCCTCTTACTATGTATGCATGAGCCTGCTTGCCCAACTCCTGAGATCTTATCGGGAAGCTGCTGATCACCAGCTTCAAGTGTTTTCTATCTTTTTTTTTGAGATGAAGTCTCACTCTGTTGCCCAGGCTGGAGTGCAGTAGCGCGATCTCGGCTCACTGCAACATCCGACCCCTGGGTTCAAGCGATTCTCCTGCCTCAGCCTCCCGAGTAGCTGGGAGTACGGGCATGCGCCACCACGCCCAGATAATTTTTGTATTTTTGGGTAGAGATGGGTTTCTCTGTGTTGCCCAGGTTGGTCTTGAACTCCTGGCCTCAAGTGATCCATGTGCCTTTGCCACCCAAAGTGCAGGGATTACAGGCATAAGCCACCAAGCCCGGCCCAGAAATGTTTTCTTTTGGGAGGATTTATCTCTTAATCTTTACCGCTTGGCCTTGCCAACTTAATTTGCAGATTAATTCCCCCCAAAGACAGATGGGGAATAACAGAAATATTTAAGTGTTTGACAGCTTCCTCTTAGTAACGTTCTCCTAGGCTTCATTCCAAGATATCAAGAGAGGTAAACATTTTGCAGTCTTCCAGAGAGGAGCTGAGGTACACGGGAAAAGTTTCATGCTCATGTTACAACTGTAGTGACCCACAGTTTTTCAGGGAGTATAAGAAAAAGATAACACCCAGTGTCAGGCCCTTATAAAGCCTCAACTTTCAGAATCCTTTCACAATGTTAGATTTGCTGATCAATGAATATATAACTGAACATTAAGAGTAATAATGGGGCTGGGTACGGTGGCCCATACCTGTAATCCCAGCACTTTTAGAGGCCAAGGCAGGAGGATCACTTGAGCCCAGGAGTTTGAGACCAGCCTGGGCCACATGGTGAAACCCCGTCTCTATAAAAAATACAAAAATTAGCCGGGTGTGGTGGTGTATTGCCAGTTACTTGGGAGGCTGAGGTGGGAGGATCAGCTGAGCCCAGAAGTTTGAGGATGCAGTGAGCTATGATTGTGCCACTGCACCATTCCAGCCTGGGTGACAGAGTGAGACCCTGTCTCAAAAAGAAAAAAAAAAAAGACTAATAATGGCAAACATTTACTTGGCATTTACCGTCAGTCAGCCACAATGCTGAACACCATGATTGTCTCAGCTAAAGGATACACCACCTCTCTGATAGTTAACAAGTAACTGATCATTAACTGAGTGCTTACTGTATGCCAGCCATTGGTTTAACCTCATTAGATATGTTACCTCATTTCATCCTCACACAATCCCCAAGGAAGGATTATTATCATCCCTTTTTTATAGATGAGGAAGCTGAAACTTAGAGAGGTTGACTTGCCCAAAGTCACTTAACAGCTGAGAATATCTGTGGAGGGAAGGCGAAATCCCATGCCAGGCAGCCTGACCTCAGACCCTGCACTCTCAGTCCCCAAGCCGTGACAATATTTGAAATGTTCTGAGGCTACTGATATAAGAAAAAACAATTTTTTTCCAGACAGAATTTTGATTCTTTCACATCTGTCCTATTGCTGGGCAAAACCTCTTGTGTGTTCTGTGATTGGATCTGCTTTCAGAGTGCTGAGAGCTCTGTGCAGGGGAGAAAATCCTTCAAAAACCTAGGAGAATGATAATAAAAGCAATAGTGATAATAAATGATAATGATAAGAATTATAAAAATATAAATTTTATAAAATTATAACATATAAGTATAAAATTTACAAAATATATACTTATATAAAAGATAAATATATATAAGATAAAATATAAATACATATATATTTTATAAGATAAATAAATAAATAAATATATTTTTGAGACGGAGTCTGGCTCTGTCGCCCAGGTTTGAGTGCAGTGGTGCAATCGCGGCTCACTGCAACCTCCGCCTCCCAGATTCATACAATTCTCCTGCCTCAGCCTCCTGAGTAGCTGGGATAATAGGCGCCTGCCACCACGCCTGGCTAATTTTTTGTATTTTTAGTAGAGACGGGGTTTCACCATGTTGATCAGGCTGGTCTCAGACTCCTGACATTGTGATCCGCCCGCCTCGGCCTCCCAAATTGCTGGGATTACAGGCATGAGCCGCCAGACCCGGCCTATATGTATTTTATATATATCAAGTATGTATATCTGATATATATATATAAAACAAAGTATATCTATTTTGTAAATATATATTTATTTTATAAAAATATAAAATATAAATAATACATCATAAACGATAGTAAAGATAATAAACACAGCGCGGCAGCCCCATCCCCTTTTTCTACTCACCCCTAAAACAAATCCGTATAAAAATCAAGTTTATTAAGGAGCAAGTCCCACCCTTTTTATTTAGAAGCCAGTGTCTATAGGATCGCTCTTGGCTATTGTTGGATTAATTCCAGGGTAGGGGAAAACTCCAGTTTTTGAGCCGGACACGCACTCCTGCTTTTCAGGACCTTTTTAATTTTGATGTTTTCAACTTTTAGGCCCAGGGGTCCATGTACAGGTTGCTATATAGGTAAATTGCGTGTCACGGGGGTTGGGTGCACAGATTGTTTCGTCACCCAGGTACTAAGTGGAGCACCGGATAGGTAGTTTTT
Organism: Homo sapiens; assembly: GCF_000001405.40. NCBI lineage: Eukaryota > Metazoa > Chordata > Mammalia > Primates > Hominidae > Homo > Homo sapiens. Next base: position 123,670,978 of record NC_000012.12, read on the forward strand.
CAGCCCTCACTCTCCCCACCAGAGTCAAGCAGCAAAAATGCTAGGCCTTGTGGGCGGGGCCGGGGTGCCCGCTCTTGCCACTGGTCCAATCACAGCGCGGCGTTCCTCCTGGCCGGCCGCCGATTGGTGGTTGCCATAGCTCCGGGCGTTCGCTTGCAAGATGGCGGCGGCGGGGCAGTGGCTGCTGCGTTTTCGTGTCTGAGTCCTTCCTGGGTTCTAATGAGGGCGCGGTTCTGCTGTGCCCGGCCCGCGAGGTCTAAGGCATGGGCTTCCAGCCTCCGGCCGCTCTTCTTTTGAGGCTTTTCCTTCTGCAGGGCATCCTGAGGCTTCTGTGGGGGGACCTGGGTGTGTACGGCGCGGCAGTGACCTCGGTGGGCCGGGGCTGAGGGGACTGGGCGTTAAAAGGGCCAGACTTGGACTCCCCCGGGAGCTTCGGGAGTCGACAACGCCAAAGCAAGCCGCCACACACACCTTAGGCGGTGATTCTTCCACTGCTAACCCCTCCTTGTCCCCTTTCCTTCCCGCCTAGCTTTCATCCCTCCTTTTATCCGAATGTCCGGCCCTGCGGTCAGCGCGTCCCTGGTCGGAGACACCGAGGGTGTGACCGTGTCCCTGGCAGTGCTGCAGGACGAGGCGGGTAAAGTCCGGCCCTCTTTTGGGGAGGGTGGGGGTTGGACTGGATCCAGACCTCCCAAGGAGCCTGGAGAGGTGGCATCCTTGGGGCCCCCTGCCTCTGTTCTCTGCAAAGTCGCATGGGGAGAAAAGGATCGGGCGGCTGCTGTAGGCCAAAGAGGACAGACGGACAGGTTCGAAGAAAGCCTGAAATAATAATGGTTAGCATTCATTGAGCTAACATCGTGCATCATCCCATTTTCCTAGTAAGAACAGTAATATCTTTTCATCCCCTTTGACCAAGGAAGAAACAAGTTCAGAGAGGTTGTCACTGTCCCAGTGTCAAGCAGCTTGTAAAGGGCCCAATCTTAGGCTGTAATGTGAGTCCATCCTAGGCAGTCTGACTCAATGCACCCCCTGAGCTGCTGGACCTTGCTGCCTTTGCATGCTGGTCTTCTTTCTTTAGGAATATTGCCAATTCCGACGTGTGGAGTGCTGAACAATGAGACGGAAGACTGGAGCGTGACTGTGATCCCCGGTGCGGTAAGGCCAGAAGTAAACCTTCTCTGTAGCCTGTGAAGAGGCCCCCAGCTAGGGTTTCTGCAGTGCTCTCTTTATTTAACAAGGCATGGCTTTCTCCATGCTCTCAACAATCATGAAATTGTGGGCTGTTGGATCTGGTAGACACTTATCCAGCCCACGGGTTCCTTACCCTGGGGTTAGGAGTCCTTGGATGTATTTCAGTGGGTCTGTGAACTCTATGAAATTGTATGTAAAGTTCTGTGTGTATGTGCATTTTTCTGATGAGAGGGTCACCAGTTTCCTTTAGATCATCAAATGGGTCAGTGATTCAAAAAAGCTTTATGCCAGGCATCGTGGCTCACGCCTGTACTCATAGCGCTTTGGGAGATTGAGGCGGGAGGATTGCTTGAGCCCAGGAGTTCCAGACCAGCCTGTAACATAGCGAGACCTCGTCTCTACAAAACAATTAAAAAAAAAATTAGGTGGGTGGCGTACACCTACAGTCCCAGATACTTGGAGGGGGGTGGGGTAGCTGAGGCAAGAGGATTATTTGAGCCCAGGAGTTCAGGGCTGCAGAGAGCTATGATCGCACCACTGCACTTCATCCAGCCTGGGCAACAGAGCAAGACCCTGTCTCTTAAAAAAAAAGAAAAAGCTGGTCAGGCGCGGTGGCTCACGCCTGTAATCCTAGCACTTTGGGAGGCCGAGGAGGGCGGATCATCTGAGGTCAGGAGTTCAAGACCAGTCTGGCCAACATGGTGAAACCCATCTCTACTAAAAATACAAAAATTAGCTGGGCGTGATGGCGGGTGCCTGTAATCTCAGCTACTTTGGAGGCTGAGGCAGGAGAATCACTTGAACCCGGGAGGCAGAGATTGCAGTGAGCCGAGATCACGCCACTGCACTCCAGCTTGGGTGATGAGCGAGACTCCGTCTCAAAAAAAAAAGCTTCATAACCACTGATCTTGCCCAACTCTGAGCTTATGTGTAAGGATACTCAAACCTGGAGAGATTAAGCATCTTCTATTTAATAAGTGTTTATTGGATACCTAGTATATGCAACATCAATTCTGGAGAGAAAAGGACAGGAAAGACAAGCTCTGCTTGTACCCCAGGAGTGAACATGTACATGTCTAAAGTCATTCTGGGATAAACTGAGGATTGTTTTCATTGACTTTTTTTGTGTATTTACTCTTCCACTGATAGGATGATAAAGAAACTAAAAAGGTGTACAATAAACTGAGTTTATTTATCAGATCTGTGTTTAGCTTTCTCTAAGTATCCCGAAGTTGTTTGCTTTTATGTTAAGGAAGAAGAATCAGGGCTTGCATGTTACCATAGGTTTATGGGGGGGAACTGAAGATAACTGTGTCATCTCTGTATACATTTCCCTTTTATAAAATGAACGGAGGCTGATGTGTACTTTTATTGTGTTTTCCATTATGTATTCTTATAGACCCTGTTTTGAGTCACTTTAAAAATACAGCAATGTTTTCCTTTCAGAAGGTGTTGGAAGTGACAGTGAGGTGGAAGAGAGGTCTGGACTGGTGTTCCTCCAATGAGACAGATTCCTTCTCAGAGTCCCCCTGTATCCTCCAGACCCTTCTGGTTTCAGCATCTCATAATTCATCCTGTTCAGCACATCTACTCATTCAAGTGGAAATTTATGCCAACTCTTCTCTGACCCATAATGCCTCAGGCAAGTGAAGTCTTTGACTGTCAAAACTTTCATGTTGTTCCCAGCTACTTAGGAGGAAGAGGTAGGAGGATTGCTTGAGCCCGGGAGGTTGATGCTATAAATGAGCTGCCCGGGAGGTTAATGCTACAAATGAGCTGTGATCGCGCCACTGCGTTCCAGCCAGGGTGACAGAGTGGGACCCTGTCTCAAAAAAAACCAAAAACAAAAACAAAAAAAGAAAAATTTGTGTCAAGCTTACCTGTTTGATTATAAGTGTATGCCATGCAATTTGTAAAGTATACTTCACTTGAGTCTGTCTTGCTTTTCTAAACTTATTTTTCTTTTGTTTAGTTTTCTTTTAAGAAATTTCATTTTGTACTATTTTATTTAACATTTATTTGATCTTTCTCTACTGTTTGCATCTTTATAAGCTACCTTGAATCCTTTTTGGGAGAAGGTGAAATTTGTTTATGTACATTGATTCTCTCTCTTTTTTTTTTGAGATGGAGTCTAAGTCTGTCACCAGGCTGGAGTGCAGTGTTGTGATCTCGGCTCACTGCAACCTCCACTTCCTGGGCTTAAGCGATTCTCCTGCCTCAGCCTCCCGAGTAGCTGGGACTACAGGCTCACGCTACCACGCCCAGCTAATTTTGTACTTTTAGTAGAGATGGGGTTTCACCATGTTGGCTGGGATGGTCTTGATCTCCTGACCTTGTGATCCGCCTGCCTCGGCCTCCCAAAGTGCTGGGATTACAGGCGTGAGCCACTGTGCTCGGCACGTGCATTGATTGTCATGACTGCATCTTAAGAAGAAAAAAGGAAGGGTGGCCAGACGCAGTGGCTCCCACACTGTAAGTGCTTTGGGAGGCCAAGGCGGGGGAATTTCTTGAGCCCAGGAGTTCGAGACCAACCTGGGCAACACAGCAGATACTGTCTCTATAAAAAATTTTAAAAAGCTGGGCATGATGGTGCCTGCCTGTAGCCCTAGCTACTAGGGAGGCTGAGGTGGGAGGATCGCTTGAGCGTAGGAGTTTGAGGCTGATGAAGTTTACATCATTTCCAGCTTTTTTTAAAATTTATTTTTATTTTCATTTTTTTTAGAGACACGGTCTCACTCTGTTACCCAGGCTGGAGCTAGAGTGCAGGGGCACGATCCTGGCTTGCTGCAGCCTCAACCTTCCTGGTTCAGGCGATCCTCCTGCCACAGCCTCCATAGTAGCTGGGGCTACTGGCGTGCACCACCACACCTGGCTAGTTTTTACATTTTTTGTAGAGACAGGGTCTCACTATGTTAGCCAGGCTGGTTTTGAACTCCTGGGCCCAGGTGATCCTCCCACCATGGCTTCCTGAAGTACTGGGATTACAGGCAGGAGCCACTGCACCTGGTCTGTTCCCAGCTTTTGATGCTACAGCAAAGATCGTTATGCCCGTGTACATGAATCTTTGGACATGAGAAAATGGTTTTGTGTTCATCTCCGTCTCACATGATGTTAGTGTTCTTAAACCAAAAGAGCTTTCAACTAGATGTGCCGATGTAGAGGGCTCTGCAGTGATGAGTGCTACTGCCATGTCCCCTGTCTCCGGTGGCGAACTCTGACATCTCTTGCCTTTATGGCCACGTGGCATGGAGGGAGAAGCGTTCCAGACTTTAGTAGCAAAAGTCTGTTACCTGGAGACTCCTTTACTGCCGCTTCCCTTATTACATCCCTAACTGTGGTCCTCCTGGTGCTTCTGGAAGTTTAGGATGATAAGACAAGTTTTGACAGCTCCTTTCAGCAGACTACTGTGCCCTCAGTGTACTTGCATGGAAAGGCCTCCATGATGAATGAAGTGAAAAAAGCAAGTGCAGATGGCTGCCTACAGTGTGCTATCTTTTGCATAAAGGAGGCAGAAATGAAAACATTTGCATAAAGAAATTCTGGAAGGATGTTGGAGAAGCTAATAATGTGCTACCAAGTTGGAGGATGATGTGGGAACAGGAAAGGGCTGACAGTGAGGAATTTTTTAATATGCTTTTGATTTTTTGGAACCATGCAAATGTGTTACCCACTTAAAAGTTTTAAATTTTTCTATGGCTTAAAATTCAAAACAAAGCCAAAAAAACCGTATTCAATGATGAAAAAAAAAATCCCCCCAAAACAACAGAAGGGATTCATGATAGCTGTACCATTCAAAGCACTGACTTTTTTCCTTTGAGAAATATGCTTGAGGCCAGGTGGTGGCTCATGCCTGTAATCCCAACACTTTTAGAGGCTGAGGTGAGTGGGCCACTTGAGCCTAGGAGTTCAAGACCAGCCTGGGCAACATGGCAAAACCCTGTCTCTACAAACAAATACTACAATTAGCTGTGCGTGGTAGTCGGTGCCTGTAGCCCCAGCTATGAGGGAGGCTGAGGTCGGGGGATCGCTTGAGCCCAGGAGGTGGAGGCTGCAGTGAGCCAGGATTGCTCCATGTACTCCAGCCTGGTCGACAGAGCAAGACCTTGTCTCTAAAAAAAGACCGGGCGCGGTGGCTCACGCCTGTAATCCCAGCACTTTGGGAGGCTGAGGTGGGCGGATCACGAGGTCAGGAGATCGAGACCATTCTGGCTAACACGGTGAAACCCCGTCTCTACTAAAAATACAAAAAATTAGCCGGGTATGGTGGCGGGTGCCTGGAGTCCCAGCTACTCGAGAGGCTGAGGCAGGAGAATGGCGTGAACTCGGGAGGTGGAGCTTGCAGTGAGCCAAGGTCACACCACTGCACTCCAGCCTGGGTGACAGAGCGAGACTCCATCTAAAAAAAAAAAAAAAAAAAAAAAAAGGAAAATATGCTTCAGTATATTTAGGTAATATTTAATATTTTAGAATACCAAACTTAGAAAATTGAACATCTTTGTATATGAGTGATTGAGTTGTCAGCTCTGACCCCATGAAGGCATGAAAAATTTTTTACTCAGCCAGCCAGCGATTAAAACTAGAAAAAGAATGGAAGCACAGACAGGAGGTATGTGTCATACCCAGTAACAATGAAGCCAGCGAACAATGTAGAAAACATAAATCAACACACAAACATCTATTTGTATAACACATAGTAAAACCCTATTCTGAAGTGTCTCGTGGCTGGGGGTGGTGGCTCATGTACTATGCCTGTAATTCCAGCACTTTGGGAGGCCAAGATGGGAGGATCACTCGAGCCCAGGAGTTTGAGACCAGCATGGACAACATAGTGAGACCCTGTCTTTACAGAAAATATGAACGTTACCTGAGCATGATGGTGCACACCTGTGGTCCCAGCTACTTGAGAGGCTGAGGTGGGAGGATCACTTGAGCCCTGGGAGGTTGAGGCTGCAGTGAGCTGTGATTGTGCCATTTCACACTTCAGCCTGGGCAGCAGAGTGAGACCCTGTCTCAAAAAAAAATCAATAAAGTGCCTTGCTTGTGTCACATGGGTTTGATAACACTGAGGGTCAGACCCTTACCCGTGTAACGTGGTCTGCGATGTGGACCTTCTCCTTGTTCCGGATACCATTGATGTATCATTGACCTTCTGCTATGTTACAGGATAGAACAGATCGTTAGTTGTTCTTTAGATACTTCAGCTATTGTGTCATTACAGTTAACTGTTATGTGGGGTTTAAACAAATAGTTCCTGCATGGTTTTCTAACGTGTACCAAATGCAAAAGTAAAATTCAGCAGAATGAAACTTTTATCTGATAAATGATTGGAGAGAAATCCAAAGCATTACTGTCACTGGATTCTGAGTTAGGAGGCTGAAATGTCGTGTAACATATTCCTCTTCAAAGAGGAAAACAAGTTCGGAAACCTGTAATATCCTGAAGAGTTATAAACAACGGGCCCTGCCAATGTTTACCTTTTTAGCATTTCTCCTGAGCTGCTTTCTCTGGCCTTGTCCCATTCACGCCCGCCACCTTCTCCCCTGCACCACAGTGTTCCCCCTATTCATCCACCCCCTCTGTCTTCCACCTACAGCTCTCCAGTAGCCCCTCTTACCTGTACAAACTCTTTCTTTTTTTTTAAAGTATAGATGGGGTTTCTCCATGTTGGTCAGGCTGGTCTCGAACTCCTGACCTCAGGTGATTCCCCCGCCTTGGCCTCCCAAAGTGCTGGGATTACGGGCCTGAGCCACTGTGCCTGGCTACCTGTACAAACTCTTACGTGTGTTTCAGGCTCAGCGCATTCTCTCTCTCTGCAAGTCTTCCTGACGCCCAGCCTAAGCCACGTGCCCTCCCTGGGTTCCCATGGCAGATCCATTTCAGTGTTTACCCTTTATGGTCACATGATCTCTTTACCTGTCTCCTCCCTCTGAGAGTGCGAGCCCCTCAGGGAAGCTGTTGTGTCTCACTGTATCATCCCTGCATAACCCAGCCCCCCATACTCTCGTGGTCAGACCACATTTGTCCCACCTGCACTGTTGGGTACCACAGCCACGAACCATGTCTGGACACTGGACAGTTGAAAGGGGATGGGTCTTAATTGAGATGTGCTGTAACTGTTAAACAGCCACCAGTTTTTGAGGACTTAATGTGAAACAAAGAATGTGGAATAGCTCATTCATAATTTTTACATTGATTGCCTGTTGCAATGATATTATTTTGGATACGTTGGGTTCAGTAAAATATATTAAGTTAATTTTATCTGTTTCTTTTTTGTAGCCTGGGCTACTTTTTGTATTTTTATTAGAGACAGGGTTTCACTATGTTGGCCAGGCTGGTCTTGAACTCCTGACCTCAGGTGATCCACCCACCCTGGCCTCCCAAAGTGCTGGGTTTACAGGTGTGAGCCACCCCGCCCAGCCTAAAATCAGTACATTATGTATATACTAACTTGTGACTCTTAGTCAATTGATTATCTTCTAGATCAACTATGACTTCTTTGGTTCATTGTAACTGGCGTGTTTTCTTATGTTTGGGTTTTTGTTGGAGTGGTAGATGCAGGCCTCATATACTTCGTGGATTCCTTAATGTCAAATATTTGGTAATAATGATTTACAAAACAAGATAATTCAGCTTGCTTTTTTTTTTTTGACACGGAGTCTCACTGTGTCGCCCAGGTTGGAGTATAGTGGCACGATCTCGGCTCACTGCAAGCTCCGCCTCCCGGGTTCACACCATTCTCCTGTCTCAGCCTTCCAAGTAGCTGGGACTACAGGCGCCTGCCACCACGCCCAGCTAACTTTTTGTATTTTTAATAGAGACCGGGTTTCACCGTGTTAGCCAGAATGGTCTCGATCTCCTGACCTCATGATCCACCTGCCTTGGCCTCCCAAAATGCTGGGATTACAGGCGTGAGCCACCGCGCCTGGCCGATAATTCAGCTTTCTTTTGAATGTCAAAAATGTGACTGTGCTTTGTCGGAATGTTTCTTAGCTGAATTTTTCTGTTGTGTGTACTTTTCAGAGAACGTGACTGTCATTCCTAACCAGGTGTATCAGCCCCTTGGCCCTTGTCCTTGTAATTTAACAGCTGGAGCCTGTGATGTTCGCTGCTGCTGTGACCAGGTATGTTCTTTGGTTATTGGGCACAAAAGTTATGCTACCTGTGAGAACACCAGCAGTTCCACCAACAGCTTTTTTCATTTTTTATTTCTTGAGATAGGGTCTTGCTCTGTCACCCAGGCTGGAGTATGGTGATGCAATGATGGCTCACTGCAGCCTCGACCTCCCGGGCTCAAGTGATTCTCTTACCTCAGCCTCCTGAGTAGCTGGGACCACAGGCATGAACCATCACACCCAGCTAATTGTTTTGTATCTTTTGTAGAGATGGGATTTTGCCATGTTGCTCAGGCTGGTCTCAAATTCCTGGGATCAAACAGTCCTCCTACCTTGGCCTCCCAAAATGTTGGGATTACAGGTGTGAGCCACCATGCCTTGCCCCAACAGCTTTTTAAGGGATGGTCTTCCAAAACTGAGATTATGTTTTCTATTGCAAATTGTTTTCAAATTGAGTTTTTTTTTTTTTTTTTTTTTGAGATGGAGTCTCGCTCTGTCGCCCAGCCTGGAGTGCAGTGGCGTGATCTTGGCTCACTGCAAGCTCCGCCTCCCGGGTTCATGCCATTCTCCTGCCTCAGCCTCCTGAGTAGCTGGGACTACAGGCGCCCACCACCACGCCCAGCTAATTTTTTGTATTTTTAGTAGAGACGGGGTTTCACCGTGTTAGCCAGGATGGTCTTGATCTCCTGACCTCGTGATCCGCCCGCCTCGGCCTCCCAAAGTGCGGGGATTACAGGCGTGAGCCACCGCGCCCAGCCCAAATTGAGTATTTTTTTAAATTTAAAAATTTTGGTGGGCGCAGTGGCGCATACCTGTAATCCCAGCACTTTGGGTGGCCAAGGTGGGCGGATCACCTGAGGTCCGGAGTTTGAGACCAGCCTGACCAACATGGAGAAACCCCATCTCTACTAAAAATACAAAATTAGCCAGGCGTGTTGGTGGGCGCCTGTAATCCCAGCTACTCTGGAGGCTGAGGCAGGAGAATCGCTTGAACTAGGGAGGCAGAGGTTGCAGTGAGCCAGAATTGTGCCACTGCACTCCAGCCTGGGCAACAAGAGCGAAACTCCGTTTCAAAAAAAAAAAAAAAATCACACAACTTTTGAGTAAATTTTTTTTTTTTGAGACGGCCTCCTAAAGTGCTGGAATTACAGGTGTAAGCCACCATGCCCGGCCTGACTTTTTTTCTTTTAGGCTTAGAGCAATACAACATATAAACTCTATTTTCTTTCTTTTTTCTTTCTTTTTTTTTTTTTTGAGACAGAGTCTCGCTTTGTTGCCCAGGCTGGAGTGCAGTGACACGATCTCGGGTCACTGCAACCTCCACCTCCTGGATTCAAGTGATTCTTGTGCCTCAGCCTCCCGAGTAACTGGAACTACAGGTGTGCGCCACCACACCTGGCTAATTTTTGTATTTTTAGTAGAGGCGGGGTTTCACCATGTTGGCCAGGCTGGTCTTAAACTCCTGACCTCAGGTGATCTGCCTACCTCGGCCTCCCAAAGTGCTGGGATTACAGGAGTGAGCCACTGCACTGGGCCTAAATTCAGTATTTTCTTATCTGGCATAGTCAGTCTAGTTTTTGGAAGAAGGAAAGAATATCTCTTTGGATAAAATCATGATTGTGAAGATCATACTGGGGGGATGGTTTTAATAATATTTATTCAGAAACCTTTAAGAAATATAAAAAAAGAAAGAATAAGAAAGAACAGGCCTGGCGAAGCAGCTCACGCCTGTAATCCCAGCACTTTGGGAGGCCGATGTGGGTGGATCACTTGAGTTCAGGAGTTGGATACCAGCCTGGGCAACATGGCAAAACCCCATCTCTACAAAAATTAGCTGGGCATGATAGTGCAGGCCTGTAGTGCCAGCTCGGGAGGCTGAGCTGAGAGGATCGCTTGAGCCCAGGAGGTCAAGGCTGGAGTGAGCTATGATCACACCACTGCATGTCAGCCTAGGCGACAGAGCAAGACTCTCTTTCAAAAAAAAAGAAAGAAAGAAAGAAATCACAGGTTTTCAGTGATTTTTAGTAAATTTACACAGTTGTACAACCATCACCACAATCTATCTTCAGAACATTTCTACCACCCCAGAAAGAAATCGTGTGTCCCTGTAGCCGTTCCTATCTCCATCCCTCATCCAAGGCCTCCGTGAATCTGCCTCTGTCTCCATGAATTTGCCCATTTTGGACATTGCACGTATATGGAATCATGCAATATGTGGTCTTCAGTGACTTTCTTCTTGCACTTAGCATGATGCTTTTAAGGTTCTTTTACCTTGTAGCAGCTGTTACCACTTCATTCATTTTTGGTGTTTGAATCCTATTCCATTGTATGGATATATCACATATTTCTTATCTATTTATTGGCTAATGGACATTTGAGTTGTTTCTGTTTTTTGGCTATTATGAATAGTGCCGCTGTGAACATTTGTGGACAGGTTTTTGTGTGAACATATGTTTCCATTTCTCTTGGGGATATATATAGTGGAGTTGCTGGGTTGCGTTATTACTGTATGTTTAACCTTTTGAGGAACTAGTTTCTGAAGCAGTTGCATCATTTTAAATTCCCATCAGCAATGTATGTGGGGTATAATTTCTCTATATCCTCACCAACAGTTGTTATTATTTGTCTGTTTGGTTATAGCCATGTTAAGTAAGTGTGAACTGATATTTCTTTATGATTTCCTTCTTTGTTTTTTTCTTTAAATTTTTGAGACAGGGTCTTGCTCTGTCGCCCAGGATAGAATGCAGTGGTGCAATCACAGCTCACTGCAGCCTCAATCTCCCAGACTCAAGTGATCCTCTCACCTCAGCTTCCCAAGTGGCTGGAACCACAGGTGCACACCACCACACACAGTTAATTTTTGTGTTTTTTTGTGAAGGTGGGGTCTTGCTGTGTTGCCTAGGCTGGTCTACAATTCCTGGGCTCAAGCAATCCTCTGGCCTCAGCCTCCCAAAGTGCAGGGATTATAGGCGTGAGCCACCATGCTCTGCCCTCACTGTGATTTTGATTTATATTTCTCTAGTGGCAAATGATATAGAAGATCTTTTCATGTGCTTATGGGATATTTGTATATCTTTTTTGGAGAAATGTCTGTTTATACCCTTCACCCGTGTTTTAAATTGGGCTGTCTTTTTGCTGAATTGTAAGAGGGTTCACTATATATTCTGGATTCTAGTTTCTTTTTTTTGTTTGTTTTATTTATTTTTTATTTATTTTTTGAGATGGAGTTTCGCTCTTGTTGCCTAGGCTGGAGGGCAATGGTGTGATCTCGGCTCACTGCAGCCTCCGCCTCCCAGGTTCAAGCGATTCTCCTGCCTCAGCCTCCTGAGTAGCTGGGATTACAGGTGCGTGCCACCACGCCTGGCTAATTTTTATATTTTTAGCGCAGATGGGGTTTCACCATGTTGGCCAGGCTGGTCTCGAACTCCTGACCACAAGTGATCCGCCCGCCTCAGCCTCCCAAAATGCTGGGATTAGAGGGGTGAGCCACTGTGCCTAGCCAGGTTGTCTGCTTTCTTGTTGTTGTCCTTTGAGGCACAGACATTTAAAAATTTGATGAAGTCCAATTTATCTCATTTTTTTCTTCTGTTGCTTGTATTTCTGGTGTCATATTTCAGAAACCATTGTTTAATCCTGGCGAAATACACATTTAAAATTTTTTGGCCGGGCTCAGTAGCTCACGCCTATAATCCCAGAACTTTGGGAAGCCGAGGTGGGTGGATCACCTGAGGTCAGGAGTTCGAGACCAACCTGGCCAACATGGTGAAACCCCATCTGTACTAAAATACAAAAATTAGCTGGACGTGGTGGCCGGTGCCTGTAGTCCCAGCTATTCCGGCGGCTGAGGCGGGAGAATCACTTGAACCCAGGAGGCAGAGGTTGCAGTGAGCCAAGATCGTACCACTGCACTCCAGCCTGGGCGACAGAGTGAGAGTCCATCTCAAAAAAATAATAATAATAATTTTTGATTAACCTTTTTTTCTGATTCTATTTATTTATTTATTTTTATTATTATTTTGAGACAGAGCCTTGTTCTGTCACCCAGGCTGGAGAGCAGTGGTGCCATCTCCGCTCACTGCAACCTCTGCCTCCTGGCTTCAGCATTCCTCCCGCCTTGGCCTCCCAAAGCGATGGGATTACAGGAGTGAGCCACCATGCCCAGCTAATTTTTTGTGTCTTTAGTAGAGATGGAGTTTTGCCGTGTTGGCCAGGCTGGTCTTGAACTCCTGGCCTCAAGTGATCTGCCCACCTTGACTTCCCAAAGTGCTGGATTACAGGTGTGAGTCACCGTGGCTGGCCTTTTCTTATTTTTATTTTTAACCTTTCTTTTTTAACCTATCAAGAAGAAGCACTGAAGCACATTTAAAATTTTTTTTGAGACGGAGCCTCGCTCTGTTGCCCAGGCTGGAGTGCAGTGGCACGATCTTGGCTCACTGCAACCTCCGTCTCCCAGGTTCAAGCGATTCTCCTGCCTCAGCCTCCCAAGTAGTTGGGATTACAGGCGCGTGCCACCATGCTCAGCTAATTTTTTGTATTTTGTTGTAGAGATGGGGTTTCACCGTATTAACTAGGGTGGTCTTGATCTCCTGACCTCGTGATCCACCCACCTCAGCCTCCCAAATTGCTGGGATCACAGGCGTGAGCCACTGCACCTGGCCACAATTTTTGTTCTTATTTAAATTTAAGGGGAATGAGAACTGCAAAAGAAGAAATTTACTGGTACCCAAGTCCCAAGTCCCTCTCGTATTTGGGTGAGGACAGTTAATGTTTCATTGGTTTTTTACTTCCCCACTGGGAAATGCAAACTTATTTTTTTAAAACAGCTTCACTGACGTATGATTGGCATAGAAAAGCTGCAGATATTCAAAGTATCCTTGAATATGTGTTTGGAGATAAGTACACACCCATGAGCTCATCCACGCAGTCAATACCATATGCTTTCCCCTCACCTCCAAAGGTTTCCTTTGGTTTTTTTGGTTGTTGTTTTGTTTTGTTTCCTTTTGTGGTGAAAGCACTTAACATAAGATCTACCCTCTTAGCAAATTTTTAAGTGTCCTATCATGGTTGGTTTCACTAAACAGGAAAGGGAAGTTTAGGGTCTGCATTAATATTGTCATTCTTTTTTTTTTTTTTTTTTTAAGACAGAGTCTTGATCCGTCGCCCAGGCTGGAGTACAGTGGTGCGATCTCGGCCCGCTGCAACCTCCGCCTCCCGGGTTCAAGCAATTCTTCTGCCTCAGCTTGCTGAGTAGCTGGGATTACAGGCATGCACAACCACACCTGGCTAATTGTTGTATTTTCAGTAGAGACGAGTTTTGCCATGTTCACCAGGCTGGCCTCGAACTCCTGACTGCAAGTGATCTACCCACCTTGGCTTCCCAAAGTGCTGGGATTATAGGCGTGAGCCCCCACACCTGGCCAATATTGTGATTTTTACACTAAAAATTATCCTAAGAACAATTAAATTTAATTAAAAGAGTAAAGTACAGCGGCCGGGCACGGTGGCTCACCACTGTAATCCCAGCACTTTGGGAGGCCGAGGTGGGTTGATCATGAGGTCAGGAGATAGAGAACATCCTGGCCAACATGGTGAAACCCCGTCTCTTCTAAACATGTAAAAATTAGCGGGGTATGTTGGTGGGTGCCTGTAGTCCCAGCTACTCAGGAGGCTGAGGCAGGAGAATCGCTTGAACCCAAGAGGAAGAGGTTGCAGTGAGCTGAGATCGCGCCACTGCACTCCAGCCTGGGTGACAGAGCGAGACTCCATCTCAAAAAAAAAAAAAAAAGAGTAAAGTACATCATACATTTGGCTCAGGTATCATTAGAATTGTCAAATGGCCCCTCCTTCTCTTCCTTCCAGGCCACGCTGTGTCCCATGTCGGACTCCCTTTTGCATGTGTTGTGCTGTGTGCTACAGTACCAGCCCCTGACGTCCTTTAGTATTCTGGATCAGTGACATCTTCAGATAACCACAATGCAGCAGCACTTTATAAACAATCAATTTTTAATTTGAATTGCTCTCGTTTCAAATGAGAGATCACTTCTCTACTGTCAATAAACAAAGATTCAGGACGTAATTTAACTTACAGCTCTCTGGATCCTTCGTGAAACAAGGAAAAATACAGATGAATATCTGAATCAAGTAACTTCTTTTTTCGAGACGGAGTCTTGTTCTGTCACCCAGGCTGGAGTGCAGTGGTGTGATCTCTGCTCACTGCAACCTCTGCCTCCTGGGTTCAAGTGAGTCTCCTGCCTCAGCCTCCCAAATAGCTGGGATTATAGGTGTGTGCCACCACGCCTGGCTAATTTTTTTATTTTTAGTAGAGATGGGGTTTCACCATGTTGGCCAGGCTGGTTTTGAACTCCTGACCTTAGGTGATCCGCGTGCCTCAGCCTCCCAAAGTGCTGGGATTACAGGTGTGAGCCACTGCGCCCGGTCTTTTTTTTTTTTTTTTTTTTTTTAAGAAGCAGGGTCTTGTTCTGTTGCCCAGGCTGGACTTCAGTGGCCCAATCATGGCTCACTGCAGCCTCAGCCTCCTGGACTCAAGCAGTCCTTTCCTCAACCTCCTGAGTAGCTGGGATCACAGATGTCCACCACCATGCCTGGCTAATTTTTTTTTTTTTTTAATTTTGTCGGGGCTGAGTCTCTCTATGTTGCCTAGGCTGGTCTCAAACTTCTGGGCTCAAACATTCATTCCACCTCAGCCTCCCAAAATGTTAGGATTTCAGGCATGATGCACTGCGTGCAGTCCAAGTAATTTATTTATTTATTTATTTATTTATTTTGAGACAGAATCTCACTGTGTTTCCCAGGATGGAGTGCAGTGTGTGATCTTGGCTCACTGCAACCTCTGCCTCCTGGGCTCAAGCAATTCTCATGGCTCAGCCTCCTGAGTAGCTGGGATTACAGGTGCCCACCACCACACCCGGCTAATTTTTGTATTTTTAGTAAATATGGGGCTTCACCATGTTGGCCAGTCTGGTCTCACACTCCTGACCTCAAGTGATCCACCTGCCTCGGCCTCCCAAAGTGTTGGGATTACAGGCGTGAGCCCCTGCACCCAGCCCCAAGCAATTTCTTGATGACATTAATTGGGTCGTGTTATAATCTAGTGAGGGCCTGGAGGATCCTTGTGGAATATGGAACGTTTCCCCTCACTCTAAATGTCTGGAGGCTTTTCTGGGCTAAGGGTTTGAATGGTAATGACAATTAAGAAAGGAGGTTTACTATGTTTTTGTCTTCATTTGAGATCTATTCTGTACTATCTTTTCTTCTTTTGTTTTACTGGGAATATCTCATGTCCTTGGTAAAACTGTGGTTCCCCTGAATGCTTGGAGTTTCTGACTTGAAGGCTTATTTGGGGAATTGACAAAAGAAATTCCAGAACTATTTTACTTTTTGTGGGCACAAGGCACTTTTAGATGAGACACAGATTATAGGTTTTCTTGCTTACTTGGTAGTGTCCTGCTGGCCTTAAATAAGAGTTAGCATTCGCTACGCTTGCCAGGAGATCCTGACCACGGTCACAGCTCCTGCCTTTATGTTTGTCTTCCAGGAATGCTCATCAAATTTAACAACGCTGTTCAGACGGTCCTGCTTCACCGGCGTGTTTGGAGGAGACGTCAATCCTCCTTTTGATCAGCTCTGCTCTGCTGGGACGACGACACGTGGTGTCCCCGATTGGTTTCCCTTTCTGTGTGTGCAGTCCCCCCTTGCCAACACACCCTTCCTTGGTTACTTCTATCATGGTGCTGTGTAAGTGTCTGAGCAGCCGCCTGGGATGGGGCATTGTTCTCCCGCCCTGGTGGGGCCATACTCTAGTAGGCCCTGCAACGCGGTCACGTTTTTCCCAACCCCTCTCCAGAGGTTCCGTGCCTAAAGGGTTCAATTCTAGATTTCAGTTAGCCAATTTATTTTGCATTATTTGGAAGAATTGGGCCTCATTGAAAAGAAATTGATTGACATTGAAAACAGCTCATGGTGCTTTTCTAGGGGAGGTGAAGGAGTGGTGGCTCATGGGAGATTTTAATGTTCTGTATTTTACAGTTTGGGATTGTTAAAAATTTACATCTATG
This sequence comes from Homo sapiens, assembly GCF_000001405.40. Taxonomy (NCBI): domain Eukaryota; kingdom Metazoa; phylum Chordata; class Mammalia; order Primates; family Hominidae; genus Homo; species Homo sapiens. Next base: position 123,687,356 of record NC_000012.12, read on the forward strand.
ATTTTTGTAATTAAAAAGTAGGCCGGGAGCGGTGGCTCACGCCTGTAATCCCAGCACTTTGGGAGGCCGAGGCGGGCAGATCATGAGGTCAGGAGATCGAGACCATCCTGGCTAACACAGTGAAACCCTGTCTCTACTAAAAATACAAAAAATTAGCCAGGCGTGGTGGCACGTGCCTGTAGTCCCAGCTACTAGGGAGGCTGAGGCAGGAGAATGGCCTGAACCCGGGCGGCGGAGCTTGAGCTGAGATCGCGCCACTGCACTCCAGCCTGGGCGACAGAGCGAGACTCTGGCCCAAAACAAACAAAACAAAACAAAGTAAAGAGGCTGGGTGCAGTGGGTCACGTCTGTAATCCCAGCACTTTGGGATGCTGAGGCAGGGTGATCACCTGAGGTTGGGAGTTCAAGACGAGCCTGGGTACGTGGTGAAACCCCATCTTTACTAAAAATACAAAAAATTAGCCAGGTGTGGTGGTGGGCACCTGTAATCCCAGCTTACTCGGGAGACTGAGGCACAAGAATTGCTTGAACCTGGGAGGCGGAGGTAGCAGTGAACAAAGATCACGCCACTGCACTCCAGCCTGGGTGACAGAGTGAGACTCCATCTCAGAAAACAAGAGTAAAGAACAACATTAAGGAAGAATTGTGTTTTAGCAGATAACTGAAACTATTCAGCCTTTCTTATTGATTTTCAGTTCCCCCAAACAGGACTCTTCCTTTGAAGTATATGTGGATACTGACGCAAAAGACTTTGCAGACTTTGGTTACAAACAAGGAGATCCCATTATGACTGTAAAGAAGGCATATTTTACTATTCCGCAGGTAATCGTTGCAATATTAGTATGCTAGACCGTTCTCTTTTTTTTTTTTTTTTTTATGAGACGGAGTCTCGCTCTTACCTCCTAGGCTCAAGTGCAGTGCCAGATCTCGGCTCACTGCAACCTCTGCCTCCCGGGTTCAAGTGATTCTCCTGCCTCAGCCTCCCCAGTAGCTGGGACTACAGGTGTGTGCCACCGCACCCAGCCAATTTTTTGTATTTTTAGTACAGACGGGGTTTCACCATGTTGACCTGGATGATCTCGATCTCTTGACCCTGTGATCCTAGTGCCTCAGCCTCCCAAAGTGCTGGGATTACAGGCATGAGCCACCATGCCTGGCCACTAGACCCTTCTTTTATTTTTCCTGTCCTATTGTTAATTTAAGTCATATTTCTCTTTAAAATCTCTTTTTAAGTTACTTACTTTCCTCCTTTCTACCTTTCAGGGACTTAACTGTTTATGTTCTCCAAATTAATAAAATATATAGTCACTCTTAATCACTGTCTTTGCTTAAAACTCAGAGTGAACTTACAAAATAAAACCAAAAGATTTTCTATAAGTTTCCATGGAAGTACCTATCATTCTTTTTCTTTTTTTTTGAGACAGAGTTTCGCTGTTTTTGCCCAGGCTGGAGTGTAATGGCACAATCTCAGCTCACCGCAACCTCTGCCTCCCGGGTTCAAGCGATTCTCCTGCCTCAGCTTTCCCAAGTAGCTGGGATTACAGGCATGCACCACCACGCCCAGCTAATTTTGTATTTTTAGTAGAGACGGGGTTTCTCCATGTTGGTCAGGCTGGTCTCGAATTCCTGACCTCAGGTGATCTGCCTGCCTCAGCCTCCCAAAGTGCTGGGATTACAGGCATGAGTCTTTTTTTTTTTTAAATTAAAAAAATTTGTTTTGGTTTGAGACATAGTCTTGCTCTGTCACCTAGGGTGGAGTGCACTGGCGTGATCTCAACTCCCTGCAGCCCTGACCTCCCACATTCAAGTGATCCTCCTACCTCAGCTTCCCAAGTAGCTGAGACTACAGGCACATGCCACCATTCCTGGCTAATTTTTTGTAGAGGTGGGGTTTTGCCATGTTGCCCAGGCTGGTCTTTTTAACTTCTGGGCTGAAGTGACCTGCCCACTTTGGCCTCCCAATGTGCTGGGATTACAGGCTTGAGCCACCGCGCCCAGCCAAAAATTTTTCTGTAGAGATGGGGGTTTCACTATGTTGCCCAGGCGGGTCTTAAACTCCTGGCCTCGAAATTCTTCTGCCTTGGCCAAAGTGTTGGGATTACAGTGTGAGCCTTGATGCCTGGCTAGCAGTAACTATCATTCTTTGCTTCTTTTTCTTTTTATATTTTTATTTTAGGTTCAGGGCTACATGAGCAGGTTTGTTATATAGGTAAACTTGTGTCATGGGGTTTTGTTGTACAGATTATTTGTCACCCAGGTACTAAGCCAAGTACCCAATAGTTTTTTTCTGATCCTCTCCCTCCTCCTACTCACTACCCTCAAGTAGGGTCCGGTATAAAAAACAATGGTTAGATAAATACATCATTTTATTTACCATTCTAGAATTTTGAAAAATATTTTAAGGCTGTAAGGTTGTATATGGAATCATTTGTATATCTATATATGAATGCACAAGTGAATGAATGACAGGGTCTTGCTCTGTCGCCCAGGCTGGAGTGTAGTGAGTGTAGTCACAGCTCACTGCAGCCTCCATCTCATGGGCTCAAGCAATCCTCCCACCTCAGCCTCCCAAGTAGCTGGGACTATAGGTGCATGCCATTATACCCGGTTAATTTTTTACTTTTTGTAGAGACAGGGTCTTGCTATGTTGCCCAGGTTGGTCTTGAACTCCTGGGCTCAAATGATTCTCCCACTACAGCCTTCCAAAATGATGGGATTACAGGTGTGAGCCACTGCTCCCAACCTGAAATCTTTTTTTAAGTTCAACATTATGAGGAGTGTTATTTGTGGGAAGAAAGCATGGGAGGTGAAAATTTCTCTTTCCTATTCATATGAATCCATTTTTATGGTATTAAACTCTGGTTGTGATGAGGGAGAGAACATGAAGTTAAATATAGTCATGTCTCTGCAAACTAAATAGAACAGGACAAGGGATTTTCTTTGTTTTTATTAGACAATATTTACTGTGACTCCACAACCAGTGGCTTCCAGACCTTGATGGGCAAATCAGTTAGATGTTTTGCTAAAGCGGGTCAACTAGTCGGTGAACTTGCCGTTGCTGAAACCAGACCAGCAATGGGAGCAGGCTGCAGAAAGACCAGTTTTAAGGGATGCTGATCTGTTTTGTATGATTAGGAGAGAGGCCATAAATCTGTTGGCTTTGCCCTTCTCCCTCAGGTGTCCCTGGCTGGGCAGTGTATGCAGAACGCCCCAGTGGCATTTCTTCACAATTTTGATGTTAAATGCGTTACTAATTTGGAACTATACCAAGAACGAGATGGTATTATCAATGCGAAGATAAAGAATGTTGCCTTAGGAGGTATGTTACATTTCTTTGAAAAAAGAACACAGGCCCAAACATGAATATAAAGTATGATCTCATGAGAGTATAAATCATTTCTACTGGTTCAACTTCAAATAATATTTGAACTGCCAATTATTTTCTTTGGAAAAAGTTTAGTTCCGTAAGACAGCATATTGCATATTAATTATTTTGAAATTGAAGTAAAATTCAAATAACATAAATTTAGCCTTTTTGTTTGTTTCTCCGTCACGCAGGTTGGAGTGCAGTGGCGTGATCTCGGCTCACTGTACCCTCTGCCTCCTAAGTTCAAGCGATTCTCCTGCCTCAGCTTCCCGAGTAGCTGGGACTACAGGTGCCTGCCACCATGACTGGCTAATTTTTGTGTTTTTGGTAAAGATGGGGTTTCACTGTGTTGGCCAGGTTGACCTTGAACTCCTGACCTCAGGTGATCCACTCTCCTAGGCCTCCCAAAGTGCTGGGATTACAGGTGTAAGCCATCGCGTCCCACCAGAATTAACCCTTTTAAAGTGTACAATTCATTGACATTAGTACCTTCCACACTGTTGTGCCACCATCACCTCTCTCTAGTTCCAGAACGTTTCATCGCCTCAGAAGGGCATCTGTACCCATTAGCAGTCACTCCCTACCCCTCTTCCCTCAGCTCCTGGCAGCCACCAATCTGCTTTCTGTCTCCGTGGATTGCTTATTCTGGGTGTTCCCTAGAAACAGAATCATACACTATGTGGCCTTTTGTGTCTGGCTTCTTTCACTGAGCATGGTGTTCCATGGTTCATCCGTGTTTGTAGTGTGTGGCAGCACTTCATTCCTTTTTATGGCTGAATCATAGTCCATTGCATGGACAGAGCACATTGTGTTTGTCCATTCCTCAGTTGATGGACATGTGGGTTGTTTTCATCTCTGACTGTTGTGAATAGTGCTGCCATGAACACTCGTGTCCAAGTTTTTGCGTAGATGTGTGTTTTTATTTCTTTTGGGTAGACACCTAGGAGTGGAACTGACAGGTCATGCTAATATGACTTCTTGAGGACCCACCAAATTGTTTTTTTTTTGTTTTTTTGGTTTTTTTTTTGAGAGGGAGTCTTGCTCTGTCACCCAGGCTGGAGTGCAGTGACGTGATCTCGGCTCGCTGCAACCTCCACCTCCCTGGTTCAAGCGATTCCCCTGCCTCAGCCTCCCAAGTAGCTGAGATTACAGGCATGTGCCACCACACCTGGCTAATTTTTTTTTTTTTGAGACCAAGTCTTGCTCTTGTCCGCCAGGCTGGAGTGCGATGGCGCGATCTCGGCTCACGGCAACCTCCACCTCCTGGGTTCAAGCGATTCTCCTGCCTCAGCCTCCCGAGTAGCTGGGATTACAGGCACCCACCACCACGCCCTGCTAATTTTTGTATTTTTAGTAGAGACGAAGTTTAGTAGAGATGGGATTTCACCATGTTGGCCAGGCAGATCTCGAACTCCTGACCTCAGGTGATCCACCCACCTCGGCCTCCCAGAGTGCTGGGATTACGGGCATGAGCCACCACGCCCGGCTAATTTTTTTGTATTTTTAGTAGAGAGGAGGTTTCACCATGTTGGCCAGACTGGTCTCAAACTGACCTCAGGCAATCTGCCTGCCTCGGCCTCCCAAAGTGCTGGGATTATAGGCGTGAGCCCCTGCGCCTGGCCAATTGTTTTCTACAGTGTCTGCACCATTTTGTATTGCCACCAGCAGTGAACTGCATATTTGTTTTTATGTCACAGTGACCCTGGTTTTTGTTTGTTTGTGTGTTTGTTGTGGATTTTCTTCCTCCGTTATAATTAGATGCTAAGAGGATGGGGACTCCTATCTGATGGTTTTTGGGGAGTGGGGAGGGTTTTGTAGTCAGCACCCTGGGCAGTTGCGGTCACCATATTTGCTTTGTAAGCTATACTTTGAGTAAGTGTGATCATGGTAGGCCATGTGTACGCCTGTGGAAGTTAATTTATGTTATCTCTTTAGGCATAGTTACACCAAAAGTGATCTATGAGGAAGCAACTGACCTAGACAAATTCATCACCAATACAGGTATTTAATGTTACACTTTGACGTCATTTCTTCAGAAACAGATATGTCATTTCTTACAAGTAATATATACCCTCAGAGTGTATATTTTTGTTAGTCATTTAAAAAGGTTCACAATAGTTAGAAAGATCTGCCAGGAACATTTCATTTGTTCCTCGTTCTGTCCTGCTGGGCTTTAGAGTGCTCTCTGTGACCTTGAGCCTGCTCCTCCACAGTCCTGGATTCTCTGAGTTCCACCGACCCTTCTAGTTCCAGCTTCCGTGAACCTTTCCTTAAATGTTTGATAGTTAAATAATTCTTTTTTTTTTTTTTTTTTTTTTTTTGAGGCGGAGTTTTGTTCTTGTCACCCAGGCTGGAGTGCAATGGCATGATCTCGGCTCACTGCAACCTCCGCCTCCTGAGTTCAAGTGATTCTCCTGCCTCAGCCCCCTGAGTAGCTGGGATTATAGTCACCCGCCACCACACCCAGCTAATTTTGTATTTTTAGTAGAGACGGGGTTTCTCCCTGTTGGTCAGGCTGGTCTCGAACTCCCGACCTCAGGTGATCCACTTGCCTTGGCCTCCCAAAGTGCTGGGATTATAGGTGTGAGCCACCGCGCCCGACCAGTTAAAAGAACTTTTTAGGGCACAGCATTTTCACTTTTTGCTTTCTTTCCTTTTTTTTTTTTTTTTTTTTTGATAATTAAACTTTCCAATTGTGATGCAGCCAAATAAGTTACGTAGAGTTTGGCAGATTTTTTTTTTTTTTTTGAGATGGATTCTTGCTCTGTCACCCAGGCTGGAGTGCAGTGGTGTAATCTTGGCTCACTATAACCTCCACTTCCTGGGTTCAAGCAGTTCTCCTGCCTCAGTCTCCCAAGTAGCTGGGATTACAGGTGTTCACCACCATATGCCTGGCTAATTTTTGTATTTTAGTAGAGACGGGGTTTCACCATGTTGGCCAGGCTGGTTTCGAACTCCTGACCTCAGGTGATCCACCTGCCTTGGCCTCCCAAAGTGCAGGGGTTACAGGCGTGAGCCACGGCGACTGGCTCAGTTTGGCTAATTTTACCAGAACTTTAGTTTTTAATGAAGGATACTGTTTGTTTCTTTCTTTTCTTTTTTTTTTTTAATTGGAGACAGAGTCTTGCTCTGTCGCCCAGGCTGGAGTGCAATAGGGTGATCTCAGCTCACTGTACCCTCCACCTCCCAGGTTCAAGCAATTCTCATGCCTTAGCCTCCTGAGTAGCTGGGATTACAGGCACCTGCCACCAATCCCGGCTAATTTTTGTATTTTTTTGTATTTTTTTTTTTTTGAGACAGTCTCACTGTCACCCAGACTGGAGTGTAGTGACACAGTCTCCACTCACTGCAACCTCTGCCTCCTGGGTTCAAACGATTCTTCTGCCTCAGCCTCCCGAGTAGCTGGGATTACAGGTGCCTGCCCCCATGCCTGGCTGATTTTTTGTATTGTTAGTAGAGAGGGGGTTTCACTGTGTTGGCCAGGCTGGTCTTGAACTCCTGACCTCGTGATCTGCCTGCCTCAGCCTCCCAAAGTGCTGGGATTACAGGCGTGAGCCACCGCACCCGGCCTAATTTTTGTATTTTTAGTAGAGACAGGGTTTCGCCATGCTGGCCAGGCTGGTCTCGAACTCTTGACCTCAGGTGATCTGCCCACCTCGGCCTCCCCAAGTGCTGGGTGTCTCTTTCTGATGTGTTGTACTTCTCAAATTTATTCATTGGCTCATCAAATGTTAGTGGAGTTCCTACGCCGTAGTAGGGAACTAGATAGCGGGCCCCTGCCCTGGCGGAACTGACCCTCTGGTCTTTCATCTCACAAACATTTTACCAAGTGCATGCTCCATGGCAAGCTATGAGCCAGGTGCTGGAGATATAGAAATGAAAGGAACAGATCTCATTCTGGGTACTGTGATGGCATAGAGGAGGCAGCTAATGCTGACTTGGTGGGACCAGGGCAGGCTTCCTCAAGGAAGCAGTGACCGTGCCATGTTAGGGAGCTGGAGATAGGGAGGGCAGGGGCAGGGCACTTGGGGAAGGCCACGCAAGCAGAGAGAACCTCCCAGTAACAGAGTCAGGCTCAAAGAGGGTCTTTAATTTATGAACATATTCTTGTATTTGCAGAAACTCCTTTAAATAACGGATCAACCCCTAGAATTGTGAATGTGGAAGAACATTATATTTTCAAATGGAATAATAATACCATCAGTGAAATAAATGTTAAAATTTTTAGGGCAGAGATTAATGCCCACCAGAAAGGTAACTTTGATGAGGGTAGCAAGCATGCTTTCACTGAAAAGTATTTTTTTTTCCTCTTTTCAAGATTCTCATAATTATAACCCATAAAACTAAGTTGGACTTGTTTCTTATGTGCATTTATGATTTAATTAACGAGAGTACACTTTGTATGACAAAATGCAATTTTAAGGTAAACACTATGGAGAATAATTTCTTTTCCTAGTGAAATGGTGCACATTATATTTTATTTTGTTTTATTTCTAGGGATAATGACACAGAGATTTGTAGTAAAATTTTTAAGCTATAATAGTGGTAATGAAGAAGAATTATCTGGAAATCCAGGTAAGATGAGTATATGCCAGTCATTGATCTTACAAACATACTTTAGTTCAACACTCCCAGCCATCAGGATGGTTATAAGTAACTCTCTCCAATTTAGTTTCTGACTCTGACCTTTTTCTTTATTTTCTCTTTTTCTTTTTTTGAGACGGAGTCTTGCTCTGTTGCCTAGTCTGGAGTGCAGTGGCGCAATCTCGGCTCACTGCAACCTGCACCTCCTGGGTTCAAGAGATTTTCTTGCCTCAGCCTCCTGAGTAGCTGGGATTACAGGTGCACACCACCATGCCTGGCTTTTTTTTTTTTTTTTTAATCACACAACACAGGAAGTTTTATTCATCTGCTACTTCTCCAAAGAGAGGCTTGCAGGGTTGCTCACTTTAATATAATTTTTATATTTTTAGTAGAGATAGGCTGTTGTTCACCGTGTTGGCCAGGCTGGTCTTGAATTCCTGACCTCAAGTGATCCCCTGGCCTTAGCCTCCCAAAGTGTTGTGATTACAGGCATGAGCCACTGCCCCAGCCTCTTTATTCTCTGTTGTGGCACTGTATTCATTTTTTTTTTTTTTGAGACGGAGTTTAACTCTTGTCACCCAGGCTGGAGTGCAATGGCACGATTTGGGCTCACTGCAACCTCCACCTTCCAGGTTCAAGCAATTCTCCTGCCTCAGCCTCCCAAGTAGCTGGGATTACAGGTGCCCACCAACACCCTCAGCAAATTTTTGTACTTTTAGTAGAGATGAGGTTTTGCCATATTGGCCATACTGGTCTCGAACTCCTGACCTCAGGTGATCCACCCACCTCGGCCTCCCAAAGTGCTAGGATTACAGGCGTGAGCCACTACGCCTGGCCGACATGGTATTCTTTTTGTGATAACAATGTATTTTTTTTTTTTACATAGTCTGTTGTACATAGTAACAAGTTGCTGTAAATGTGAAGCATTCTTTCTCTTTAGCTACTGTTTTTTTTGAGACCCGAAGTTGCCATCTTTCTCTCAAGGGTATTTTCGAAAGCTTCGCCTATGTGTTTTCTTTCCTTGTGCATGACTCTTGTATTATTTGCAGAGTTAGGGCTTGCTATGCTGGAGGAAACAGGCTCACGTTCCTTTGTTGTGTTTGTCTAGGTTACCAACTTGGCAAGCCTGTCCGAGCTCTAAATATCAACAGGATGAATAATGTCACGACTTTACATCTTTGGCAATCGGGTAATCCGGTTTGGTCATTATGATTAGCCCTTTGGCAAATTGGTGTTAGAAGTATTACCATATTTTGAATCTAATCAAGCAATCAATTATTTTAAAGCCTAGTTGGTTTATTTAGCAGAGAGGTACATGCTGCTGAATAACAGTGATGATGGTTTTTCCTGCTTCTACAGCTTTTTAAAAAGGAATGCTAACATTGTTTGCACCTGAAGTGCTGGTTGCTAGTAGAAAAGATTGAAATATGAGATTGGCTTGAGAGTCCCATGTTATTGTTGCCTGTAGCCCAGGATGGTGCTAATTGGAGACATGAAAATAACTTCGTTCTGAACTGCAGGAAATCTGTGCTTCAGTGGTAATTACGCACACCTGCCAGAGGCAGTGTCACTTCTGAAGAAACCACCGCTCAGGATCTGAGAAGTCTGATAAAGGCACCTTTGTTCAGCTTTGAAAGGATTAGACTAACAGTGATCTCAGTTTTTGAAAACTGGCAACTTTATTTCTACTTACTGTTTTCTGTTTTTCACGGAAAACTGAAGTTAATCTTTACTTTTGTTTAGCAAAAAGTAGCAAGAGGATAATCTTTTTCTTTTATAGCTGGAAGGGGTCTGTGTACATCAGCAACTTTCAAACCCATTTTATTTGGAGAAAATGTACTCTCTGGATGCCTGTTAGAAGTCGGGATTAATGAAAATTGTACTCAGCTCAGGTGAGTGTTTCATTGATGAATATATCGGCAATGTGAATGGTTTGCCTAGAATTAATTCACTACATGAATATCAAAGACAGCATGAATATGAAAAATTAGAGTCAATTAAAATGTGTAAAAGTGATAATAAATACAGACATGTAATACAATTTAGAGTTGATTCAAACATCAATATGAGGGAAAATAAACTTTTTCTTGGGACTAAAGCCAGTTCATCCACATTTAAGCAAATTTCATCCACATTTAAACAAATGTCTCTGCCAAAGTTTGTTCAGCTCATTGGAACCTTTTTTGTTGTTGTTGTGTGGTTTTTTTTGTTGAGATGAAGTCTCACTTTGTCACCTAGGCTGGAGTGCAGTGGTGCGATCTCGGCTCATTGCAGCTTCTGCCTCTCCGGTTCAAGCAATTCTCCTGCCTTAGCCTCCCTAGCAGCTGGGATTACAGGCATGCACCACCACGCCTGCTGATTTTTTTTGTATTTTTAGTAGAGATGGGGTTTCACAATGTTGGTCTCAAACTCCTAACCTCAAGTGACCTTGCCCACCTTGGCCTCCCAAAGTGCTGGGATTATAGGCGTAAGCCACCGCGCCTGGCCTCATTGGAACCTTATACTCCTAGAGCTATGAAAAAGGCCAGAGCAAAGTGTAACTGGGGTGATTAACTTTTTTTTTTTTTTTTTTGAGACAGGGTCTCACTGTGTTTCCCAGGCTCGGGTGCAGTGGTGCAATCATGGCTTACTGCAGCCCCAACCTCCCCAGGCTCAGGTGGTCCTCCACCTGCCTTGGCTTCCTAAAGTGCTGGGATTACAGGCATGAGTCACTCTGCTGGCCTATGTTCTGTTTTTGTTTTTGTTTTTGTTTTGAGACAGAGTTTCACTCTTGTTGCCCAGGCTGGAGTGCAATGGCATAATCTCAGCTCACTGCAGCCTCTGCCTCCCAGGTTCAAGTGATTCTCCTGCCTCAGCCTCCTGAGTAGCTGGGATTACAGGCATGTGCCACCTCACCTGGCTAATTTTGTATTTTTAGTAGAGATGGGGTTTCTCCATGTTAGTCAGGCTGGTCTTGAACTCCTGACCTCAGGTGATCTGCCCTCCTCAGCCTCCTAAAGTGCTGGGATTACAGGTGTGAGCCACTGTGCCCAGCCTTGTTTTTTGTTTTTTTGTTTTTGTTTTTTTTTTTGACAGTAGCCATCCTAATAGATACTAAGTGGTATCTCATTGTGGTTTTGATTGCATGCGTTCTTTTTGGCTTGTTTTTTGAGACAAGGTCTCACTCCATCACCCAGACTGGAGCGCAGTGGTGTGATCACGGCTCGTTGCAGCCTGACCCTCTTGAGCTCAGGTGATCCTCCCACTTCACCCTCCCGAGTATCTTGGAGTACAGGTGTGTGCCTGGCTGATTTTTCGTATTTTTTGTAGAGATGGGGTTTCACCGTGTTGCTCAGGCTGCTCTCAAACTGCTGGGCTCAAACGATCCTCCTGCCTTGGCCTCCCAAAGTGCTGGGGTTACAAGCATGAACCATTATGCCCGGCCTGCATGCACTCTTACACACGTTTTATCTGTTACATATCCCAAGATGTGTAGTTCTTTGGGAAGCAGGAAGAAATGGGGGTAACATTGAGAAGTTAAGGAAAACTGGTATAAATTATTGGCAGCAGCTCCTGATTATAGGTTTTGAGGCCTGAGTCCATGGGCAGAGTCCCTCTCCTGCAGTTCATGAGATTTGTACCCTCCAGTGACAGTACTGGGAAGGAGGGAATGCTACGTTCCAACTCTTAGTCTTCACTTAATTTTATGACTCAAAATTCCAGCTAGATATATAGGTTACTTTTACTGTTGGATCACTCTGGCCCACGAATGTATCCTGCTAACTTGATGTGTGCTCTAACTACCTCCTAAGTTTGGTGACAGTCGGCAGAGTTTGTGAACCATGTGATTCCCAACTTAAGTTACTAACATTTTTTTTTTTTTTTTGAGACAGGATCTTGCTCTGTCACCCAGGCTGGAGTGCAGTGGTACGATCTCAGCTCACTGTAGCCTTAACCCCACCAGGCTTATGCGCTCCTCCCACCTCAGCCTCCCAAGTAGTTGGAACTATAGGTGCATACCACCATGCCTGGCTAATTTTTGTATTTTTTGTAGAGGCAGGGTTTTGCCCTGTTGCCCAGGCTGGTCTTGAACTCCTGAGCTCAAGCAATCCTCCCACCTCAGCCTCCCAAAGGGTTGGGATTACAGGTGTGAGCCACTGCACCCGGCCAAGTTACTAACATTTTAAGTCTAAAGTAAAAGATTGCTTCTGTATGTTCTCCCCCAGGTGTGTGGGTCCATCCTGGGAAGGCCATCAGACACACCTAGTCCATGGGTGACACCCAGCCAGTTTTTAATGCCAGTTCCTCTGGCAGTTTTTAATTTAGGCACTCGGAAGTGAAACCCGGACATTCACTGGAAATGACTTTAGGACAAGACCTGCTGGCCATGAGCTGAGAAATGTCTTACTCTCTTGCAGGGAGAATGCTGTTGAAAGACTTGATTCATTAATACAAGCGACTCACGTTGCAATGAGAGGCAACTCCGATTACGCTGATCTTAGTGATGGCTGGCTCGAAATAATACGTAAGTCAAACCCGGGTACAATAAAGCCTGTAACTTGGTTGCTGTGACTACCAACTGTAGTCGCAGCATTAGAGCCCAACCCAGTAGGTCATCTTCCTGAGGCTTGACTGCGGCTTAACTGGACGTTTGCCCAGGGGTTAGATCTCCAGGCAGGAAACTTGGCATGTCTTTTTCTTCTTATTCACAATGACTTTTTTGATTTTCTGTTTTTGTTTTTTTGAGACAGGGTTTCATTCTGTCACCCAGGCTGGAGTGCAGTGGTGCAATCACAGCTCATTGCCTCCTCATCCTCCCAGGCTCAAGGGATCCTCCCGCCTCAGCCTTCCAAGTAGCTGGAACCACAGGTGTGCGCCACCACATCTGGCTAATTTTTTTATTATTTGTAGAAATGGGTTTCGCCATGTTGCCCAGGCTGGTCATTAACTCCTGGGCTTAAGTGATCTGCCCACCCCAACCTCTTAAACCCCAACCATGTTGGGATTACAGGCATGAGCCATTGCGCCTGGCCAACAACAGTCTTTGTGAAAGAAAGTCTAGGCTGGGAGCAGTGGCTCACACTTATAATCCCAGCACTTTGGGAGGTCAATGCAAGAGGATTGCTTGAGGCCAGTTTTTTTGTTTGTTTGGTTGGTTTTTTTTGAGACGGAGTCTTGCTCTTGTCACCCATGCTGGAGTGCAATGGCACAATCTCGGCTCACTGCAACCTCTGCCTCCTAGGTTCAGGTGATTCTCCTGCCTTAGCCTCCCAAGTAGCTGGGATTACAGGCGCCCACCACCACCTGGCTAATTTTTGTATTTTTTAAATAGAGACGGGGTTTCACCATGTTGGCCAGGCTGGTCTCGAACTCCTGACCCCGTGATCCACCTGCCTCGGCCTCCCAAAGTGCTGGGATTATAGGCGTTAGCCACCGTGCCAGGCCGAGGCCAGGAGTTTAAGACCAGCCTGGGCAACATAGTGAGACCTTGTCTCTATGAAAAATTTAAAAAATTAGTCGAATGTGGTGGCATGTCCCTGCAGTCCCAGCTACTTGGGATGCTGAGGAAAGAGGATCGCTGGAGCCTAGGAGTTTGAGGCTACAGTGAGCTCTGATTACACCATCACACTCCAACCTGGATGACAGAGCAAGATCCTGACTCTAAAAATAAAACAAAATAAAATAAAATACATTAAAACAAAGTCCAAGCAAGGTTTGAAGATTGTTAGTGCACTTCAGTTTGCATTGCTGTTTTTGATTGCCAGGAATACAGGCATTTGAGAATTGACTTTGTAATTTATAAAGGTAATTTTGTTAACTTAAAAGAAAATAAAGTGATTGAAAATATTGTGATAGAAGCCAGACACAAAAGACCACATATTGTATGACTCAATTTATATGCAATGTCCAGAATGGGCAATGTATAGAGACAGCAGATTAGTGGATGCCGGAGGTGGAGGAGTTGGGAGGAAATGGGGAGAGACTGCCGTGGGTAAAGGATTTCTTCGCAGAGTGATAAAATGTTCTAAAATAGAATCTGCTGATAGTCACAGCTTTGTGACTATACCAGAAACCATCGAATTGCACACTTTAAGTAGGTGGATTGTATAGTATGTGAATTATATCTCAATAAAGCTGTCAGGAAAGAAAGTAATTAAGGTGCAACAGATCGGCTGGGCACGGTGGCTCATATCTGTAATCCCAGCACTTTGGGAGGCCGAGGCGGGTGGATCACGAGGTCAGGAGATCGAGAGCATCCTGCCTAACACAGGTGAAACCCCGTCTCTACTAAAAATAAAAAAAAAAAATTAGCCGGGCGTGGTGGTGGGCGCCTGTAGTCCCAGCTACTCGGGAGGCTGAGGCAGGAGAATGGTAGGAACCCGGGAGGCGGAGCTTGCTGTGAGCCGAGATTGCGCCACTGCACTCCAGCCTGGGCGACAGAGCAAGACTCCGTCTCACAAAAAAAAAAAAAGGGTGCAACAGATCTAATAATAGCAGGGATCATGGGGGCCAGATAGAAAGACTTGACAGCTCAGTGCCTCTGGCCAAAGGTATTTGCAGTGTTGAATTGGCAAGTAGCTCGTACACAAAGGGAAAAAGATATACCACATGTACATGGAATAAAGGTAAACCAGACTTTAAAGCTTCTTCATCAGGCCTGATTTCACCTCTGAATCCAAAATATCCTTTGAGTCATGGAGATCCAGCTCATCGGGTTATGTTGGAGAGGCCTAAGGTCACAGTGAGTTTTGGCAGAGCTAGAATGAAAACCTGGGGTTCCAACCTCTTTCCTCTGTTCCCTGGTAGCAAGTTAGGTAACTTCCCGGTTTCTTGGGGAGCCTTGAGTCTGTAAATACTTTGAATGGAAAGCTTTTTTTATTGAGCTAATTAATGGAATTGCCTTTTGGGACCAGAAAGAGCCCAATGAGTGTGCGCATCTGCTTTGCCCCTGCCCAGCTCTCCCTGCAGATGCTGCTCTGCCCCTCTCCTCTGCCTGGTGGGTAGGGATCAGCCCTCTGGATCCTGTCCCTACCCTTTCCATCTCCTCTGAGGTCAGCTAGGCTCAGTAGGCTGGAATTCACACAACGGCCCATACAGACACACACCTGTATTGTGCCTACTCCTTGTGATTGGGGTCATGGTGATGAGGACCCTCCCTTCCCCCTCTTGGTCATGGATAATGTGATATGTCTGTGAGCTTGAGGTGCCCCAGACCACTCTCTGACTTGGGGAGGGAGTCCTGTTGGACTCCACCCCCACGGGGCACTCAGGCTGCTGTTTGCTCATCTAGCTGGTGCTCAAGGCACTGGGCCCAGACCTAGATCCTCATTTGCAAACGGAACCCAGAGGTCGAGCTTGTCAAGCCCTGGGCTCTGCCACCCAGGCCAGCTAGATAGGCTGTGGAATGACCCTGAGGGCTGGAGAAAAGTCAGCAGTTGGGAAATAAACGGTAGGGAAAATGTCCAGACGGAGAACCCAGGTTGATGAGGTACGAAATCAGTGTGGTGATGACATTTTGTTGCCTTCAAGGTGGAAGGGGTTAGCTTTTATTTCATGTCTGAGCCAAAAAGCAACCTTGATCCTGGTTAATAAGCAGAAGAGAAGTGGTGTTGACACATGTATAAGGAAATTAGACATAAAACAGTGTTACTGACCTTCGGAATCCCTGAAGGAGCAAAGAACCCCCTTCAGAGGAGCCATAGAACCTACCCTACTTCCTCCAATTGACCTTGCTGGGTTTTCTCCAAGACGAATGCAAATTCATTTCTCATTCAATTTCATTCTCTTCCAATTGTATTAATACTATGGTAACACATTAGGAAATTACTTACCTATCTAATACATACTAATTAAAGTCGTTAGTGTGGATTTTGTTTTATTATTATTTTTTTTTCAATTATTATCATTATTTTTTTTTTGAGATGGAGTCTCACTTTGTTGCTGGAGTGCAGTGGCATGATCTCGGCTCACTGCAACCTCCACCTCCCAGGTTTCAAGTGATTCTCCTGCCTCAGCCTCCCAAGTAGCTGGGATTACAGGTGTGCGCCACCATACCTGGCCAATTTTTGTATTTTTAGTAGAGACAGGGTTTCACCATGTTGGCCAGGCTGGTCTCGAACTCCTGACCTCAGGTCATCCACCCACCTCAGCCTCCCAAAGTGTTGGGATTACAGGCGTGAGCCACCACGCCCGACTGATTTTTATTTTTATTTTTTGAGATGAGGTTCTCACTTTTGTCCAGGCTGGAATGTAGTGGTGCCATGCCATCACGGCTTACTGCAGCCTTGACTTCCCAGGCTGAAGCAATCCTCTCACCTCAGCCTTCTGGGTAGCTGGTGTGTGCTACAGGTGTGTGCCACCATGACTGGCTATTTTATTTTTCTCGAGGAGACAGGGTTTTGCTATGTTGCCCAGGCTGGTCTCAAACTCCTGGGCTCAAGCAGTGCTTCTACCTTGACCTCCCAAAGTGCTAGGATTATAGGCATGAGCCACTGTGCCTGGCCTAAAGTTGTTAGTATGGATTTTAAATGTCTTACACAGCTTTTACTAGAACTGTGACTGCATGGAATAACGATGGCATTTCACTGCAATTATATATGTTTCTGTTAAAAGGCTGGGTAGATTTCAGTGGGAGCTTGGAAACTGAATCATGATTTATGGCTTTAATATGTGGGTCAGGGCTTTTAAGTTCCAGTGACTGGCTAACATACAAGGAAACTTTTTTTTTTTTTTTTTTTTTGAGACAGAGTCTCCCTCTGTCGCCAGGCTGCAGTGCAGTGGTGTGATCTTGGCTCACGGCAAGCTCCGCCTCCCAGGTTCACGCCATTCTCCTGCCTCAGCCTCCCAAGTAACTGGGACTACAGGCGAGCACCACCACGCCCAGCTAATTTTTATACTTTTAGTAGAGATGGGGTTTCACCATGTTGGCCAGAATGGTCTCGATCTCTTGACCTCGTGATCTGCCCGCCTCAGCCTCCCAAAGTGCTGGGATTACGGCGTTAGCCACCGCACCCGGCCCATACAAGGAAACATTTTAAACACAATTTTTATTAGTGCCATCCTATGCCTTGTAGACTTTAAGGGATAACACAGTTATGGAGTGACAAGTAACTAGAGCCTGTAAGAGACTAAAGCCTCATTAATGTGATGCCTGCCTGATATTATTCCCCATTTTGGTTATTACGACATTGTAGGAAAACTTATCAAATTATTCTTTGAAAAGTGTATAACTTAACATTTCTATAGGTGTAGATGCCCCTGATCCAGGTGCAGACCCGCTGGCTAGCAGTGTGAACGGCATGTGCCTGGATATTCCTGCTCACCTGAGCATCCGCATCCTCATCTCGGATGCTGGCGCGGTGGAAGGGATTACTCAGCAGGAGATACTCGGTGTAGAGACAAGGTATGATCACATCTTGGATCACCGTAGTTTAGAGAGAGTCAGGAAAGTTGAGAGCATCCCAAACAATAGGGAAATGTTTATTTAGAAACTGATTGTTTATTTACAACTTGCAATTATTAGCAAGATGTTTATATGCACATATGGAATATGTACGAACTATGTGTATAATGGAGACTTATTCTCACAAGTATTTATAAAGCCATATGTAAGAGAGTCTGCAAGTTATTTTAGGGAGTACAAAGATGAATAAAGGGCCCCTTAGTACTAAGTATATTTTGAAATCCATGGATGTAACTGATAATCTGATCAGAGAATATTGTCTGTGGTTAGAGACTTTGGCAGCAGATAGGTTCAAATCATGGCTGTCCTACTTAGGAGCTGTGTGACACTGGCCAATTACTTAACCTTTCTGAGCTGTAGTTTCCTCCTCTGTAATATGGTGATAATACCTTTATGTATCAAGCCTCCATCAGTTTTTTTTTTTTTTTTTTTTGAGACAGAGTCTTGCTCCGTCTCCAGGCTGGAGTGCAGTGGCAATATCTTGACTCACTGCAACCTCCAACTCTCTAGTTCAAGCGATTCTCCTGCTTCAGCCTCCCGAGTAGCTGGGATTACAGGCACGTGCCACCATGTCCAGCTAATTTTTGTATTTTTAGTAAAGACAGGGTTTCACCCTGTTGGCCAGGATGGTCTCAATCTCCTGACCTCATGATCCGCCCGCCTCGGCCTCCCAAAGTGCTGGGATTACAGGCATGAGCCACCGCGCCCAGCCTGCCTCCATCGGTTTTAAGTGACAGGCGCCCAGTTCATACTGACTTAAGCAAAAAGGGGAGTTTATTGGTTCAAGTTCAGAGTAATCCACATACAGCTAGTTCATGGTTCATGGTTCCAGTGTGGTCAGGGATCTTTTTGTTTTCGTATCTCAGCTCCTCTTCCTTTGGGTTGGCTTCATTCTCAGGGAGGTTCTCCTCAAGAGATGGCAAAGATCAGCACCAGCAATCCAGGCTTATGTCACTGCAGCAAGTCCAGTGGGGAGAAAGCCCCTTTCCTCCTCTTTCCTTTCTTTCTTTCTTTTTTTTTTTTTTGAGACGGAGTTTTGCTCTTGTTGCCCAGGCTGGAGTGCAGTGGTGCCATCTTGGCTCACTGCAACCTCCACCAACCGGGTTCAAGCGATTCTCCTGCCTCAGCCTCCTAAGTAGCTGAGGTTACAAGCATGTGGCACCTCGCCTGGCTAATTTTGTATTTTTAGTAGAGATGGGGTTTCTCCATGTTGGTCAGGCTGGTCTTGAACTCCCAACCTGAGGTGATCTGCCTGCCTCAGCCTCCCAAAGTGCTGGGATTACAGGCATGAGTCACCGTGCCCGGCCCCTCCTCTTTCTCAAAATAGATCTGGGCAGACTTTTATTGGTTCAGTTTAGGTCATGTGCTCCTTTCTGAACCAATCCCTATGACTGGGGCAATGGACAGCTCTTATTGGCTAGGCTCAGGTGATGGGTGCACCTCTGGATTAGGGCCAATTCCTTCTGCTCCACTGAACTGGAAATGGAGAGTGGTGGCTCTGCAAGGGAAAATGGGAGTGCAGTTACCACCTCCGCAGTACTCTTCTGAGGATAACATGAGATGGTGTGTTGCAAGCAAGTTATCTCTGTGCCTCGAACGTGGAAAGCCCTCAATAAGTGGCTAGCTGCTGCTTTTATTATTATATTGTTTGAGAAAAACAGGTGATGAACAAAGGTACCTTTGATAGCACCTGTATACAATGCACTGGCTGGAGAGGAGTGAGACTGACAACAAGACTGGCAGATGTTGCTGGGCGACAGGCCCATGAGGGGTTATTAGGAGTTTCTCTTCTCTTTGGATCTGTCTGTGGAAATGGTCAAAGACCATGGACAAATACTGAGAAAAAACAGCCCAGGTAGAATGCGAAACTTCTTAGGAGAACCTCAGGTTATATTGTGATTGCATCCGTTACCTGCTGTTCTTGGTGGAATAGAACTGAATGGTGGCTATGCTGACCATGTGATCTTTCCCTCCTAGGTTCTCCTCAGTGAACTGGCAGTACCAGTGTGGGCTTACCTGTGAGCACAAGGCCGACCTTCTCCCTATCAGTGCATCCGTCCAGTTTATTAAAATTCCTGCACAGTTACCCCACCCCCTGACAAGGTACTCCAGTTGCTCACCTAGTTGACATTAGGAAGCAGAAAAATATATATTTGAAAATTGGAAGTTTATTCCTTTAATCAAGTTCTGATACTTCTCACTTGTAGTTTTTGTAACCCTCTAAAATGTTTTCTAGATTCCAGATCAATTATACAGAGTATGACTGCAACAGAAATGAGGTGTGTTGGCCGCAGCTTCTATATCCATGGACTCAGTATTATCAAGGTAGGGTGAAACAGATTTCTATGACCAATTATGTTATGTCAATTTAAAAAAATTTTTTAAATGATGTCTAAATGTTACAGAAAGCATAAAACATATAGAAACTTAAAAAAAAGTACGGATAATATTGCCACTTGGAAGTGATCACCATTACTGTTTTGGCTTAGTTTATTTCTACCTACACTGTTTTTTTTTTTAGAGAGTCTTGCTCTGACACCCTGGCTGGAGTGCAGTGGCACAATCTCAGCTCACTGCAACCATTGCCTCCTGGGTTCAGACAACTCTCGTGCCTCAGCCTTTGGAGTAGCTGGGATTACAGCACCAATATGCCTGGCTATTTTTGTATTTTTAGTAGAGACGGGGTTTCACTGTGCTGGCCAGGCTGGTCTCGAACTGGCCTCAAGTGATCCGCCCTCCTTGGCCTCCCAAAGTGTTAGGATTACAGGAGTGAGCCACCACACCCAGCCTATACCTACACTGTTATCAAAAGAGTTAAGAAATACTGCTGTTGAATTTTGTCCATTGTTTTTCAGGGGAGCTGCATTCTCAGTGTGTTGCTAAGGGCTTACTGTTGCTGTTGTTCCTCACATTGGCCTTGTTCCTCAGCAACCCCTGGACCAGAATATGCAAAGCCTATAGTTAGACAACCACCTGGCTTTTATTTTTTTGAGATGGAGTTTTGCTCTTGTTGCCCAGGCTGAAGTGATCTCGGCTCACCACAACCTCCTCCTCTTGGGTTCAAGCGATTCTCCTGCCTCAGCCTCCGGAGAACTGGGATTACAGGCATGCACCACCACGCCCGGCTAATTTTGTATTTTTAGTAGAGACAGGGTTCCACCGTATTGGCCAGGCTGCTCTCGAACTCCTGACCTCATGATCCGCCCATCTTGGCCTCCCAAAGTGCTGAGATTACAGGCATGAGCCACCGCACCCGGCCTTTTTTTTTTTTTTTTTTTTTTTGAGGCGGGGTCTCTGTCACCCAGGCTGGAGTGCAGTGCACAATCTCGGCTCACTGCAATCTCTGCCTCCCAAGCAATCCTCCCACCTCAGCCTCTGGTGTAGCTGGGACCACAGATGCTCCACCATGCCTGGCTGTATTTTTGGTAAAGACGGGGTTTCGCCTTGTTGCCCAGGGTGGTCTGTAACTCCTGAGCTCAGATGATCTGCCCACCTCGGCCTCCCAAAGTGCTGGGATCACAGACGTGAGCCACTGCGTCCGGTCCATCTGACTTCTCAAAGACTTTAGACCTTGACTTCAGTGATTTGTTGTAGTCTTGTATGCTTCTCTATAAAATTTTAATAAATGAAATGTCTTATTTTTGTAGAAAATTTTTATTAAGTGCCCTGTGACTTTAATTCATATATGTAGCTATCCAATGCAGAATGAATATTCTCATCGCTGGCCTGAACTGAGTAAAATGCATGAGAAGAACTCAAAAATGTTAGAAATTTTAGCTTATCACAAATTAGTTAAAGTCATAGGAGTTTTATTTATACCAGAGAGAATCAGTCTTTTCTTTAGTTTTTAATACATTCGTGTTGATTGATGTTTCCCATATTCCGTAGAAAGGATTAAGAAATCCTTAAAAATGCATGTAATACAAAAACACAAAATCACTGATGGGGAAAGATATGGGGGCTGCGGGAGGAAAATAATAAGAGAAAAGTAAAACAAAACCAGGGGCACATGTAAGCCCTAAAATACATGCCAGAGGTTGCCTTTAGCAGAAGCAGGCCCCTAATTCATTATTTATTTATTTGTTTTTTGGAGACAGGTTCTCCCTCTGTTGCCCAGGCTGGAGTGCAGTGGCACGATTATAGCTCACTGTAAACTCAGACACCTGGGATCAAGCGATTCTCCCCCAAGTAGCTGGGACTACAGGTGGCACACAGCTACCACGCCTGGCTATTTTTTTTTTTTTTTTTTTTTTTTTTTTTTTTAGTAGATGGGGGTCTCGCTATGTTGCCCAGCCTGGTCTCAAACTCCTGGCTTTAGCGATCCTACCACCTAAGCCTCCCAAAGTGCTGGGATTACCAGCAGGAGCCACTATGCCCAACCAAGACCCCAGTTTACAAAAACCCAAGTATGATTAGCTATAGGAATTATGAAATCTATTCATTAATACAGGAATTATGAAATCTATTCATTAAAAATTAACTGGTTATCAATGAAGGACAGTTTTTCCTAGCTGAGTCTTGACAAATTTCTCCCATGGGCCGTCACATGGGAACAGTCAACCCCACTCAGTGGGGAGAATGGATTTTTTTTTTTTTTTTTTTTTTGAGACTCGGTCTTACTCTGTTACCCAGGCTGGAGAGCTGGAGAGCAGTGGCACAATTACGGCTCACTGCAGCCTCGACCTCCTGAGCTCAAGTGATCCTCCCACCTTAGCCTCCCAAGTAGCTGGGACCACAGGCTTGTACCTGGCTAGTTTTTGTATTTTTTTTTTTTGTAGAGAAGGGGGTCTCCCTATGTTACCCAGGCTGGTCTCGAACTCTTAGGCTCAAGTGATCTACCTGCCTTAGCCTCCCAAAGTGCTGGGATTATAGGTATGAGCTGCTGTGCCCAGCCCTGGAATAGATGTTTTTAGCCACGGTCCTACAGTGGCCACATGGCACATCACCTGTAAGTTTTCTTTGTGTGCCAGGTAACTTAGTTGTTTCAGATGGATTTTCTATGTTATTTAAGCCTAATTTTGAAAA
This sequence comes from Homo sapiens, assembly GCF_000001405.40. Lineage (NCBI taxonomy): Eukaryota > Metazoa > Chordata > Mammalia > Primates > Hominidae > Homo > Homo sapiens. The sequence continues at coordinate 123,709,774 of NC_000012.12, forward strand.
ATAATTATTTTCCCTTTTATACTTTTTGATCGAATTCCTAGTGCCTGCTGATACCCAGCACCACATAAAATGTGCTGTTTCATCTTCGCTGCAGAGTTCCTGCCCAGGGGCAATTTCAAATTTTCCTCCAGTCTTAAGTCCATTTTCTTTTTTCTTTTTTTTTTTGAGACGGAGTCTTGCTCTATTGCCCAGGCTGGAGAGCAGTGGCGTGATCTTTGCTCACTGCAAGCTCCGCCTCCCGAGTTCACGCCATTCTCCTGCCTCAGCCTCCTGAGTAGCTGGGACTACAGGCACCCACCACCATGCCCAGCTAATTTTTCGTATTTTTAGTAGAGACGGAGTTTCACTGTGTTAGCCAGGATGGTCTCGATCTCCTGACCTCGTGATCCACCCGCCTCGGCCTCCCAAAGTGCTGGGATTACAGGCATGAGCCACTGCGCCCGGCCTGAGTCCACTTTCAAATAGGGGGATGAGCTAGTCACTGCAGAGGTCCTAAGTTTCTGCATGATGGAAATACCGTGAATTTCAGCATCTGTACTGTGGTGGTGTTGGGCCTTCACCCGACCCCTCTAGGGCTGACTCAGGAATCTGGGTCAGTACTGGACTGACGGAGCTGGGGTCTGAGTCAATTATTGTCTGAACTTCAGCCTTTGAATTCACCTTCACAGTTCTTACTGTATCTTTTTGTTGTTGTTGTTTCTTTTGAAACAGAGTGTCACTCTGTTGCCCAGGCTAGAGTCCAGGGATGCCATTTCAGCTCACTGCAAGCTCCACCTCCCAGGTTCAAGCGATTCTCTTGCCTCAGCCTCCCGAGTAGCTGGGACTACAGGTGCCCACCACCACGCCTAGCTAATTTTTATATTTTTTTAGTAGAGACGGGGTTTTGCCATGTTGGCCAGGCTGGTCTCAAACTCCTGACCTCAAGTGATCCACCTGCCTCAGCCTCCCAAAGTGCAGGGATTACAGGAGTGAGCCAGGGCACCCAGCCTAGTGTAACTAGCTTTGGATTTCAGGTATTTATGGAAAATAAATTTAAAACTTCCAAATGACAGGTAATTTAGCTTGATTTTGTGGGCTTTGTGAGGACGCCTTTTGTACTTAAAAGAAGGAAAAAACTCAGTTTGGCAGAATGGGGTCTGGAGTGTCTATGGTTTTAACTTTTTTAAGTTTATACATTTATGTATGCATTCATGAACTATTTATTGAGTGGCTACTATGTGCTGGGGCTTGGAGATACCACAGTGGCAGAAACAATGTCCCCACCTTGGTGGAGCTTCCATTCTAGCAGGGAAGACTGGCACTAACACACAGACAAGATAATTTCAGATGGTGGCAGGTGCAGTGAAGGAAATAGAACAAGGATGTGACTCCAGGGACAGTCTCAAGGAAGGGGATATGTAAGCAGAGACTCGACTGGGACAGCGGTGAGGTTGCGGCCTGGGGCGGGGGGCCACTGCTTCCCGGTCAGTGTGGGGAACACACACTGGGTGCTGTGTGATTCCATCGACAGGACAAGCCTGGAGGTGGCAAATTTAGCGAGACAAAATTGTCCTGTGGTGGCCAGGCCGGGCGGGAAGGGGAGACTGCAACTGAGCAGGAGGAGTCTTGCGAGGTCGGTGGGAAATGTTTGAAAACTGGATTGGGATGCTGGCTGCACACTCCAACTTCACGAAGAAGCCTAGGATCCCTCCGGGCGGCGGATCACGCCTGTAATCCTAGCGCTTTGGGAGGCCAAGGCGGGAGGATTGCTTGAGTTCAGGAGTTCGAGACCAGCCTGGCCAACATGATGAAACCCCTTCTCTATAAACATTTTAAAAACAAATTAGCCGGGTGTGATGGCGCGCGTCTGTAATCCCAGCTCCTCCAGAGGCTGAGGTGGGAGGATCGCTTGAGCTCAGGAGGTCAAGGTTGCAGCGAGCCGAGCTCGTGCTACTGCACTCCTCCCTGGGCCACAGAGGGAAACCCTATCCATAAAAAACCAGCAGCAGGGCCGGGCGCAGTGGTTCACGCCTGTAATCCCAGCACTGCGGAGGCCGAGGCAGGCGGATCACCTGAGCTCTGGAGTTTTGAGACCAGCCTGGCCAACATGGTGAAACCCCGTCTCTATTAAAAATACAAAAAAATTAGCTGGACGCGGGTGGCGCGCGTCTGTAGTCACAGCAACTGGGGAGTCTGAGGCTGGAGAATCGCTTGAACCTGGGAGACGGAGGTTGCAGTGAGCCGAGATCGCGCTACTGCACTCCAGCCTGTGGGACTGCGTGAGATTCCGTTTCTCTCTCTCTCTCTCTCACACACACACACACACACACACGCAGCAGCACAGGGTCGTGCACTAGGAACGGGTGAGCTTCGCGGCGTGCACACTCGGCGAGACTCCTCCAGGAAAGCCGGGGAGCCGCGCGGGATTTAGCTCTGCGTCCAGTCCGGCGGAGCGCCAGCTGCAGTGGTCGTACCCGCCGGGTTCGCGCTGGTTGGCCCTGCCGCCACGTCGTGCGGCGACAACCTCGGGCGTCCATTGGTCGGCCGGCGGGGGGGGCGGGACGCGGGGGCGGAACCGGAACCGGCAGTGGCTTGGGGGCGGGACCTCGCGGACTGCTGTGGCGGCAGCTGGAGCGGCGGCCGCGGTGGCAGAACCGGGGGCGGCCGCTGCAGTCTGGAGCCCCATAGTGCGGGGCCGCGGCCAGGCCACAGGAAGAGCTCGAGGCCCGGGCCGCACCGGCTGAGTGTGCGGGCCCGCGCGGCTCGGAGCCGCCGCCGCCCATCGAGCCCCTCCGGGCGCGGGTCGGCCCGCCATGGGGTCCCTGTTCCGGAGCGAGACCATGTGCCTGGCGCAGCTCTTCCTGCAGTCGGGCACGGCCTACGAGTGCCTCAGCGCCCTGGGCGAGAAAGGCCTGGTCCAGTTCCGAGACGTGAGTGTCGCCCGGGAGACGCGGGCCGCACCTGCTCTCCTGGCGCCCCCAATCCCGCGCATCGCTGGGGCCCTCCCGCGGGGAGCACCGAGGAAGGGCGCGCCCCGTCCCCATTGTCCAGACGGGGAAGATGACACCCCAGCTCAGCGGCCAAAGCTTCCCGGAGCGCGGGGCTGACTCCAGGGTCGCCGGCCGTCTGTGTGGTCGGCGGCTGCTCTGCCCCAGTTAGTTAGGATCGCCCGTGTGGTCTTCATCAGCTCCGGGCACCGAGCTCAGCGGGAGAACAAATCCCACAAAGGCCTCTTGGAGTCCTTTTGGAACTTTACGGGGGTTAGGGGGGCGCATTAACCAAATAAATAGGTCAACCAGAAAAGGTTTGCCATAAAGAAGAAACGGGGTGATGTGAAGGTGATTCGGGCGGGAGGTGAGTGTGAAGGGATTGTCGAGGAAGCCTCCCGGAGAAGGTGATATTTCAGCTGAGACCCAAATAGAAAGGAGCCAGCCGTGGGGAAGATCTGGGGAGAGGGTCCTTGTTGGAGGGAACAGGAGGAGCCCAGACAGAGCCAGAAATGGGAAGGAGCTGGATGTCATCTGCTTGAGGAGAGGGATTTTTGTGTTTTGGTCACTGATGCTTAATGCTGTACATACCATTGTGTGTAAGGACTTAAGAACTCAGTCATTGTTTGTCGAGTGGAAGCTGTCTCCCCAACAAGTAATAATAAACATTTGTTTGTCCATTTACTTGTTTATTGTTTGTCTCCACCAAGGACTGTCAACCTCTGAGAGTAAGTACCTTAACGCAGTCCTTGGCAGTCATTGGCATCGATAGGCATTTGTTGAATGAACAGACAAGCTTTTCTTGACTGCCCGCTATGTTCAGGCACTGTTTTTGGTGCTGGAGACTCGGTGGTGAGCAAGGCAGACACAGTCCCTGTGTTCCTGGAGCTTCCAGTGTGGGAGGAGACAGATTAAACACACTCTGATTATGAGCTGTGATAAGTGCTAAGAAGGCAAAGAACAGGGTGTGGAAGGGAGACCGTGAAGCAAGTACTTACTGACTGAATTGAAATCCACTCAGGCGAACATTTTATTTCCTGGCCACCACTTTCATCTCCTGACTGTTTCCCTTAATCTTCCTAAGGTGTCCTTAATTTCAAAAGGGATCAGCCCTACCCGAGATCTGATATCCATTGATATCAGATATCTAATACCAGATCAGCCCCATAAGGCAGTTGCAAAGTCATGGAGAGACTCCTGAGTGACAGGCGAGGGTGCAGGTAAGATGCAGGGCGGTTCCTGGTTCCTGGAGCCACTTCTGCAGTTGTACCCATTCACCTGATGGATGCTGCGCTGAGCTGTGAATAGCACCCAAAACATTCAGGCAACAGCTGCAGGTGCAGCAGGCTCCTACATTTGTAACAGGTAGATGTTTTCCTTCCGGTTAGTACTCAAGCCAAGACACTTATCACACTTCAGTCTTACAGGTTTGAGCAAACGTACTAATCACTATGAAGGTTCCAGTTTCAATAAGCGCCACTACCTCCAGTCATAGAGTGTACCTGGGATCCTTTTCAACTGAATGTCAGTGAAAGGAGAAGAAAGTGCTGTTCATCTTTTTCCAGAAGGAAGTAAAACTAAGGTTGCTGCGATGAGCTCTTGTGTGGTGCTAGGTTTTCAGTGTGTCTTCAGCCTGAGTTTCCTACTGACTTTGTGGTGACCAGATGGGATCACTGTTAGTAACCCTTGCAAGGGAAAGGGGGGCAGGTGGTGACTTCCGTGGTGACAGCTAGTGGGAAGTACCTGGAAAAGAAAGGTCATTCAGCTGATGGGGAGGACTCCCTGAAGGGAAAGTTCGCACTTTTGTTACAGTTCTCAGTCTAAGAACAGGTTTCCTCTTTAGTCCTTCAGCTGAAGTGGGAGTATCAATGGCTGTGAATATCAAAACAAACAGCACCAGATCTCCTCTGCCGGTTTTACTAGGTTAAATGTGCCTTGAATTGAATCTACATTAAAATGTACCTTATTCCATTAGCCTTGAATTAGGGTGCTGCCCTAAAAGGGAAAAAAAACCCAAAATTTATAAAAGAAACCACACAATAGAAAAAAAAAGTTAATATGTCTGGGCACGGTGGTTCACGTCTGTAATCCCAGCACTTTCGGAGGCCAAGGCGGGCAGATCACAAGGCCAAGAGTTCGAGACCATCCTGGCCAACATGGTGAAACCCTGTCTCTACTAAAAATACAAAAATTAGCTGGGCATGGCGGGGTGTGCCTGTAGTCCTAGCTACTCTCAGAAGGCTGAGGCAGGAGAATCACTTGAACCCAGGAGGCAGAGGTTGCAGTGAGCTGAGATCGCGCCACTGCACTCCAGCCTGGCAACAGAGCGAGACTCCGTCTCAAAAAAAAGTTAATATATGTAAGCTGGTGATGGTGGTGTATGTATGTGAAATCCATGTTTGTATTATTGCCACAGAAATTTACCTCTTTATAAATAAAGATTCTACTATTTGTAGAAACATCATGCCCATTTAGAGTTAAGTACTATTTGATATTGAAGGAAGAAAATGAAAGCTGAGAAGTAGTATCCTGTGACAGCTTTAGACACAGAACTTCCTTTCCAACAAGTTCCATAGAACTAGATTGTGTCTGAATCATTAGTAACTTGGAAGTGGTTACTTTTAGTTCGACCTCCAGAAATGAATGAGAAGGTGACAAACAGAAGTGAAATGAGAATTTTTACCTTTTTTCTGGTTCTTTTAAAAAAAAAGTCCCCAAAAAATGAACAAGAACTGAGTCAGACACTGAGTAGACACTTACCAGGTTGAGCAGTTTCATGTCAAGTTGTATCTTAACTGTTTCTTGAGAGTGCCCAGTACAAATCCTGGATGGAATAAAGATAAATTTCGTGTCTTAAATGGCTTTCAACATGAATGATATACTGTAAATTGTTGAAGTATGAAAGTGATAGATGACCATTGTGAGAAATGTGGAAAACATAAGAATAGTAACATACCTTGCATGATCCCAACGCCTAGAAATTAACTTTAACTTTTTGGCTAATACTGGACAATCAGCATTTCTCTAATAATGTTTAAAAATGTCCATATATATGTATTTTTATATAATTTGAACCACACTGAAAACATCCTAATCTGCTTTACACAGAAATCATGACTAACTTCCTAATTTTATTAAATATTCTTTTACAACTTTTTAAAATTGTTTTAAACTTTATATTATAAGTAGAGGGAAGAGTACAGTGTACCCCCATGTACCCATAAATGTAAACTTAGTTTTTTCTCACTTCCCAGACTAGATCATTTTGAAGCAAATCCAAGATATATAATTTAACTTTTCAACAAGTACCTCTAAAAGATGAATTTTTTTTCTTTTTTTTTTTTGAGATGGAGTCTCAATTCTGTCGCCCAGGATGGAGTGCAGTGGCGCGATCTCAGCTCATTGCAACCTCTGCCTCCCAGGTTCAAGTGATTCTCATGCCTCAGCCTCCTGAGCAGCTGAGATCACAGGCGCGCGCCACCACGCCTGGCTAATTTTTGTATTTTTAGTAGAGACGGGGTTTCACCATGTTGGCCAGGCTGGTCTCCAACTCCTGACCTCAAGTCATCCCCCCACCTTGGCCCCCCAGAGTGCTGGGATTACAAGCATGAGCCACCAGGCCTGGCCTAGAAGATAAAAAATTATTACCAACATTGTACCTGAAAATTTAAATAACATTTCTTAATATAATCAAATACCTGGTCATTTTTACACAACTTTATTGAGGTGTATGGTAGAGTTTACCCATGATTTTTAGAAAGTTTATGGAGGCCGGGTGCAGTGGCTCACACCTGTAATCCCGGCACTTTGGGAGGCTGAGGCAGCCACATCACTTGAGCCCACCAGTTTGAGACCAGCCTGAACAACATGGCGAAACCCCATCTCTACCCAAAATACAAAAATTAGCCGGGTGTGGTGGCACGTGCCTTTAATCCCAGCTACTCAGGAGGCTGAGGCAGGAGGATCGCTTGAACCTGGGAGGCAGAGGTTGCAGTGAGCTGAGATTGCGCCACTGGACTTCAGCCTAGGCGACAGTGAGATCCTGTCTCAAAAAAAAAAAAAAAGAGTTTATAGAGTCATGCATCCATTGCCACAATTGTTTTAGAACATTCCATCACCCCAGAAGATTCTTAATGCTCATTTACAGTTAATCCTTATTCCTACCCCCACCCCCCCAGCACCCACTAATCTGCTTGCTGCCTCTAGGGTTGTCTGGACATTCCATGTAAGTGGAATCGCACAGTATGTGGCTTCTTGTGTCTGGCTGCTTTCACTTAGTATGAAAGTCATCCAGGGTGGGCGTGGTGGCTCACGCCTGTAATCCTAGCATTTTGGGAGGCCGAGGTGGGCGAATCATCTGAGGTCAGGAGTTTGAGACCAGCCTGGCCAACATGGTGAAACCCCATCTCTACTAAAAATACAAAAATTAGCCGGGGGTGGTGGCACTTGGCTGTAATCCCAGCTACTCGGGAGGCTGAGGCAGGAGAATCGCTTGAACCTGGAAGGCGAAGGTTGCAGTGAGCCAAGATACTGCCAGTACGTTCCAGCCTGGGCAACAGAGCGAAACTCTGTCTCAAAAAAAAAAAAAAAAAAAAAAGAGAAAGTCATCCCTGTTGTTGCATGGGTCAGTAGTTCATTCCTTTTTATTGCTAAGTAGCATTCCATTGTGTGGATATAGACTGTAATTTCTTTTCTTTTCTTTCTTTCTTTTTTTTTTTTTTTTGAGACAGGCTCTTGCTTTGTCACCCAGGCTAGAGTGCAGTGGTGTGATCACTGCTCACTGCAATCTCGATCTCCTGGGCTCAAGCAATCCTCCTGCCACAGCCTTCTGAGCAACTGGGACCACAGGCGTGCACCACCAGGCCTGGCTAATTTTTTATTTTTTGGAGAGATGGTGTCTTACCATGTTGCCCAGGCTGGCCTCAAACTACTGGCCTCAGGTAGTCCTCCCACCTCAGCCTCCCAAATTGCTGGGATTATCAACACGAGCTGCTGTGCCTGGCTATAATTTCTTTAACTACGCTACTGTAATTTCTTGAACTAGTTTTCTATTGTTGGATTTTTGGGTTATCATTTTTTCTTTTTCCCTGAGATTGATGTTGTCATAGATTTTCATCTGTTTCCATAGCTTTTTCCTTAGGTTAAATTTTCTTCATGGGGTATTGCTGGGCAAATAATCATTTTCAGGATTTTTTCTTTTTTTGACCCAGGGTCTCACTGTGTCACCTGGGCTGGATTGCAGTGGTGTGATCTCAGCTCCATCCAACCTCTGCCTCTCGGGCTCAAGCAATTCTCGTGCCTCAGCCTTCCAAGTAGCTGGAATTACTTAGGTGCGCCACCATGCCTGGCTAATTTTTTTTTTTTTTTTGAGATAGTGTCTTGCCCTGTTGCCCAGGTTGGAGTGCAAATGGCACGATCTTGGCTCACTGCAACCTCCGCCTCCTGGGTTCAAGCAATTTTTCCACCTCAGCCTCCCGAGTAGCTGGGATTACAGGTACTTGCCATCATGCTTGGCTAATTTTTGTGTTTTCGTAGAGGTGGGATTTCACCATGTTGGCCAGGCTGGTCTTGAACTCCCGACCTCAAGTGATCTGCCCGCCTCATCCTCCCAAAGTGCTGGGATTACAGGCGTGAGCTACCGCCCCGGCCTAATTTTTGTATTTTTAGCAGGGTTGGGGTTTCACCGTGTTGGCCCGGCTGGATTTTCAGGCTTTTTTGGTAACAGTTGACAAATTGCTCTCAAGAAAAGTTGTGTCAGTTTATAGTTTCATTCAATAGTATACAAGAGTGTACATCCCCCAAACTTTGGTGATGTTTTATTTTTTACATAAAAGTATTTTTAAATTTTAGAAATTTAAACCATATTTTTCATCCTTTTCTCAGCTCAACCAGAACGTAAGTTCTTTCCAAAGAAAATTTGTTGGTGAGGTGAAGAGGTGTGAAGAGCTAGAGCGAATATTGGGTAAGTTTATTTTCTGATTTAACAACTTAAATAATTACCTTTATATAGGCAAACCTTGTTCGGTTTAAAAATATTGGAAAATATAGACAAGCAGAAAGGAAAAAAAGAAATTGTATTCTCATTCAGAAGTAATCACAGTTATGTAGGCATGTATTATTTTTCTGTATTTTTTTATTCATCTATAAAAGTAAAAATTTACAAACATAATGGCCTGGTTATTTTGTTGTTACCCTTGTTTTTTACTTAACAGTGCTTACTATAACATCTTTTCGTGTCAGTAGACATAGATATTTACCCATCATCGTTTTTGATGGCAGCATACTATTTGATTGTATTAATATTAATGTGCTGTGGCTTATTTAACCGATCCCTTGTAGTTTATTATAACTTAAAAACATTGTACTTGTTAATAAGTTACTTAATTTAAAATTTTTTCAAGGAACAAGGGAGGCGGGAAATGGAAGATAGAGTGATTGACAATAATTTCCTTTTTCTCAGGGCTTCCTTTGCCAGTGTGTTAGATCAGTGCTGATTGTTAACCATTTCAACTAAGCAGCCCAGGGCCACTTCTTTTATCTCTAAAGTCTTTACCATCTTAGTCTGGTACTAGTCATTATCAAATCAAGCCTTGACATTCTCACTGAAGTGGAGGGAAAATGACAGACAGTCAACTGAAGGACAAAGCTTGTTTTTTTTTTTTTTTGAGATGGAGTCTTGCTTTGTCACCTAGGCTGGAGTGCAGTGGCATGATCTTGGCTCACTGCAGACTCCGCCTCCTGGGTTCCAGCGATTCTCCTGCTTCAGCCGCCCTAGTAGCTGGGACTATAGGTGCGTGCCACCACACCTGGCTAATTTTTGTACTTTTAGTAGAGATGGGGTTTTACCATGTTGGCCAGGCTGGTCTTGAACTCCTTGTTAGGGACAAACCGCCCCAAAAAAGCTTCTTGGTACTGCCAACACTTCCCCCAAAGCTCTCCGTGCTGCCTACCCCTCCCCCTGAGCCCCTTTAACATTTCTAAGCCCTTATCTAGGTGCCCCAGTGAAGCCAGCAAACTTCACTTATCAGGCCTTCCTGCGATAAGCAAAACACAATTATAAACCATCCGGACCACACAGGGGGAGGTTGTGGGAAGCCTAAACAAACTTTGCCTACGGCCTCCTGTAAGTTCCTTCATTTAGCTGCTACTGTAAAGGTCACAAGGTGATACATGGCAAAGTTAACCAACAAACGACCCCAGGGTCTCTCTCCCCCGTATAAACCCCTCATTTTGTAAGTTCAGGGCTGCCTCCTCTGTCGTGGAGCAGCCGGCAGGTTCAATAAACTTACTCACCTGACTTTGGGTCTATTCTTCCTTTCTCTCGGCTGACCTTACACTCCTGACCTCAGGTGATCCACTGGCTTCGGCCTCCCAAAGGTCTGGGATTACAGATGTGAGCCACCACACCCGGCCTATTTTTTTTAAATTGGGGATTTTTAAGTGTAACAGGAAATTTTAGTCATTTGAAATCTAGTCCTATTCATATTGCTTGAGGTCCTAGTTATTTGTGTGGTTCATGTACGTTAGTGGCACCATATTCCTGTCTTTGCAACCTGGGTGAGTCATTGGATAGATGGTGTATTCAGAATAAGGTTTTTAAAGGCAGGGCAAATGTGATAACACATTAGGTATATCCAGGACTTCCTGTAGCTTAAACTGTTTCAAAAGAATGCAGGGCTGGGCACGATGGCTCACGCCTATAATTCCAGCACTTTGGGAGGCCAAGGTGGGAGGATCACTTGAGTCCAGGAGTTTGAGAGCAGTCTGGGCAACATACTGAGACCCTGTCTCCACAAAAAATAAAATTAGCCAGGCATGGTGACATGTGCCTGTAGTCTTAGCTACTCAGGAGGCTGAGGTGGGAGAATTGCTTGAGCCCAGGAGTTTGAGGTTATTGTGGGCCAGGATGACACACCACTGTACTCCAGCCTGGGCAGCAGGGTATGACCCCATAAGAATGCAGACTTAAAACAGTGAAAAAGGACCTCTCAAGGAAATTTAGGTGTACGCCAGGCATGGTGGTGCACATACCTATAGTCTCAGTTACTCTGAAGGTAGAGGCAGGAGGCTTTCTTGAGCCCAGGAGTTCAAGGCTAGCGTGGGCAACATAGTGAGACCCCTGTCTCTTAAAAAAAAAAAGAATAAATTGAAGTATAAATTGGTTAAAACAATTTGCGTTCATTTCTAGAAACCTCTTAGACCCAGTGCTTCCTTTGCTATCTTGGTAAGACAGTTTCTTTTCTTTTTCTTTTTGTTTTTCCTCCTTACTTCTTTACCTGCCTCTCTCCCTCTGTAAACCAGTTAGTAACACTTCTAAATATTAGGCCTGATAATGACTAACAGATATTGTGACTTTTAGCCTAAGGAAAGGGATGCTTCATGGAATCGAAAACATAAACCAAATAAAGTAGTTAGTTTTGGCTGGTGTACTATTAGTTTCATGAATCTAGGTGTTTTGTTTTGTTTTGTTTTGTTTTGTTTTAATGACTGAAACAAAAAACATCTAAAACCACAGCTTCTGGAAGAACCACTTGTTCTTGCCAGTCTTGTTCCACTCTTTGAACTTGATCTTGGCCTCCCACTGGGCCTTGCATTTAAGAGCAGGGTCTCTGAAAACCTGGTGGTTTTGTCTAAGGGGATGGTCACAGGGTACTCTGTGGGCATGAGGTCATTATAGTTATAAACCTTCACAAAAGACTTGACCTTTGACCTCTTGGCAATCTTCTTGCCCATGGCAGCTGTCACTGTGGGAATAATGGTCTTTTTTAGCCACCAGAGGGTGGCTGCAGGTGTGGTCTGAGGTGCCATCATCAGTTTTCTTCATGAGGATTGGCTTTGTGTCCAGAGTAGTGTCCGGCCACGACTGGCACCATTTTCCCAGGTTTCATGAACTTGCCCATTTCTAGGGCTGCCCTGACACTTGCCCCCCAGGCTGCCGAGGGCAGCAATTGCAAGACCCAGCCAGGCTTCTGAATCTAGTTTTTAACTTCAGTGGTGAAACAGTGCAGGTTGTCCTCAGCCACAGCCTCAGGGCTGACTGGGAGCTGCAAGAGAGCCTGGCTCTTGGTGCTGGGTGGGTTTCCTGGTAGTGGTTGTGATTTTCTTGTTGGACTGATGGATGCCCTTTTCTTTCTGAGGGCATCTGCGAGAAATCATGTTGCCAGCTCCCATAGGGGCTATTGTAGGTCTATCACTTGGGTAATTCCTGCACTTCCAAGTGCGCCCCTAACCTCTGCTTCATTCTGCCCCTGTAGATGGCTGCGACTCAAAAGTTCTTTCACTAGAATATTAGAAATGAAAAAAATGGGTGGAATTTCAGAAAAGGTTTATCCAGGTTGTTGTTCATTCTATTTATTTATTTTTTAAGTCACTAAGAAATAGAAGAGGTTGTTGTTTATTTTGTCACTGCATGCAGATCTCTCTAGGCAGCATTATTTTTGGAAACAAGGTTGCAAAAAGTGACCAGTAAGTCAGTTGGGACAAGCAAGATTTTTGTGCATTTAGACATTGATTTTTAGATGGCTTGGGAAACATTGGGCTTTAAAATGTTTCTGACTGAAATGTATTATAGTACATTTTAGTATCTAATTGTTTAACTTTTATTTTCACAGTGTATTTGGTACAGGAAATTAATAGAGCTGATATTCCCCTTCCTGAAGGAGAGGCCAGCCCTCCTGCGCCACCCCTGAAACAGGTTCTAGAAATGCAGGTAACTTGCTTCTGACGAAGCTGGTTGCAGCCATTGATCTTGGGGGCTGCTTACTTACTTATTTCATGTTGTCTAATGCTTTTCTGCCTTTCTTCTCAAAACTATGGAAGATGGTGATCTCTCTAGGCAGAGAGATTAAAGACCGCTATTATGATTAACCCTCAGTAATAGATTATCTGTGTTAAATTTTAACAGTAATTCAGTTTTCTTTTACAGTGTAAGGCATATGCTTCCTTTCCAGGTGGTGGTGAACAGAGGCAACAAGAATCAGGCCATCAAGCCTGATTGATGGATCAGAACAGTTCATGATCCTGTACTGTTTCAGAAAGCTCATCCCAGGGTCACCCATGCCTTAGCTGCCTCTTCTTGTGCAAGGAATTGAGGCTTCGGTGTTGTGCCTTCACAGTCCTCCCACATTTACCCTGGCCCTTCCCCTCTAAATTTTGGAAGCTGGTATGCAGTCCATGGGTTGTCTCGGGTGGGCAGCAAGCAGCGTTCTGTCACCCTGAGTTCCCTGGCTGGTGTGCTGGGGATACATGTGTCCCCGGTGAGAACACTCACCTGTGCTGCTTATTAGCATCCTCGGTGAATTCGTTCCTCACCCTGTGAAGTAGGCTGGAGCTCTTGATAACTCTTCTAAAACAATTATCGTTGTGTAACTGAAGCCATTCAGTTGCGGGCTCCTCTGTTTGTTTATTCGGGAGGAAGTCTTTCATTACTTGGTGCAGGAGACTCCAGAGAGAACTCTCCAACCAGATGAGTAACAGCAGTCATCTGGATTGGCCTGTTCGATGGGTCGCTTGTGATGTAATTACAAACATAGTGATGACTGTGTACAGTGCTTGTAAGGCAAAGCAGAAGTAATGAATATAGTATATTAAGTGATTTGTTTGAATACAAGTTTTCATTGACTCAATGATTTGCCTTACGGATTTTTGCTTCTGTTATTTTAATACTTAAGTATTTTTAAGGATGTTTAGTATGTAACTAATTATTAAAGATTCTCATGAATTTTTTTTTTTTTTTGAGACAGAGTCTTGCTCTGTCGCCCAGGCTAGAGTGCATGTAGTGGTGCGATCTCGGCTCACTGCAGCCTGTGCCTCCCGGGTTCAAGCAATTCTCCTGCCTCAGCCTCCCAAGTAGCTGGGATTATAGGCACGTGCCACCATGCCTGGCTAATTTTTGTATTTTTAGTAGAGATGGGGTTTTACCATCTTGGCCAGGCTGGTCTCGAACTCCTGACCTCGTGATCCACCCACCTTGGCTTCCCAAAGTGCTGGGATTACAGGCGTGAGCCACCACGCCTGGCCAATTGTCATGAATTTTTATCCTCAATTAATTGTGTAAATGTGAGTGCATAGTAACTCATATGCTAGAGACTAGGAAAATAAGTTAGAAAAGATTATCTAAATATATTCTGTGTTGCAAAAAAAGGAAATGTAGACTTAAAGAGGAAGAGTCTTTGATGTGTGATATGAATAAGCAGACAAAGGAAATCCGAGAAATGACAGCACCTGTGGTTAGAGACGAGGGCCAGTCTTGGGGGTCTCACGCTCATCACAGCCTTCGGAATGTTTTAGCTAATATGTGGTGTGAACTTCACAGAAATTACCTGAATTAATATGAAACAATAAATGAGCCTATTTATTTATTTACTTTGAGAAGGAGTCTTGCTCTGTCACCCAAGCTGGAGTGCAGTGACACGATCTTGGCTCACTGCAACCTCCATCTCCTGGGTTCACGTGATTCTTCTGCCTCAGCCTCCTGAGTAGCTGGGATTACAGGCACATGCCACCATGCCCAGCTAATTTTTTTGTATTCTTAGTAGAGACAGGGAGGCCGAGGCGGGTGGATTACCTGAGGTCAAGAGTTCAAGACCAGCCTGGCCAACATGGTGAAACCTCGTCTCTACTAACAATACAAAAAAAAATTAGCTGGGCGTGGTGATGCGCACCTGTAGTCCCAGCTACTCGGGGAGGCTGAGGCAAGAGAATCGCTTGAACCCAGGAGGTGGAGGTTGCAGTGAGCCGAGATCATGCCACTGCACTCCAGCCTGGGCGACAGAGGGAGACTCCATCTCAAAAAAAAAAAAAAGAAAAAAACAAAACAAAAAAACCCACTGTTTTTGGTATACTGCATGAAGATTATTGGAATTACACTTGGAACTAATTACTACCCTCTTAAGTAACCATTGTTTTGTTTTAGGAGCAGTTGCAGAAGCTCGAGGTTGAACTGAGAGAAGTCACTAAGAACAAGGAGAAACTGAGGAAAAACTTGCTGGAACTGATAGAGTACACTCACATGCTGAGAGTGACAAAGACCTTTGTGAAACGCAATGTTGAGGTACTGAACAGCTCGTGAGGAAATACAGCTGTTTTTATAAACAGCTTTTTATAAAAATCTCATTCCCATAGGCTGTGTATTTTGCTATTAGTTCATATAGATATGTTGCTTCTTTTAAGAGATTAAATTTATTTATTTATTTAATTTTATATTTTGTTTTTGAGACGGAATTTTGCTCTTGTTGCCCAGGCTAGAGTGCAGTGGCACAATCTCGGCTCACTGCACCCTCCGCCTTCCGGGTTCAAGAGATTGTCCTGCCTCAGCCTCTCGAATAGCTGGGATTACAGGCGCCCGCCACCACGCCTGTAATTTTTTGTATTTTTAGTAGAGATGGGGTTTCACCATGTTGGCCAGGCTGGTATCAAACTCCAGACCCAGTTGATCCACCTTCCTCGGCCTTCCAAAGTGCTGGGATTACAGGAGTGAGCTACCGCGCCCAGATTTAAGAGATTAAATTTAAACCTTGGTTTTATTTTTCAGTTGGATTATATGACTTTAAATAAAGTTTTAAGAGCCATTTCCTGTGTTGGTTGTTTTCAGCAATTACAATACTAAATATTTATAAGATGGTTTAGTTTGTGGTTGAAAAAAATTTTTATGAGCATGAGAAAAAAATTGAATGAAGGATGTTGAACTCTAAAATTTACTTTTTCCAAATTGCTAAGTAAAGGAAGTAAAAGAATAATCTATAATTTCTAAGACTAGGTCAGACACAGTGGCTTACACCTGTAATCCCAGCACTTTGGGAGGCCAAAGCTGGAGGATGGCTTGAGCCCAGGAGTTCAAGACCAGCCTGAACATAGTGAGAATTAATATGAGACCTTGTCTATACAAAAAATAAAAAATTAGCTGAGCGTGGTGGTGCATACTTGTAGTCCCAGCTACCAAGGAGGCTGAGGTGAGAGGATCATTTGAGCCCAGAAGTTTGAGGCTGCAGTGAGCTATGATTGCGCCACTGCACTCCAGCCTGGGCGACAGAGTGAGACCCTGTACCCTGTATCTAAAAAAAAAAAAAAAGAAAAAAAATTATAAGAATAAAGAATAGTCCATGTAGTAGCACCTTATGGAGCTAAGTATAGAAGAGACAAGTGCATCTGTTCCAAACTTAGTTTCACTTGATATGATAGTGACCTTTGATAAAGTTACTCTATCTTGGATGAAGGCAATGAACTAAATTATAACTGTCTTTTATGTAAATGTCTTCAATTGGCTTACAAATAAAGGATGGGGAAGTTATCTTTTCATTTATGAGGATTGAGTTATAAATCTAAGTTACCTCAGAAGTCTTTGCACCCAGATCTAAGTAGTTAGTTAGGATGCCCTATAAACTTGTTTGAAAATTTGACATGAGAAATAAAGTGTCACTTTTAATGAGACACACTTGGTTTCATATGTTTATTTCTAGTTTGAACCCACTTATGAAGAATTCCCTTCCTTAGAGAGTGATTCTTTGTTGGATTACAGCTGTATGCAGAGGCTGGGAGCAAAACTGGGGTAGGTGACAAGGCCTGGGGTGTCAGGCTTCATACTGCCCTTCTTGTAAAAGGCAGATGAGCTCCATAGAAGGGATGAATGGAGACCATTTTAAAGCCTAGGGTTGAATGAAACATAGTGAATATTTGTTTAAGAAACACTGTATTCCTGTACTTGTTGAGCTGAATTACTCAGCTGTATTGACTTTTTTACTCAACACAATGGAAATTTCTTTTGGTATAATGAGCTAGAAAGAAACAACATTTACGTGATTCAGTGTTACTTCTATAAGCCTAAAACAATTGGTCATTCAGGCATCAAATCCTGTCTAGTAGAAACTTGGTGGCTAAACCGAGTTGGTTAGTTTTTTTATTAATCATATTTTAAAGATCTCCTGCTGCTGTTTATTCTTGCTGCCTACTGAAACTAGTGGTAATTTGTTTCCTCGTGCGATTTGTGATTTTTAAAATTATTATGAACTCATATTTCACAGTTCCTGATCTGAAGGAATTCAGTGATATTTAGTTTGAGGATGTTTTCCTCCAGAGAGAATTTGTTTTGACATTTGTCAGGTACCTGGGAGTGCTCTGTCAACCTGGAATCATTTATATTTTTCTCAGCATTGAGATTTTTTTGTTGATTTGTTTTTTGACTGTGCCAGGAATGTGAATTTAAGCCTCAAACCTGAGTGAATTTTAACCTGTGGTTATAAATTCTTAGGGAAGACTTCTCCCTCCATCTAGAACCAAAATAGAAATAAACAAGTTTACATGCAGGCTCCAGGCTCCTTTGCAAGGTAGATTTTTTTTCTGGTCCATCCCTTCACTGAGGGTGTAGCTCTTTGTGCATGGAGCAGTCCCAGCTGGAGAGGTGAGTCAGTTGTATCTGCTCACCTTATCTAGACCCAGTGCCTGGCTCCTGCATCCCATGCTGGCCTTAAACTCAAGTTCTTAAGATACGGGGTTCAGTGTAATAATCAGGACAGCTGTGAGGTCCTGTTTTCCCTTTGGATTCCAAGAATTTCTCTCTTTTTTTTTTTTTTGAGGCAGAGTCTTGTTCTGTCGCCCAGGCTAGAGTGCAGTGGCCCTCTAGCAACCTCCGCCTCCCAGGTTCAAGCGATTCTCCTGCCTCAGCCTCCCGAGTAGCTGGGATTATGGGTGCCTGCCACCACGCCTGGCTAATTTTTGTATTTTTAGTAGAGACAGGGTTTCAGCATCTTGGACAGGCTGGTTTTGAACTCCTGACCTTGTGATCCACCCGCCTCGGCCTCCCAAAGTGCTGGGATTACAGGCATGAGCCACTGTGCCCAGCCAAGAATTTCTCTTTATTACAAGCTCATCTCTACCTTTAAAAAGAAGTTTCAAAAATATTCTGACCAGCACCTGAGATGTTTTGCAGTTGGAGGGCTCTCAGGATGTCTTCACCACTTGGTAGAAATGAAGTCTTCATCATTCTTAATGTAGTTTGATAACATTTATTGCTTTCAGTTGACTACAGGTTGACTTTACTGTCTCACAGATTTGTGTCTGGCCTAATTAACCAAGGAAAAGTGGAAGCATTTGAAAAAATGTTGTGGAGAGTCTGCAAAGGGTACACCATCGTGTCCTATGCAGAACTGGATGAATCCCTTGAAGACCCTGAAACAGTGAGTAAATGTCACCATCACCTTTTAGCAATGACGGACTAACAGCAGAGTTGGAGATATGGTAGAAAGAATGTTTTTCTCCTGAACCATTTGATAATAAGTTGTTAACCTGATGCCTTATCTCTTCAACCACGTGTAGTGTGTATAGTTCCTGAAATCAGGGACATTGTCTTATATTGCCATCACATGACCATCAGTCAGGAAATGAATGTAGATACATTACTATGTCCTGAGCCTTGAATCTCATTCAGGTTTCACCAGTTGTCCTAGTATGGTCAAAGCAAAGAATGTAATTTAGCATTGCGTGTTGGATTTAGTTGTCATGTCTCTCTCTTTTTTTAAACTTTCTTTTTTTCTTAAGGAGATGGGGTCTTGCTGTGTTGCCCAGGCTGGTCTCAAACTCCTGGCCTCAAGCAATCCTCCCACGTAGGCCTCTCAAAGCCTCCCAAAGTGTTGGGATTACAGGTGTGAGCCTCCTCACCTGGCTTTTTTTTTTTTTTTTTTAACTTTTTATTTTTGGTAGAGATGGGGATCTTAACTATGCTGCCCAGACTGGTCTTGAGCCATCCTCCTGCCTTGGCCTCCCAAAGTGTTGGGGTTACAGGCATGAGCCACTGTGCCAGGCCTGTCCTGTCTCTCTGATCTCCTTCATTCTGGGACAGTTTCTCAGACTTCCCTTGGCTTTTGTGACCTTGACATTTTAAAATACTGCAAGTTTTTTTGGTAGCGTGTCTCTGGGTTTGGGTTTCTCAGGTATCTTCTCATGAGTTGACTCAGGTCACGTGTCTCTGGCAGGAGCGTTGCTGAAGTGAGGCTGCATTCTTCTCATTGCACCGTCAGGTGCCACATGTTTCTGTTTGCTCCATTACTGGTCGTGGTCCCTCTGATCACTTGATTAGTTCCATTACTGGTCATGGTCCCTCTGATCACTTGATTAGTTCCATTACTGGTCATGGTCACTCTGATCACTTGATTAGTTCCATTACTGGTCGTGGTCGCTCTGATCACTTGATTAGTTCCATTACTGGTCGTGGTCCCTCTGATCACTTGATTAGTTCCATTACTGGTCGTGGTCACTCTGATCACTTGATTAAGGCACTTCTCTTTAGACTTCGCTGTGAAGTTACTCTTTTTTTTGTGTTTGAAACTGTAAATATCCTATTCTTCATCAGGTTTTCAGCTTCCTCATTTATTTCCTATTTTATTTGATGGGTTCCTGTTCCTTTAATTATTTATTTTGATATTCACATTCTCCTAGATTTGGCCAGTTGGAATCCATTCAGGCTGGCTTTTATATCCATTTTACATGTTCCCATCACTTTTTGAGCACTTGTTTGTACAACAGGATGTCCAGATGCATGTTGCAATTCCTCTCACACGGCTCTGGAATCAACTGTTTCTTCAAGGAGGCTGTTTTTTTTTTTGAGTGCAAATCTTGGTATTTTGAAGCCAAGATGTGGCTTCTGGGTGTGCACATTGTTACTGAGGGGTTGCTTTTCCTTGGCTGTGTCAGAGTAGCTTGGGGACACACACAAAAGCACATGCACATATACATTTACAGCTGTGGGCCAGTTACTCTCCCCCAACCCCATCCATCCCCATGTACATACCTAACAGCTGTGGGGCCGAATGGTTCAGAAGGGAGGGTGGAGGCAGCGGGGAGAGACAGAGTCATAATCACCCTTAGGATATCTGTTTTTTAAACTTCAAAGTAAAAATAACTGTTGTTTTAAATGAGGATGAACTGCTGATCTACTAAAGGTGGAAAAGGAACTTGGTTTTCTTAATTTTGAGGAAAGGTTGTTTTTTTTCTAGGTTGGCCTCAGGAATTTTGGCTGTAAGATTAATATACATCTCATAGTAGTTTTGACGCATAAAGAGAAATTTGGCTGTGATTGATTGATTGATTGATTTTTACTTTTTTAGATGGAGTCTCACCCTGTCGCCCAGGCTGGAGTGCAGTGGCATGATCTCAGCTTACTGCAATCTCTGCCTCCAGGGTTCAAGCAATTCTCCTGTCTCAGCCTCCCGAGTAGCTGGGACTATATAGGCGTGGACCACCACATCTGCTGAATTTTTTTATTTTTAGTAGAGATGGGGTTTCACCATATTGAAACACCATCAGGAGTTAGGTCTTTTTTTTTTTTTTTTTTTTTTTTTTTTGAGACAGCGTCTGGCTCTGTCGCCCAGGCTGGAGTGCAGTGGCGCGATCTCGGCTCACTGCAAGCTCCGCCTCCTGGGTTCACGCCATTCTCCTGCCTCAGCCTCTCAAGTAGCTGGGACTACAGGAGGCCGCCACCGCTCCCGGCTAATTTTTTGTATTTTTTAGTAGAGACGGGGTTTCACTGTGTTAGCCAGGATGGTCTCGATCTCCTGACCTCATGATCCACCCGCCTCGGCCTCCCAAAGTGCTGGGATTACAGGCGTGAGCCACCACACCCGGCCAGGAGTTAGGTCTTGAACTCCTGACCTCAGGTGATCCACCCACCTCGGCCTCTCAAAGTGCTGTGATTACAGGCAGGAGCCACCGCGCCCAGCCTGTGATTTATTTTTGGTTTTCTGAAATAAAAATCTAATCCGTTTGAAATCTAATCAGTTAAGCCCTTCATTAACCACTCACTTGTAATATTTTCTACTTTTTTGTGGCTTTTGTAACTGCCAGTGACCATCGTTAATTATCCTTCAGTTGTGACCTTGATGACTTTTCTATTTCAAGCTGATGATTAAAACTAAGATCAAAACTGTTCTGAAGTAGCATTTACATATTTTTTGAGTTTTTTCTTTATTAAGAGAAAATATCAGTAATTCTCATGCGAGCATTTACTCAAGTTAAAATTGTTTTTTAATAGAATTTGAAAGTTCTCTTGTGCCTCTGCAACCTCCACCTCCCGGGTTCAAGTGATTCTCCTACCTCAGCCTCCCAAGTAGCTGGGACTACAGGTGCACACCACCACTCCTGGCTAATTTTTGTATTTTTAATGGAGACGGGATTTTACCATGTTGGCTAGGCTGGCCTTGAACTCCTGACCTCAAGCGATTGCCTGCCTTGGTCTCTCAAAGTGCTGGGATTATAGGCATGAGCCACCATGCCTGGCCTCTTATGCCAAATTTTTATGGAATATGTTAAAGGGCAGTAAACATCTGTGAAGGAATACAGAGAATGGATAGATGTATATCTTGAAAATACAATCCCTGTCCCCACGGTTATAAAGAAAATGCATGTCCATTATAGAAAATTGGGAACAATGTAGAAAACAAGAAGAAAAAGAAGTCCCTCGCAGTCTCCTATTCTGAGCCACTGTTTACATGCCAAGTGTGTTCTCTCAGTCTTTCTCTGGGTAAGATAGGGGTATTTTATCTGGTAACTTTTACTCAGGTTCTAGGATTTGTTTATAGTGTCAGGTTTACTGTCTTTTGGGTTCAATGTCTGACCCTCTTGAAGTTATTACAGACCTTAGAGACTATTTTTAGCCATTTTCCCCCATTGGTGTTTCTAAGTGCTGACCATTCTCTCTGCATCAAAGCTAGACATGGGCGCTTTCTTCGGTTGTATAGATTGTGTTTTTCTGTTGTGTGTGGCATTTCTTCTGCCTTGTGCCTTAAGTGGTTGTGTTCCTTGACACACTACTATGTTGCCCAGGCTGGTCTTGAACTCCTGGGCTCAAACGATCCTCCT
The DNA here is from genome assembly GCF_000001405.40 of Homo sapiens. Lineage (NCBI taxonomy): Eukaryota > Metazoa > Chordata > Mammalia > Primates > Hominidae > Homo > Homo sapiens. The sequence goes on from NC_000012.12 coordinate 123,731,586, forward strand.
GCCTCTGCCCAGCAAAGTGTTGGGATTACAGGCCTGGGCTCAAACGATCCTCCTGCCTTGGCCCCCTGAAGTGTTGGGATTACCATTCCCAGCCTCTTTTTCCTGGTTCTAACTCTTTTCTGACAGTGTGAAGTCAGCTTCCATTATCCTCAGTGTGTCTAGTGGGTTGCTCAGTTAACTGACTTATTCATTCATTGTATTCATTCTCCCAGCCACATCCTCCCTCTCCTCCTCCTGCCATCCCCTCCCTCCCACCACCGCCTGCCTGTGCTATGCTGTAGCTCCCCAGTCTGTGCTCCTGTTCCCTGGGCCCAGGGCTCAATTTTTGGACAGCTTCTCTCTTCTTTCTGCCTTTAGAGATCTCACATAATTTTATGATTTTAAGTACCATGCCCCAAATGTGTATATCCCTAGCTTGGACCTGTCCCCAGAATACTAGACTTTTATGTCTGTCTACTCCATATCTCCTTTTAAGTATCTGGAAGACCGTTTCTGCTTTTGCCTAAAACTGAACATCTGATCTTTCTTCCCAGACCTGCCCTTCCAGACCCATTGATCTCACTGCGCAGGCTGAAAGCCCTGGGCTTCTCCCCACTCTTCTCTGTTTCTTGCGTCTCACTTAAATCCCTCAGCAGATCTGGTGGCCATGTCTGCTAAATAGAGAGTCCCGCCGCCTCTCCTCGCTCTTCCTCCCTCCTGGTCCAGGTCTCGTCCCACACTTGCCTCGCCTGGCTGGGCCCCTGCTCCTGCCTCTGCCTTAGCCTGGTCTCTTCTCCTGGCATCCAGAATGATCCACAGGAAACCACAGTCAGATCATTTCATTCCTGTACTCAAGACCCTCCAGGGGCTTCCTGTTTTCCTCAGCAACAGCCCTGTGGAGCCGCACAATGGGCCTGTGGCCCTCGTCATTCCTCAGAGCTGTGTTACTACATCCCTCCCCGGCGGTGCTGGCCTCCTCGAGTCTCCTGACTGTGCTTCTGTGTGTACTCCTCTGCTTGGAAGTCTCTTCTCCCAGTGGCCATGGGGCTCGCGTCCTCACCTCCTGCATTTTTTTTTTTCCATTTACCCTGACTTGAAGCTCACCTGCACGTCTTTATGCTCAGATGTCACCCTCTCGGGGAGATCTTCCTTGCCCATCCTATGTGAGATCACAGTGCCCAAGCCCACCCTCCCTCCCTCCCGTCTCCTCATCCTGCGTCTGTTCTTTATAGCACTTACCTCTACCTGGCGTACTTTCTTTGTTTCTTTTGCTGTCAAGTTGAATATAAGTTTAAGTTCCCTTCCCCTCCCAGGTCAGGGATTTTTGTCAGTTTTCTTCACTGCTGTATCCCTAGCACCTATAATAGTGCCTATTCAGTTTTTATAGAATTCTGTTTTGTTGGATACTTGTAAATACAGGGTGATTCTTATTATTTACAGTAGTTATGCTTCATAAAGTCACTGAGGGCTGAGCACGGTGGCTCATGCCTGTAATCTCAGCATTTTCGGAGGCCGAGGCAGGTGGATCACCTGAGGTCAGGAGATCGAGACCAGCCTGACCAACAAGGAGAAACCCCCGTCTCTACTAAAAATACAAAATTAGCTGAGTGTGGTGGTGCATGCCTGTAATCCCAACTACTCGGGAGGCGGAGGCATGAGAATTGCTTGAACCCAGGAGGTGGAGGTTGCGGTGGGCCGAGATTGTGCCATTGCATTCCGGCCTGGGCACCAAGAGAGAGACTCTGTCTCAAAAAAAAAAAAAAAAAAAGTCACTGAAATCTCTGAATTACCAACTGTGGAAAAACTCACTGCTCCTAGGGGAAGTACGGGAGTTGAGTCATTTACATTGAGCTCCCAGCCAGCAGCTCTGTGACTCGAGCCCGAACGAAGTGTCCCTAACACACGCCACATCTCTGTCAGGGACATCACAGCTGTCTTGTGCTCAGGACACCAGACTGCACCTCAGCCCTACACTCGGGGCTGTTTATACCGTGAAATCACCAAAAAAAGCACAGAAGTGTGAAAAACATGATACCAAACAGACTCTGAAAAGGACACTTGGTGATAGTCTGAGAGCAGAGATGGGAAGGGAGAGCGTCACCTTGTTGGACTTTACCTGGGAACGCGGGTGTCGGGTGCCTAAAAGTTTTGGCTGCTCTGCACATGACTGGAAGCGCTCCGTGGATTGGTTTGGGGCTGTTACTACAAGTAGGTGAATTCGTAATTACAGAATCCTCAAATAAGGAGTATTGACTGTATTGAATGAGTGAATGAATGAACGCTTTGACAGTGTTTGAGCTGCCGAAGTTCTAGAAGTTTATACACGCAGAAATAACACTTATCCTTATTCATTCTTTGTAGGGGGAAGTCATAAAATGGTATGTCTTTTTAATATCCTTTTGGGGAGAGCAGATTGGCCACAAGGTTAAGAAGATATGTGATTGGTAAGAAAAAGAAACATTTCATTTCATTTATGTCTTTATATTCAGTCACCTCTAGTTTTCCTTCAACATCCCTCTGGAGTCAGAAATAGAGTGGCTGCTAGTTTTTGTTATATGATTCTTTGCTGCACTGCCAAGTTCTTAAACATTTAATTTGTCATCTCTCTTACCAATGCATTACTTAAAATAATTTAAAAGTAGAGACTGTGTTAATAATATTCCCAGAATTGACTTTTTTCCTTGGAGATCAGGGCTTCAGATTGGTTGAAAAAGGAATAAAGTTTTTATATGTTGTGACTTCATGTTGCTTTGAGCTACCAGTCGGGCTTACCTGTCATCACTGAGCATGTGCATCTCTTCTGTCCTGGGTACCCTGGGGCAGGGGTGTGGCGTGTGGTGAGGAGGAGGCGCTCAGGGGCCTGTCTGGATGCAGAGCCTCCCTGTGTCGCTGTCTCACTGGACTCACTTGGACAAGTGACCAAGCCTCAGTTTCTTCATCTGTAAAAGGGGAGAGTGATTGCTTTCTTATAGGTCTTTTAGGACTAAATGAAATGATCAGGTAAAAGACATCAGTTCGGCATAAGCCATCAGTAATTTTGAGTTGTGGTACAACAATAATCTGTGACTTAACTCCTGTCAGCAAATGGGAACATAAGCAAAAGCCAAACAAAGTCAGAAAACTCCTTTGCTTTCTTCCCCCCATGGACAACTCAGCTTGCCTTGTTTCTTGCAGGGTGGAGGGGGGTTTGGGCATTTTCTGTTTACTAGAATTTGGTTCTCAATTGGTGGAATAGAAAGTAATTTCAGGTGTCACCTGGATAAACCTTTTATTTTCATAGATAGATATTTGTTTTACTGCAGATTAAAAAACTATACCCAGCTCAGCAAACCCATGATTTCACAGATATTGTTGCTTAGGATAAGGCTAGAATAGGTATTTAATTTTTCAAAGGCAGAACTTAAAGAAAAATAAAGGTATGGTGTTAACATATGAAGGTGGTCCGGGAATGGCTGCAGTTTGGGGACACAGCTCGTCATTCCCTCGTGCAGTCTGGGTGCCGAGTGGCTGAGTGGCCCTGAGAGGACCTGTCAAAGGCAACTGCTAGGAAGCCAGAGCTCTTTTCTCCTTTTGTTTTCGTGTGTGTGTGTGTGTGTGTGTGTCTGTGTGTGTCTGTTGTGTGTCTGTGTGTGTCTTTGTGTTTGTGTTTAAACCTGTTCAGTGATTCCCAGCCCAAGGACATTGTTGAATTTTAGGAAGCTGGAATTGGGAATGAGCTTCCAGGAATCATTGAGGGCAGGAGTGGAATTTGGATCCCAGAGGGAGTTTGCTAAATTTATCTCACTCAGCAGGTGCTTGTTGAGCATCTGTATGCACAGCCCGACCAAGGGCAGATGACTGCATCTGCACCCGTGTCTCCCAAACGGCTGCTTTCATTCCGTTTTGCCAGAAGATGTGCCGGGGAGGTGAACGTGTTTAGTTCTAGTGCTGACAGATGTGAGACTGTGTTCAACTCTTGTCTTCCAGCTACCACTGCCACGTGTACCCCTATCCAAACACAGCCGAGGAGCGGAGGGAGATCCAGGAGGGGCTGAACACCCGCATCCAGGATCTCTACACTGTGAGTAAGCTGGAAGTGGATTGCCTCTTTATCTGAGGGCTGCCAAACATTTACACGTATATTTTCTCTCTTTTTTAACATAGATAATATTGGTCGTAGACAAATCAAGATGTTCTAGTGAGATTGGAATGTTGCTTCCCTCCCTCCTCCCCATGGAAGTTTTATTTTAGCAACTTGTTAGGAACCTGAGTAGTAATGACAAGGCTTTAAAAAAAGATTCTGTGGTCACCTTTGATATGTTGGATGGTAATTCATTTTTCTTTTTCAGACAGGCTCTCGCTCTGTCGCCCAGGCTTGGAGTGCAGTGGCATAATCTCAGCTCACTGCAACCTCTGCCTCCTGGGTTCAAGCGATTCTCCTGCCTCAGCCTCCCAAGTAGCCGGAATTACAGTCACGCACCACCATGCCCGGCCAATTTTTGTATTTTTAGTAGAGACAGAGTTTCGCCATGTTGCCCAGGCTGGTCTAAAATTCCTGACCTCAAATGATCCGCCCACCTCAGCCTCCTAAAGTGCTGGGATTACAGGTGTGAGCCACCATGCTCAGCCTGGATTGTGATTCTTTTTTTTTTTTTTTTTTTTTTGAGGTGGAATCATGCTCTGTTGCCAGGCTGGAGTGCAGTGGTGCGATCATCTCAGCTCACTGCAATCTCTGCTTCCCAGGTTCAAGCAATTCTCCTGCCTCAGCCTCCCAAGTAGCTGGGATTATAGGCATGCGCCACCACACCCTGCTAATTTTTTTGTATTTTTAGTAGAGACGGGGTTTCACCATGTTGGCCAGGTTGGTCTCGATCTCCTGACCTCGTGATCCACCCGCCTCGGCCTCCCAGAGTGCTGGGATTACAGGTGTGAGCTACCGCCCCCGGTCTGGATTGTAATTCTTGATCACAAAAGACAAGCCAGCTCCAGTTAACATGGTGAGGGCATTATTTTACCAGTAGGATTTAAATTCATTTTTCTCTTGATGACAGTGAGGGTTCTTGTTGGCATGAAGTGTCCTTCTGACTCAGTTAAGCGAGAGGATTTCTTGGTAGGATGGGATGGGCGTTGGTGGCTCACAGGGTTGACAGGGGTGAGGCCAAGCTTGGGAATGGGTAGGAACCCAGGGAGCTTGCTGGATCCTGGTAGGCCATCACGCTGCCGCAGTGACAATGACGTCTAACCATTTCCTGTGCCCTAGGGTCATGTTCTCCAGAGGCAACCTCCCAAAAGAGGGCATCTGATTGATTGGGCTTAGATTTTTCTGCCCACCTCCGAGTGGTACTAGGGGCAGGGAGAAGGAAGGAATGGCTCCCTTAGCTGCCACCAGGATAGGCAGGTGCCTGGAATGATCCTCTGTCAATGGGGAGAAAGTCCTCTAAGGGAAGTCGGGTGCCAGGTGGACAGAAACAAAAACATGCCCACTCCACTGAAAGCCCCTGTTGTTCTTCCCCAGGTACTGCACAAAACCGAGGACTATTTGAGGCAAGTGCTATGTAAAGCCGCCGAGTCTGTCTACAGCCGTGTGATCCAGGTGAAGAAAATGAAGGCCATCTATCACATGCTGAACATGTGCAGCTTTGACGTGACCAACAAGTGCCTCATTGCTGAGGTCTGGTGTCCCGAGGCGGATCTGCAGGACCTGCGCCGGGCACTGGAGGAGGGCTCGGTAAGGCTGCCTTCCTCTCCTCTGCCAGGAACAGAAGAGAGACTGATGGAACTGATAAATTCAGAGAAAAAAAGGAAGTGAGAATTTCATAGAGTAATGAGAATGCAGTGTGTTGACTCTTCTTTTGTTTTTTTAAAATATTAATTAACAAAATTAAAATAGAGATGGGGTTTTGCTGTGTTGCCCAGGCTGGTCTCAAACTCCTGGCCCCGAGCGATCCTCCTGCCTCAGCCTCCCAAAGTGCTGGGATTACAGGTGTGAGCCACTGTGCCCAGCCTTGGCTCTGTTTTTGAACTGAAATTATGGTGAGCTGGTCATTCAAAGCTGTATGTGAGTACATGTGTTTTTAAATTGCTCTTTTGAGTAATTCATTCACATGGTGTAAAAGTGAAAAGAAATAAAAGAGTATGAAAGACACAGTGCAGTGGCTTCCTCCCACCCCATAGCCTTACTTGTCCACTTCCTCCACTCAAAGATAACCATTACTTCAGTTCTGTTATTTCTTTGAGTTTCTTAACTGTAGATAAGCAGATAGGAGTAGATATTATTTTTCTTTCTTTTTCTTCACAAAATGGCACTATTCATACTATTCTTTTCACTTAATAAAACTTCTCTATTTTTCTTATAACTATTTAATATTCTGTTGTGTGCATACCATGGTTTATTTAACTAGTTTTCTGGTCATTTAGGTAGTTTCCGCTTTTACAAATAGCACTATGATGTCAAATCTATTTGTAGGGTAAATTCCCAGAAATGGAATTACTGGACTGATTTTGATAGATGTTGTCAGCTATTGTATTTCTCTCATTGTGAGTGAAGGGGAATACCTTTTTTTTGTTTAAGAGCCTTTTGGCTGGGCACGGTGGCTCACGCCTGTAACCCCAGCACTTTGGGAGGCCGAGGCGGGTGGATCACGAGGTCAGGAGTTTGAGACCAGCCTGACCAACATGGTGAAACCCCATTTCTACTAAAAATACAAAATTAGCTGGGCGGGGTGGCACATGCCTGTAATCCCAGCTACTTGGGAGGCTGAGGCAGGAGAATTGCTTGAGGCGGAGGTTGTGGTGAGCCAAGATGGCGCCATTGCACTGCAGCCTGGGCAACAAGAGCAAAACTTTGTCTCAAAAAAAAAAAAAAGAGCGTTTTCAATTTTCTTTTTTTTGTGAACTATCTGTTCATATTCTGCAGCCATTTTCCATCGTATGTTGGCCTTTTTCTTACCAATTTCTGTTGGCTCCTGGTCTGTGACACCAGTAAGAATATTTTCCCCAGTTTGTCCCTCGTCTTTTGACTTAGGATGTTTCTGTTTGTTTATTTGTTTGTTTGTTTTGGCCATGCAGAAGTTTTTTGTTAAATATAGTTGAACTTATCCATCTTTGCTCTTACACCTTCCAGATTTTGAATCACAGGCTTTTCCCACTGCAAGGTTATAGTGTAATTCTTCCATGTTCCTGTGAGGTTTTTCTTCTACATTAAACTCAGATTTTGGTCATGGAAAGAACAGGTTTACATATTTCAAGTGACAGTTAAGGGAACACCTTTTTCATGAGTTTTTTGGTTATGTAACCTTGTCTCATTACATAATTCTGTGATGATACAAATGTAAAATATAATGTCCATTATGACATAAACATGAAATACCCAGTGCTGAGAAAGACAGCAACACATAAATAGTATTTTGTTATTTAGAGTAGGAACCACCTATTTGAGAGATAAACACAGATGATTCTTCTTTTACTGAGGTGACATCAGTTTGAGGGACATGACTAGTACTCCTGTTATAGGTGGTGTGTGTGCTGCTTTGTGACTTTCAAGGTGGCTGCATTCGATTCAGATCGAGCCCATGGTGCTGCTTCTGCCATCTCCTGCGTGCACATGCACTGGGGTCTCTTGAGAGCTGCGTATTAAGGTCTCAGTGACCACATGTCCACCTCCGGCTGCATAGCTGTTCTTTGCTCCGCTCGTGGGCACCGACTCTTCGTTTCCCGTCAAGGGTACTGAGCTCTCAGCCCACCTCTTACTGCTTATAGTCCCTGTCTCTTCGCTTTCCTCATCTGTCCTGTCCTGTGTTATTTTTCTCCATAAGTAGGTGACTGAGACGTTCTCCAGTGTTGATGAAAGCTGGCTCATCACCTGCATTCCCACACCTCATGAATCTGGCTCTTCACAGTTGCCTTGGTAGTCAGCTTGTGTCTACAGGATGCCTTTTTTTTCTGTCGCCAAGATTGAATTTGATCAGGTACACAGGGGTCTCACATGCAGAACTCCTAACAGGCTGTGCCAGGCGGAAGCGGGGAATCTCAGCCTCCAGCCTGCAGATCCCAGTTCTTGGGTTCACTTGGCTGCCTGAAGCTCTCTAGTCACTTGGCTGCCTGAAGCTCATTCCCTAGAGAAGCCTCAGAGAGGCTTGCAAGAATCATATTCTCTGAATTCTCATGTTGATCACAGTGGCTGTCTGCTGCTTTTTATAATTAGGAGTGAGTTTTTCTGGAAATAAAATTCTGGGCTCATTTTTTTCCCCCTTGAGTATCTTACACATGTTCCTCCATCTTGTTCTGGCACCTTGCTCCCAACAGAAAGCCTGATGTTAATCTAATTTTCTTTTCCTTGTAATTCATGTGGTTTTTTAGTTTAGTTTTTTGTTTTGTTTTGTCTAGAAAAATATCTTTTCTTTTTCTTTAAAGACCAGTGATTTTCAGCCTGGGCAACATGGTTAAACCGCATCTCTACAAAAAACTCAAAAGTCAGCCGGATGTGGTGATGCACCTGTAATCTCAGCTACTCTGGAGGCCGGGGTGGGAGGATCGCTTGAGCCTGGGAGGTTGAGGCTGCATTGCACTCCAGCCTGAGCAACAGAGCCAGACCTTGTCTCAAAAACAAACAAACAAACAAACAAACAAACAGTGATTTTACAGAATGTCTCTCTCTCTCTCTTTTTTTTTTTTTTTGGAGATAGAGTCTGGCTCTTTCGCCCACGCTGGAGTACAGTGGCATGATACTGGCTCACTGTGCAACCTCTGCCTCCCAGGTTCAAGTGATTCTCATGCCTCAGCCTCCCAAGTAGCTGGGACTAGAGGTCTGCACTACCATGCCTGGCTAATTTTTGTGTGTGTATTTTTAGTAGCGATGGGGTTTCATAATGTTGGCCAGGCTGGTCTGGAACTCCTGACCTCAAGTGATCCACCTGCCTTTACCTCCCAAAATGCTGGGATTACAGGCGTGAGCCATCGCGCCTGGCCCAGAATGTGTCTCTTAACGTGGTCTTTCTGTATGTTCTTTCAATATATAGTCTTTGGTGGTGGTTTTGTTAATTTCATAAACGTTCTCCTGAATTATAGTTTTTGGTATTTGCTCTACTGTCTTGCTTTGGTTTTCTTCTTTTAGGACCTCCTGTCATCTTTCAGTGGAACCTTCTTTGCTTATCTTCAGTATCTGTCACTTTCCTTTGAATCCTTTTTGTCTTTCGTTACTTCTTTTTGATTTGTAAGATTTCTCCTCTTCGCGCCTTCTGTTTCTCTTACGGCAGTATGAGGAAGGGTTCTTCACTTTTGTGTTCCTTCTAGTTTTGTCTTACTTCTGAAATAATTTCTTTCTTTTTTTCCTAATTCCTTCTTGAGTTCTGTTACCTCATTTCTGAGTCTTTTAAAATCTGATTCCTGGTGCTTTTTCCTGTCCTGTATTTTTTTTTTAATTCTTTTAACTCCTTTTGAAACAGTAAGTTACAATGGTTTTATTTGTTTTGTGGACATTCTTTCTGGCATCTTCTCACTGTCTGTGGGGATGGTATTCTACTCCTTGGCTTTTTTCTTCTTATGACCTTATGTAAGATTGGGCTTCTCCCTCCTCTTGCTCACTTTTAAATGAAATTAGACTTTTGAGGCTGGATGCGGTAACTCACGCTGGTAATCCCAGCACTCTGGAGGCTGAGGCGGGCGGATCACTTGAGTCCAGGAGTTTGAGACTAGCCTGGCCAACATGGCGAGACCCTGTCTCTACTAAAAAATACAAAAAATACACAATAGAAAAAAAATTAGCCAGGCATGGTGGCACGTGCCTGTTATCCCAGTTACTTGGAAGGCTGAGTCACGGGACTCCCTTGAACCCCAGAGGCGGAGGTTTAAAAAAAAAAAGATTTATGGAACATGGTGAAGATGCTTAGCTGCTCAAGGAAATTCATTTTTTAGACAAGGTCTCACTCTGTTTCCCAGGCTGGAGAACAGTGGTAATGGTCGTAGCTCACTGCAATCTCAAACTCCTGGGTTCAAGCAATCCTCCCGTCTCGTCTCAGCCTCCTGAGTAGCTGGAACTACAGGCATGCACTACTATGCCTGGCTAATTTATTTATTTATTTAGTTAGTTATTTATATTTTTTTGTAGAGATGGGGTCTCTACAAAAGACGGTGTCTGGTCTTGAACTCCTGGGCTTAAGTGACCCTCCTGTCTCAGCCTCCCAAAGTGCTGGGATGACAAGCATGAGCCACCATGCCTGTCCTGCTCAAGGAGATTCTATATTATTACACAAGCAATATAAATGTATATTTACATGAAAATAGTTTTCTGGCAGATGTTTATGGTACTCAAGGAACTTTTAGAAGATGGCAGGTTCAGGATAGCGATCCTAACCTCACTGATGGTTTTTTCTTTTTTTTATTTTTTGTGTACTGAATGCAAACACGTCGGGTCCTGGATCTGAGATGTCCTCTGTGTCTCTCTTGTGAACTCCTCTGTCTTTTCTCTTTCGTTCCTGTCCTGCTCAGTTTTGATCTCACTCCCAGCAGTTTCTCCTCAGCGTGTGGCCGCTCAACAGGGGAGGACCTGGCAGGTCAGTGCCGTGAGTTTAGGGACTGGGCTGCCCTGCCCCAACCCCTGCAGACTTCACTGCCCATGGCCCCTGTGCCGTCGCCTACTCTTGGACTGGACAGAACTCTTCCCAGTTCCAGCTGCTTTTTGTGGTTTGGCCTCCTCTGCTTTCCCAGGGAGGTTCTTTCTGGCCATTTTTGGTGTTGTTGGCCCAGGCCCCTTGGAGGCCACATTGCTTACTTGCATCCTCTGCTCTGGAGGCTGCTGGGTAGGTCTTGTAGCTGTTGGTGGTTTCCTCACCCATTTGTATTTTGGGGACTGTGGGGACGTGGTTTGGCTGTAAATGCCATCCGTAGGCTTTAGGTCTTGCTAGCTGGTTGCACTTTCTGTTCTGAAGGGGACTTGGGGACGTTCAAAGCTGTGCCACCCTCGAGAATTTCCCCAGAACCCCATTACATGCATACGTTTTAAGAGACACATTTTGGCCGGGTGCAGTGGCTCACTCCTATAATCCCAGCACTTTGGGAGGCCGAGGTGGGCAGATCACCTGAGGTTAGGAGTTCGAGACCAGCCTGGCTAACATGGTGAAACTCCGTCTCTACTAAAAATACAAAAACTAACCAGGCGTGGTGGTGTGCAATGTAATCCCAACTACTTGGGAGGCTGAGGCACGAGAATCGCTTGAACCTGGAAGGCAGAGGTTGCAGTGAGCCGAGATCACACCACTGCACTCCAGCCTGGGTGACAGAGCGAGACTCCTTCTTTAAAAAAAAAAAAAGACTTATTTTGACCAGAAAATCTACTATTCTGTCAATAACCTGTTTACCTTATTTTAAAAGTGTTTTCATTATAAATCAATATAATGCATTTCAGAAGAATTGCAAACACTGATGGATAAAGTTATATTTATGATTCTGCCATAATAGAATTCATGTTGACATTTTGGTTTATTCTTGCCTTTCTCATTTTTTTATTAAGTATATTGCAGTTGTCTCAAACTTCCTCTTTCTTCACCGTTTTTAAGAGATAAAGTACTCAGTGTCGGTTTTCTGTCAGTGACTGAGCCGACTCCATACCCACGTGCCCCGCATTCCCCAGCCCCCATTCACTTCCGGCGCATTCAGTCCTGCTCTCACCCTTCCTTCTTGGAGGCCACAGGCCCCAAGTGCCGCCCTTGCCACCCCCTGATTCCTCACAGATGGACTTTTCCTCCAGGCCCTCTGGCTGCTCTTGACCCTGTTGAGTGGAGATTAATCCTGCACCAAAGCCACACACACAGCGTTGCCAAAGCAGTAACACAAGGCTGGGCACGGTGCTCACACCTGTAATCCCAGCACATTGGGAGGCTGAGACAGGTGGATCACCTGAGGTCGGGAGTTCGAGACCAGCCTGACCTACATGGAGAAACCCCGTCTCTACTAAAAATACAAAATTAGACGGGCATGGTTGCATATGCCTGTAATCCCAGCTACTAGGGAGGCTGAGGCAGGGGAATCGCTTGAGCCTGGGAGGCAGAGGTTGCGGTGAGCCGAGATCACACCATTGCACTCCAGCCTGGGCAACAAGAGTGAAACTCCGTCTCAAAAAAAAACAAAACAAAACAACACCACCAAAAAAAACCAAAAAACAAAGCAGTAACCCAGATTCGTTGAATATGGATAGTTATTTTCTTCTTGGATAGTAATTTTTTATCTTTCCTTGTTTATGTGGAAGAGAGAGAGTGGTGCTACAATCCCCTCATTCATGAATATAATCCCCACAAAAGAAACACCCCCCACTCGGATCCGCACCAACAAATTCACCGAGGGATTTCAGAACATCGTGGATGCTTATGGAGTCGGAAGCTACAGAGAAGTCAATCCAGGTTGGAAGTCTGATTTGTAAATACCCGTATTTCCAATGGCATTGTTGCATTCTTGCTCTAAGAATGGAATAGATATTTGGAAAGAGAGGCTGACCATTACTTTTTTGCTATCTTATTTAAAAGTATAAGGTTTTAAATGTAACCACACAATCCTATCTTGTGAATTCTGGAGAAAGTCAAGATTGTTATGTATCATTGTGTTTGAATGAACTCAGGTTTTCCATATTTGCTGTGAATCAGAAATCTCTTTCCCTTTTTTCTGCAGCTCTCTTTACCATCATCACCTTCCCGTTTTTATTTGCTGTGATGTTTGGAGACTTCGGACATGGCTTTGTGATGTTTTTATTTGCCCTCTTGTTGGTGTTAAATGAAAATCATCCCAGACTAAATCAGTCACAAGAGGTAAAAATATAAACACTCCAGCTCATATATCTGGTTAGGTGGCATTAGCAGTGACCGAAAGAGAGACACCTCTTAGATGTTTGCTGTAGGCTGCGGCTGTGCTGGGCAGGTGTGTGGCCTGTCAGCTGCGGCTGACAGGGATGTCTGCGGGGCGAGGCTGTTTTCTGAGAAGTGAGTGGTGAGGGTCGTGCCCACACCGACAGCTGTCACATGGACACCCTCCAGTAACCATATTCTGCCCCCGCCTTGCCCTTCACAGATCATGAGGATGTTTTTTAATGGCCGGTACATCCTCCTGCTGATGGGGCTGTTCTCAGTGTACACTGGCCTCATCTACAACGACTGCTTTTCAAAGTCAGTCAACCTGTTCGGCTCTGGGTGGAACGTGTCGGCCATGTACAGCTCCAGCCACCCACCCGCAGAGCATAAGAAGATGGTGCTTTGGAAGTAAGTGTCCCATAGCTGGTGATGCTCTGGGTGGAAAGCATGTTTCCTAGACCTTCCTCCTCCCAGGTCAGCCTCCTCACTCTGCTTTTTGTTACAGTGACAGCGTCGTTAGACACAACAGCATTTTGCAGCTGGATCCAAGCATTCCTGGAGTGTTCCGAGGCCCTTATCCCCTTGGCATTGATCCTGTGAGTGCACCACGCTCTGTCGTTGTCTCTGGATGCTCTGTGGTGCCACCTAGCTTCGGGCGCCACGAGTTTCTCTAGACTGTTGAGCAGGGTTCACGCTGCCCTGAGCGGGAGGTGCTCATTAGCCCCTGTGCATCCCAGTCCCGGACACTGGGAGGGGAGGCCAGGAGCTGGGGGGCCCTCCGTTTGGGAAGGTGAGGTCAGAGGAAGTCCTCAGAGAGCCAGGGCTGTGTTCTGTCATGTGTCCTACCTATTTTCCTCTGGCTGAAAATGGCACTTCAGTAGCCCTGAAATGTGTGCCATTTCCTACATTTCTTCCTCGTATATGTGAACTTTTAAAAACCCTTGATCTCGAAAGAAATGGTATGGAGTGTTAGAGCTGAAAGGAAGCGTGAGGTTATTATGGTGCTTATTGGGGTAGTTGTTTGGAATGGGAAAAGTGTTAATAGAAAGAAAATGGGGAAGTACTCACGCCTGTAATTCCAGCACTTTGGGAGGCCGAGGCGGGCAGATCATGAGGTCAGGAGATTGAGACCATCCTGGCTAACACGGTGAAACCCCATCTCTACTAAAAATACAAAAAATTAGCTGGGTGTGGTGGCTGGCGCCTGTAGTCCCAGCTACTCAGGAGGCTGAGGCAGGAGAATGGCGTGAACCCAGGAGGCGAAGCTTGCAGTGAGCCGAGATGGTGCCATTGCACTCCAGCCTGGGCAACGGAGCGAGAGACTCTGTCTCAAAAAAAAAAAAAAAAGAAAATGGAGAAGTAGCCCCAGGGTGCCAGGACCCCCAACCCCTTCGAGGGCTCAGCAGGCGGTGGCTGAGGCAGTGGACTGCAGGGTTGGGTGGGGTTTTCCTGAGCTGTCAGGAGTCTTTCTGGAGAATCAAAAGAATGACTGAGAAACAATCTCAAAGTTGGTTTGTGGATGTAATTGTGTACAGTCGTTAAACTGAGCAAAAAAAGTCTAGCATTCCTTAACCTGGGCTCTCCAAGGAGGAAGTATCTCTTAGTGTGTTCTGTTTATTCTTATCTCTAATCATGATTGGTATAATTTCATGTTGTAGCATTAAGTCTTAATGTAATTGAAAACTTGGAAACACGGCTACAACAATTTCTTTAAGATACAGCATTTTGGAGCCAAATTCAGTAATAACTTGTAGCTTTGTGTTAAGGAAAGAAATATTTCTGAATAAGGGAACCAAGGAAGAAAGTTTGAGTGAGTTTTTTTTTTGGGAGGCATAGGGGAAAATTGGGGTATGGTTTTGTCTTCTTTCTGTTTTAACTTAATTTTAAACTAGGCATTACATTAATTTGGTTCAAAAGTAAACCAATGTGTGTACGTTATACATATAAAATACGTATTTTAAAATAATATATAAAAGTATGTATAATATAAATATATCAGCGAAGTTGACTGGCCTCCAACTTCTCAGCCCTGAATACCTCATTCTAAAATCTTATTTTTGCAAGGGCAAAATGAGATAGTTCAGGGCTAGGAACTGGGAGGCTAGAAATTTTAAAATTAGCTGGGAGTGGTGGTGCGTGCCTGTGGTCCCAGCTTCTCGGAAGGCTGAGGTGGGAAGATTGCTTGAGCCAGGTCAAGGCTGCAGTGAGCCCTGATTGCTCCACTGTACTCTAGCCCCTGGGCAGCAGTGAGACCCCTTACCTTAAAAAAAAAAAAAAAAAAAAAAAAAGGTTGGGCGCGGTGGCTCACACCTATAATCTCAGCACTTTGGGAGGCCGAGGCAGGCGGATCACCTGAGGTCAGGAGTTTGAGACCAGTTTGGCCAACATGGCGAAACCCTTTCTCTACTAAAAATACAAAAATCAGCCAGGCATGCTGGTCCAGCTACTCAGGAGGCTGAGGCAGGAGAATCGCTTGAACCCAGGAGGTGGAGGTTGCAGTGAACCAAGATTGCGCCACTGCACTCCAGCCTGGTTGACAGAGCGAGACTCCTCAAAAAAAAAAAAATTATCTTAATAGACCCTGTTTCCCTTTTCCTAACCCACCTGAAGGGCAGGCTGTAGGAATTAATTTTCAGACAGTAAGAGAAGCAGTCAATGAGTGGGGAAGTTACGGGGACTCAGACTGGCCGGGGCACCGTGGGGAGGTCAGCCATGGTCTGGAGTCCCTCTTGGCACATCTTGGGTTGGCCACTTGCACCATTTCTGATTTCATTGTATTCACAGCTAAACTTTATGACAAAATAGACATACAGGAGCATGTATGGCACATGTATGTAAATGTGTGATAACACATGTATGTCTCCTGCCCAGGTAGAGGGGACATAACCCAGGACCTTGAGAGCATCCTGACCCTTCCAGTCTCTGAGCTGTGTGTGACTCTCCCTTGCCTTGCCTTTTGTCAAGACTTCCTAGGCACATCTCCCTAAACGCTATGTGGTTCCATCTGGCACCCTTTGACGTTAACACCGATAAAATTGTTTTGTAATTGTCTGTGGCCCTGGTTTAAGGAAATCAATGGTTCTCAGATTGAAAGCATCAAAAGAAAAGCCTGAATATTGTTTCCTTCTTAAACTTAGAGCCACCTTTCAAGTTAAGACAGGAACTTTCTTGAGTGTCACCTGTTGAAGGAAGTTAAAGATTCTGTTTTGTCTTGTTTGGTTTGGTTTTAGATTTGGAACTTGGCCACAAATCGCCTCACTTTTCTAAACTCTTTCAAAATGAAAATGTCCGTGATTTTAGGAATCATTCATATGACTTTTGGAGTCATTCTGGGAATATTTAACCACTTGTAAGTACAGATTTTTTTTTAAGCAATATTTATAAACCAAACTTGGCATTTCTTCAATTTTGCTTCTTGTTGGTGACTGTATTTATTGGGTAAGGGGCAGCCAATATGATGTTGTATTTACATGATTCTGTTGAAGTTATTTAGATTTTCTGTGGTTTCAGCAATTCATTCAGCAAATATGTATTTATCGAGCGCATAGTAGTGCCAAGTGCTGTTCTAGGCACTAGGAGTTCAGCAGTGAGGAGGGCAGAAAAAAGTTGTTGCCCCAGTGGAGCTTCCATTCAAGTGAGGGAGACATGTGACATGTGCATTCATGTCGATTTCCAGAAGGGGTGCTTGCCATATTCCTTTTTTATTTTACAAATAAAAAATCTTTTTGTTTTTACTTTATTAGAGCTAGTATATGAAGAGTAAGAGATGGTGTCATTTTTCTCTAACTAGACCTGTTCATTCTGATCTCTAAACATAATTTGTATAATTTGATGCTGTAGCTTGAAGTCACTATAACAGGAGTCTTGAAAAACTTGTAACAATGTAAGACACAGCATTTTGGAGCCAGATTCACTAATATTGTGTAGCCTTACTTTAAGGAAGGAAATGTTTCTGAATAAGGGAACTAAGGAAGAAAGTTTGAGTGAGATTTGACCGCAAAAACTGTAGTAGTTTTGGCCGACCTCACGTCTCTTCCTCGTAGATGTATCTGGACACTCAGATGTATCTGGATTCATCATATGAGAAATGATGTTATTCTGAAATTCGCTTTATAGTTTAGTTGCAGAGAGTTTAATTTACTCTTTTTAACTTAGGCTGATCTTGTTCGTGGGTTGATTGATTCCTTTTCTTTCCTAGGCACTTCAGGAAGAAGTTCAACATTTACCTGGTTTCCATCCCGGAACTTCTCTTCATGCTCTGTATCTTTGGATACCTTATATTTATGATTTTCTACAAGTGGCTGGTTTTTTCAGCAGAAACCTCCAGAGTTGCTCCCAGCATTCTGATTGAATTTATTAACATGTTTTTATTCCCAGCCAGTAAAACAAGTGGCCTTTACACAGGGCAGGTGAGTCATCTTCCCACCCTCATGAACTTAACGGAAGTATTCCCAATAGTCTTTTATTCTGAGCAGTAGAAGTGTTGGGGTGATCTCCACAGGAGCCTGGGAAGGCTGCTTCTGTCTCTGCATGTGTCATCACTGGAGGATGCCAGTCCAGCTTGACCGCTGTGTGCAGGCAGCATGACCAAACTCGCTGCCACTCAGTAGCCATCAAAACGAGTAGGAAGAGGCCAGGCATAGTGGCTCATTTCTGTAATCCCAGCACTTTGAGAGACCAAGGCTGGCGGATTGCTTGAGCCCGTGAGTTCGAGACCAGCCTGGGCAACACAGCAAGACCTCATCTCTACAAAAAACACAAAAATTTGTCAGGCATGATGGCTGCACCTGTAGTCCGAGCTACTTGGGAAGCTGAGGCAGGAGGATCGCTTGAGCCCAGGAGGTCCAGGCTGCAGTGAGCCATAACTGCACCACTGCACTCCAGCCTGGGTGACAGAGCAAGACCCTGTCTCAAACCAAAACCAACAAAACTGGTGGGAAGAAAATGCATTACCAGAGGGATCCTGAGGGCTGCCCAGTCCCCCCATTTAGAAGGGACCACCTGGATCACAGCACATGGACCCTTTCAAAAAATGAGCTTTCCTCTCACTGTGCGTTTGTGTGCTGTCACAGTGGGCTCTAAGGGCTGACTGCTCTGCTTGGAGGCCCCGCTCTGCTGTTTCCTCAGGATGGAGCTTTGAGCAGATGACTAACTTCTCTCTGCCTCAGTTTCCTCATCTGTAAAATGGGACTAAAAACAGGAGCTGGTTCATAGTATAGCGCACGTGTCCAAAGTGCGTACGAACGTGCTTGCACAATCCAGCTACTCAGTAAATGTCAGCATTTGCCATAGTTCTTACCCACCTTACATTGAGGGTCTTTCTGCTGTGAGCGCCACGGCATCTCCTGCCCACGGATGCTGGTCCAGACATGGCTCACCACGTTGTAAAGTGTCTGTGAGGACATCTGGGGAAACCCTCCCAGTCGGTAGTATCAGAGCCTGTGTTCCTCCTGAGCCGTGTTTTGGTTTTTCATCGTGTTGACCTGTGAATGGAGCATTTGGTTTTGTTTTTCACATTCTATTGGGTGCTGGAAAGTTTTAAGTCAGATTTGAAGCTCAACTTAACGGAACTTTGGCCTCGTTGACGAGATGCATATTTGCGTTCTTTTTGAACTTTTTGTTTCTGTTTTTTTTTGGTTTCTCTTGTTTATGATTTTTAAGAATTGTATTTTATCATTATTTTATTGAAGCTTTGTACAATGGCATAGATACCACAGATAAATGCAGGGGCGTTCAGTGGGCACAGGTGCTATGGACAGAAAGATCAAGGAAGGGCAGCTACCTTTCTTTACTACCTGCCGCATACCTGAGAGTGTGCTTTCCTTACTTAGTGTTTCTTAATTCTCACAACAGCCCCAGGAGGTAGGTGTGTCATCCCCTGTTACTGGTGATAACTGGTGGCTCAGGGCAGTCCTGGTCACTCAGCGGTCTGTAGGGCCAGGCTGTTAACCTAGGTCAGCCTGGCTCCAGCCCAGGACTTCTGATGTGGCTCTGCCTGTGGCCGCCACCTTTCTCGGCATTTCAAGAGGTTCATCCTGTTGATGGTGTGTAGATAATACAGCTTTGTGCCTGAGTAGCACACAGAGCTCTAGGAACCTGTTTTTGGTGAGGGGCGACCATACAGAGTGATAAGCTTGGACAGCACAGTGTCCCGTCCAAACCCTGGGAAGCCATGCAGACTGCCGTGGCTGTGTAAGCCTGAGTGGATTTTGCTTTTGATTTAGCTTTAAGTAACTATAAATCTTCGTTTTTCTAAGGAAGTGTTTTTGGTTTTGTTCTGAATTCTCTTCCACGATTTTCTGTGTGTGGAGGTAAATCCACTTGCTGATTCACACTCATAGTCCTCAGACGGTCTTTATAATCATCAAAGAACAGGAAAACAGAACCAAGAATATACAAAATATTCTGCTTGTGCTTATACTTTCTCATTTACAGTGTTTACAGAAAATGATTAGTTGGAGTTTGACTCTCTTTAGAATTTTTGTAAAGTTTCCTTGCTGGTCTAAAACAAAATAATACTTTACCACAGGGTCATTAATGTTATTCATCAGTTCTAGAATTCAGCTATGAGTTTAGGAAAAGAAAACCCGCTGGCAAGTGTAGCTGGCTGGCATTTATTGAATGTTCCTCGCGTGGAGACATTGTTCGATCTTTCCTGATTTCATCGTGTGCTGCTGACCCTGCAGGCAGGCCTTCACGTTTTAATCGGGTTTCTCACCTTCTGCACTAACAGGAGTATGTCCAGAGAGTGCTGCTGGTTGTCACAGCATTGTCTGTCCCTGTCCTCTTCTTGGGAAAGCCACTGTTTTTGTTGTGGCTTCACAATGGGCGTAGTTGCTTCGGGGTGAACCGGGTAAGTGCGGGTTTGGATGCATTTACAACTGTGAGCAAAGCTTGCTTTCGGTTATACAAGGATTGGTGTAGAAAACACCTCCTGGAGGGTCCCTGTCTCTTGATTTAAAAGCCAAAGCTCCCTTTATTTAAAACATTGATGTTGGCTGGGTGTGGTGGCTCACACCTATAATCCCAGCACTTTGGGAGGCCAAAGCGGGCAGATCACTTGAGCCCAGGAGTTTGAGACCAGCCTGGGCAACATGGCGAAACCCTGTCTCTACCAAGAATACAAAAATAAGCCGGTGTGGTGGTGTGCACCTTTAGTCCCAGGTACTCGGGAGGCTGAGGTGGAAGGATGGCTTGAGCCTGGGAGGCAGAGGTTGCAGTGAGTTGTGATCACGCCACTGCACTCCAGCCTGGGCAACAGAGCAAGACTCTGTCTCAAAATAAATAAGTAAATGAAACATTGATGTTGAAAGAGCCTGCTGTGTCCAGGGCCTGTGGAGACCCGCCCTGGTATGAACTACAAGCTTATTAGGGGTTTAACTCAGTCCTTCAGTTCAGATGGGCACAATTTAAATGCCTTTTTCCATATTCGTCTTAATTTCTTCTTTAAGATTTTCTTTTTTCTTTTCTTTTCTTTCTTTCTTTCTTTTTTTTTTTTTTTGAGACTGGAGTCTTCGTCTGTTGCCCAGGCTGGAGTGCAGTGGCACTATCTCAGCTTACTGCAACCTCTGCCCTCCGGGTTCAAGCAATTCTCTTGCCTCAGCCCTCAAATAGGGGGACTACAGGCGCCCGCCACCACGCCCTGCTAATTTTTGTATTTTTTGTAAAAGACGGGGTTTTGCCATGTTGCACAGGCTGGTCTTGAACTCCTGACCTCAGGTGATTCACCTGCCTCGGCTTCCCAAAGTGCTGTGATTACAGGTGTGAGCCACTGTGCCTAGCCTAAAGAACTTTTTTATTCTCAAAGAGCTGAATCATTAAGAGAAACAAAGAAACTATACAAGTTTGGTTTTGTCACAACCTTGTGGTTTTACAGGCACTGACTCTGTGCTCTTTTGGTTGTTAGAGTGGCTACACACTTATAAGGAAAGATAGTGAGGAAGAAGTTTCATTGCTGGGAAGCCAAGATATAGAAGAGGGAAATCACCAGGTGGAAGATGGATGTAGAGAAATGGCGTGTGAAGAGGTAAATCTTTTCAACTGCTATTGATAAACTTAGATAAGTAACCAAGCTTCCATAGAGATAATCATGTTAAGATAATATTTAATCATCTTAAAAAATGGTTAAGAAAATGGGACTTCCAGCCTCCACAACTATGAGAAACCAGCGCTTTCCAAATGCTGTTTGATGATAGAGTTGGTGGCATTATATGAGTTCGGGTCATTTTGTCCTTTCACTTCGCCAGTGGGATTTCTGCTGTTATATTAAGAGTTATGATTGGAGTGACTTAAGGTGCCATGAACATTGCTTTCAGAAGCTTCTTGGGTCAGTCAGAACTTTTCCATAGTTGCAAGAAATAGAGACCCAGTTTTTTCTGATTGCGAAGGGATTTTACTGGCTCATGGCAGGACAGAGGTAGAGTTGGTTTCAGGATAATTACAGTTTTGGGGTCTCCAATTCCAAGAGGCCTTGGTTGGCTTTTTTTCTTTGTAAGTTTTCTTTATATTGTGAAGTCAGTTGGCCCCATGATGCTAGAACCATGGT
The DNA here is from genome assembly GCF_000001405.40 of Homo sapiens. NCBI lineage: Eukaryota > Metazoa > Chordata > Mammalia > Primates > Hominidae > Homo > Homo sapiens. Next base: position 123,752,922 of record NC_000012.12, read on the forward strand.
CACAAGTTGCCCTGGGCTTATTTTTTCAGTCTTTCCATTAGAGAGCAAAGCGCCCTTACCAGCTTGTTACTATTAGGAAAGAATCCCCAAATACCTGCCATCCCTGGACCAGTGACTGCTGCCTCAGTCCCCTTTACGAGTGACCGCTGCCTCAGTCCCCTTCACCAGTGACTGCTGCCTGAGTCCCCTGGACCGGTGTCTGCTCAGTCTCCCTTACCAGTGACCACTGTGTCAGTCCCCTTTACCAGTGACTGCTGCCTGAGTCCCCTGGACCGGTGTCTGCTCAGTCTCCCTTACCAGTGACCACTGTGTCAGTCCCCTTTACCAGTGACTGCTGCCTTAGTCCCCTTTACCAATGACTGCGTTCTCAGTCCCCTGGACCAGTGACTGCTATCTTAGTCCGCTGGGGCTGCCATAACAAAATACCACGGACTGGGTGGCTTCAACAAGAGACTTGTTTCTCACAGCCCCGGAGGCTGGCAGGCCCGGACTGAGATGCTGGCAGGCTGCTTTCCCCTGAGGCCTCCCTGCTCAGCTTGCTGTGTCGGCACAGGGCCTTTCCTCTGTGCCTGCACCCCTGTTTCTCCTGCTCTTCCCAGAAGACAGTAGTCACAGTGGGTCAGGGCCCACCTCCTGACCTCACTCAACCTTGATTACCTCCTCAAAGGTTCTGTCTTCAAATACAGTCACATTGCGGTTAGGGCTTCAGCATAAGACTTTTGGGAACATAATTCAGAGCCAGTGTGGTTGGGGGTACGAGGCTGGACAGGGAAGTAGCGGCTCCCCGCAAAGAACAGAGGTGCAGTCCCAGGAAGACAGCAGAGCATGGCCTCCTTTCTTTTCATGGAAACTTTATTTTGGCCATTTAGTGAGGACCAAACAAAATGTCTTATAATCAACATTTTGTAATTATTATGTAATTTCGTGTTTTAATTCGGGACAATTAATAATTAAGTTCTAGGATCATAGAGAAACAAAAGCAGAGCTGGAAAGCGCATGAGAGTCACCTTGCCTGGTGCTTTGCAGCCCTTTCCCTGTCAGGGGCCCCTTGCATAGTTTTCCCTGGTTGGCTCTACTTAGAATGCTCACATCTAGTGAATCGCAGTCTACTCTTAGGGTTGGTGAATACCTATTTTATCAGTAGATGTTTCATAATTACTGAGACCTGCCCCAGAATCCCATTAGTATAGCAGCTGTGGCCACGGCAGTTCCTCTGGTCTACCTTCTTGGTTTACACAGGGGAGTCTGAGGCGTGCGGTGGGAGTGGGGCTGATGAAGGTGGGGATTTGGGGTGGTAAAGTCTGGTCATGGAGCTGGGTAGTGGCAGAGTGGTGAACAGAGTGCGTCTGGGGTTTCTGTTCCTCACACTCTAGCGTGTTCTTACCAGCATCCAGCCGGCAGCTCTTTCATTGTAATCCTTGAAGTGGAACCCACTTGGCATGTAGAAGTACACATGTAACATCATGACTCTTAACATATGTTGTGTGATCTCTCTCAGTTTAATTTTGGAGAAATATTAATGACCCAAGTAATCCATTCCATCGAGTACTGTCTGGGATGCATCTCCAACACCGCCTCCTACCTGAGGCTCTGGGCGCTTAGCCTGGCTCACGCACGTAAGTTCCTGCTTAGACCTGCAGTTCCCAATGCCCTGTAGTGCCAGCAGACTCAGGGGGCACTGTGGGATATTTTAACTTTGTAACTAATAGTCATAGCACCATCTTTCAGCTGCCACGTGAACTTACACTATTCACTACTTAATACACAGCTCTCTTGGCTATTTCTTTTGGCTGAGGAGTGCTGTGGAAAAATCACAGAGGGAGTCTCTCTGAGGCTGGTCTGGCTTCAGAGCCTGCCCAATTTAAAAAAAAAATCACTGAGACACAAGGGGCTTTGAGAACTGAGACGGCTTGGGAGCCTCTGGTGTAAGCACTTGCTACTGTTGCCATTACTGTTTCTGTTAGTAGTTATTTCATTCACTGCTGCCTTACCAAGTGTGAATATCTGTTTATTTCAAGCAAGTCCTGCCACAGCACTCATGGGTAGCCTTGATCACAGGAGTCCTCCCTTTGCACAATTCCAGTAATGCACACATGTTAGTTTCCACAGTGTAGTTAACACCTGTTCCCCAGCAGCATGGTTCCCATTTCAGTCACCACAGTACCTAGCCGTGCAGTTAGGTGCAGGTGCATTTACCAGCCTACGTGCGGCAGGTGTCGTGATGAAGATGCTGATAACCCACCAGTGGTGCTCGGCAATGTTTCAGGACGTTGAAGGTTTGTGCAAAGGGTGCAATGTTGCAAGTGGGTTCAGACGTAGAAAAGAATAGGACAGGCCAGGCACAGTGGCTCACACCTGTAATCCCAGCACTTTGGGGGGCCCGAGGCAGGTGGATCACCTGAGGTCAGGAGTTTGACACCAGTCTGACCAGCATGGCAAAACCATCTCTACTAAAAATACAAAAATTAGCTGGTTGTGGTGGCGGGCGCCTGTAGTCCCAGCTACTCAGGAGGCTGAGGCAGGAGAATTGATTGAACTTAGGAGGCGGAGGTTGCAGTGAGCCAAGATCACATCACTGCATTCCAGCCTGGGTGACAGACCGAGACTCTGTCTCAAAAAAAAAAAAAAGCTAAAAAAAAAAAAAAATAGGACAATTTGGCAAGTATTAGGAAAGATGCTTGCTCTGCATCAGGTCACCCAGCTTGCCAATTTACACAGCAGGAACCAAGCACTGTTCAAACTACCCTAATAAACTTTTTTTTTTTTTTAAATAACAGACAAAAGACTTTAATACTCAGTGCTTCTAATGTTTCAAAGATAGATTTACCATTTTTTCATTTCCCTATATTTTTTGTTAAAACATTAATAACTCTCTTATTAGCTGGGTGCTGTGGCTCACGCCTGTAATCCCAGCACTTTGGGAGGCCTAGGCGGGCGGATCATGAGGTCAGGAGATCGAGACCATCCTGGCTAACACGTGAAACCCTGTCTCTACTAAAAATACAAAAAATTAGCCGGGCGTGGTGGCGGGCGCCTGTAGTCCCAGCTACTCAGGAGGCTGAGGCAGGAGAATGGTGTGAACCCGGGAGACAGAGCTTGCAGTGAGCCGAGATCATGCCACTGCACTCCAGCCTGGGCGACAGAGCGAGACTCTGTCTCAAAAAAAAAAAAAAAAAAACCGAAAAACAACTCTCTTATTGTTGGCCAACAATATAGCCAACAATAAGAGAGTTTTTAATGTTTTAACAACAATTTTAAAGGCCACAGAGCAAACCATTTTTCCCATGGATTAATAGGGATGCTTCGGATGGTTTTGATTGCAAGGTCTTTACTGTGCAAAGCAAGCACTGCCTGTGCTTGTGGAAACCACCGGACAAGAGGGTGTCTTTTTTTTTTTTTTTTTTTTAGTTAAAAAAAAATGCTTATGTTTTTATAAGCATAGCCAAAGGTCTGGAATTTTGTGGCTGGAGGGGCCCTGTCTCGTTCATCTCCATTTTGCAGAGGTGGTGACTGAAGCCACTGAGTGTCGGTGCTTTACTCATGGTCATCCAGTTGATCCCTCAGTGGCAGAACCAGGCCTGGGAGCCTGTTTCTGGCTGCCTGGTCCAGTGCGCTTTGGGAGGTCACAACCCAAACCTAGTCTGGGGCAAGACCTCCCTTTGGGAGATGGCCTCTGATATTTTTGGAGCACCAGGTCTTCCTTAGTGTTTGAGACCGTCTCGGAGCTGACTGGCTTTCACATGAGAAACAGTTGGGTCTGTGTTACATGTGTGTCTATTATTTTATGGGATAATAGTTCAGGGCCGTCAGGGGGAAACTCAGTCCAGGTAGCTCACAGAGGGACCCACTGTACATAAGCGAGCATGACCTGTGCAGGCTGCACTCCTTTGCAGAGTTGTCTGATGTCCTGTGGGCCATGCTGATGCGCGTGGGCCTCCGCGTTGACACCACCTATGGCGTCTTGCTACTGCTCCCGGTTATCGCGCTCTTTGCAGTTTTGACCATTTTCATCCTTCTGATCATGGAAGGGCTTTCTGCGTTTCTTCACGCCATACGCCTCCACTGGTGAGTTTGAAACCTAGCCTTGGAGCTGTTATTTAAAAAACATACCCGCCCCCCCACTGCCCCGCCCAACCAAATATACACAGCCCCTGCAAAATCTAATGCTGAATTTAGGCCAGTTCTTCCCTTCCCTTGGGATCTGTGTTCATATCCTCTGAGTTAAAATTGTATTTTGGGCCGGGTGCGGTGGCTCATGCCGGTAATCCTGGCACTTTGGGAGGCCAAGGCAGGTGGATCACGTGAGGTCAGGAGTTCAAGACCAGCCTGGACAACATGATGAAACCCTGTCTCTACTAATAATACAAAAATTAGCTGGGTGTGGTGTCGTGCGCCTATAATACCAGCTTCTTGGGAGACTGAGGCAGGAGAATTGCTTGAACCCAGCAGGCAGAGGTTGCAGTGAGCCGAGATCATGCCATTTTACTCCAGCCTGGGGGACGAGCGAAACTCTGTGTCAAAAAAAAAAAATGTATTTTGATTCTGAACTATTATCACTGACAAGTAAAAGTAAGTTTAAGTTTGCAGAATACTAACGTATGTTTCATACTCCTAATTCACTTTGGGTCTGACAGGTTGCTCTGTCTTATTGCAAGATAAATCCTTCTTATGTATTTCTTAATGTTTTATGGTGTAGGTCAGATTACTGCTCTGTGCCTCCAGTGACTCAAGTGGCAGGAGAGGGTCTCGTTACTTGTGCACGTGCTTTTGTGTGTTGGGCAGTGAGAGACAGCGGATGTGTCAGAGTTTCTGTTCACACTGGGAAAGCCAGCACGGGGTTGGGGGTGCGGGGCAGTGTTTAGCTAAGTAAAAATATATGTGCCAAGAACATATTTTGGAATGAAGCAATTTCAGCACAGGAATTTTTTTTTTTAACTTATAAATGTTGTTTTAAGGAATGTGATTTCATAATCTTCCATTAATACATGGCTTTTTTTTTTTTTAGGGTAGAATTTCAGAACAAATTCTACGTTGGTGCAGGCACCAAATTTGTTCCTTTCTCATTCAGTCTACTTTCATCAAAGTTCAATAACGACGACAGTGTGGCATGATCATATTGCTGTAACCAACAAGCTTTCAGATTTATGGAGAATGACCATGTTATAGACTTTCACTTATGTCAGATTTATGATAGGAAAAATTCCATCTTCATTACTGCCTTATGACATAGCCAAATAATTCTGTAAGATATACCTCTTCCTCATATGTTAAATATTTTGTAAAGTTTACCAATTTGAGATATAAAAATTTCTTTTGGTTTTTTATGATGAGCAAATATAAGTTAATGCCAAACGTTATGTTAAAGTTATTTTTTCAAATACAGGATTTGGGGAGAGAAGCCAATTTTGCATGGCTAGTTGAAAATGGTATTAGATACTTATTTCCTTTAAACTTTATTTAAAACAAACAACAGAGTTAATCTGTCACCTGAAGTTGCCAGATAATATTTTCCAACAGCTGAAGTAGGGATAGTTTTTTAAAAAATTTAATGATGGGTAATCAAAACATTCACATTTATTCTGCTGGATTTAAAAATATGTACTTTTTTTTTTTTTTTGAGATGAAGTCTTGCTGTGTCACGTAGGCTGGAGTGCAATGGCACGATCGTGTCTCATTGCAACTTCCGCCTCCTGGATTCAGGTGATTCTCCTGTCTCAGCCTCCCGAGTAACTGGGATTACAGGCATGCGCCACCGTGACCAGCTAATTTTTTTGTATTTTTGTAGAGATGGGGTTTCACCATGTTGGCCAGGCTGGTCTCGAACTTCTGACCTCAAGTGATCCACCTGCCTCGGCCTCCCTAAGTGCTGGGATTACAGGCGTGAGCCACCATGCCTGGCCAAAATATGCAAATATTTTTTATCCTGTGCTACCTAGAATTACAAGTAGAGGATTGTTTTTACAATTTTGTCTTGTTTTAGTAATTGGGGACAATGGGATAAAATGACATACAACAAATGGTTATCCCACTTGTATATTTTTTTAAAGACTCTTATCCTGTTACCCTTACATAAAACCAGTTATGATAATTGTATGTTTGGAAGATAAATTGTATGCTGAGCCTTAAAACCCAGTGTGACTGTAGAAGATATAATGCGGACATGATTTGAATTTAGTGACAGCTTGGCTGATGTCACTGAACCAGAAGGGTTTATACTGAGTGAAGGAAAGGTAAAAAGTAGTATTTTGTATATTTTTGTAACAAAATATAAATGAAGATATTTTACCATGAAGAGATTGCACTTATCCTTGAGAACAGTCTAAATATAAATGAAGATATTTTACCATGAAGAGATTGCACTTATCCTTGAGAACAGTCTAATGATACTTTTTTTACTTTCAGACTGTTTCTAGCTAAAGTTCTGATAAAAGTATTGAGTTAATTTAAACTTTCAAACACTGTTTAGATCAGTTGAAAACTAATTCTTAATAGCCATTGTTTTATAATCTTTAGTTTAAATTCATCTGTTTGACATTTGGTTTTTTGTGAACTTGAGTCAGTCCTATTGAACATTTTGACCTATATTCTTGCAAATTATGTTAATTTTTCATATTTTAGTTTGATTTTAGACAATTATTTTCAAAAAGAAACCTGACTTTTTTTCACCTTCTTGACATTGTGAGTGATACACGTTAAAAGGCTATTTGCCCGCATCCTCCTCTATCCTGTTTCGAGGTAGAGAGCTTGGCACTTCTGTTACAAGCTGAGAGTCTGGAGGTGCTGAGTTTAACGTGGCTGTGCAGCTGATTTCAAGGCATGAGCTGAACAGCGTTGACACAGCCGTGACTTACAATTAAACCCTTTCAATTACAGTACAGATTCTGTGTGCTACTTGATGAGATGTTACCCAAGGCCAGTTTGGACTTACTGCTTTTTGTCCCTCATATTAAATTATCAAATGATGCCGATGAAATGCTTGAAAATGATTCTGCTCTCAAAGTTATGCTTCCCTAGAAAGGTGTCATGTCGGGCACTTGTGTTGGGTGACTATGACATCCCAGCAGTGCTGGTCAGGTCTCAGAGTTGCTTTCACCTAGAGCTGATGCTTCCACAAGGGGACATTTGTGTTACTTTGCTCCAGGGGTCTGTCATAAAAACAATGGTAACTACTTCATCCCTAGGAAGCCCAAGACTTCAGGGCACTGTTAGCTGATTGGTAAATAAGGGACACGATATTCACGGGAATTGTTTACTGCTCCCCACTAGTAATTCTCATGGGGCCACTTTTTTAACTCTTTCTAATTAACACCTCTTCTCAGCATAGAGCAGAGGATGCAGTCATTTCTCTGTTGAAATCTATGTAGTATTTATGTAGAATGTCATTATATGAAAAGCGAATTCAGAATCCTAACTCTGGGAAAGCGCTCTCTGGAAATGTAGTTTGATAATAGTGTCTTATAGGGGCCACGGGAATTTGTTTCTCTATAAAGCGATGGGCTCCAGTGTCATGTTACCAGAGTTATCGCTCAGTTTTGTTTGTTAAGGCTTTTGCTAGAACCTATTATGTATCCAGTTTTTAAAACATACTTCATTCCCTTGATAGCAGAGATCCAGAGCACAGATGGCAAGTTGTGTGGATGATACTGAATATGTTTATTTTCCTAAAGATAAATGTCACGACACGACATTTCTCAGTTTTTATTTAGATGTTTATTACCATGTGTTAACAGAATCTTAAAACCCAAGGGATTTCTTCAGTAAACTAGACTTTGATTCAACCTGCTGGGCTGGAGACTGTAATTGCCGTGGTCAGTTAAGGAGTGCAAAGGGTGTTCTGTCTGATAGGATCTGGGTGAGCCCTGCGGACTTTCCAGCAGCGAAAGGACTTGGAACTCCTCTTTCGCTGAATGCTGCTCTGTTTCTGGAATGGATATTTTATAACAACATTCTGGTGTCAGCATCCCCTCAGCAGTTGTTTATTTAAAAATTTTTTTATTTTTTTTGAGACAGTGTCTCACTCTGTCACCTAGGCTGAAGTGCAGTGGTGCAGTCTCGGCTCACTGCAACCTCTGCCTCCTGGGTTTAAGCAATTCTCCTGCCCTAGCCTCCCGAGTAGCTGGGATTACAGGCGCCTGCCACAGTGCCCGGCTAATTTTTGTATTTTTAGTAGAGACAGGGTTTCACCATGTTGGCCAGGCTGGTCTCAAACTCCTGACCTCAGGTGATCTACCCACCTTGGCCTCCCAAAGTGCTGGGATTACAGGCGTGAGCCACCGCGCCTGGCCCTCTGCAGTTGTTTAATAAGGCACAGAATACCTGTAGCATAGGTCAGCCTTACGATGTCCATGAATTACATATTCAGACGTTTTAGAGCCTGATACATTTTGGAAAAGAAAAACAACTTCTACACCTATTCTACAGTCCGCATTTAAAACAATAAATTCCTCTATTAAAAACGTAAAGCCGGGTTTGCTTGCGTGCCACAGGGAATATATCCAGGAAGGTTATTATGAAGCTGTCAAATCAAGATGATGGGAATAAGGCAGTTTGAACGAACAGTCTTCCCACAGTCAGGCCATTTTTGCTGATTTGGTTTAGAATTTTCAGAAATACTTAGTACACTCCACCTGTTCTTTGATGGGAATATCTAAGAAGGCTAGGTAGGTTCTTAGGGTTAGCCTGAGTCATCTAGGGGCTCAACTCCTTGTGAGGGGAAATGACAGTGAACAAGTTAGTACTTTGCTCCACAAATGCATGAAAGGACAAATTTGCATCTTCTATCAGTATTTAACTTCCTTTTGCTAATGACAAATAAATATATCTATATTTTTAAACGTGGGTGTTTTGCTTTATTATGCTCTAGTTTGGCAAGAAAGCTAAAGAACTCTGCTCCTTCCCTGATTTTGTAGGCCATGAGGAACTCGTGCTTTCTCGGCTTATTTCCTCCTCGTCTGGCCTCTAATCCCGCCTCTGCCACCGCCGAGGTGCTGTGACCTTCGTCTCGCCAACTCTCTAGCCCCAGCTTCATCTGCAAGGTGGGCGGGCTGCTTGCAAACCGGTCGGCGTGGGGTGGGGTCGCACCCTCGGCTGCAGCGGCCCGAGGGCGGCTCCTGGCGGCGAGGGTCCCGCTCCGCATCCAGGGGCGTGCGCGCTGCCGGGGCCAGGGAGCAACCAGCCTACCTCGGCGGCCCGGGGGCCTGGTGCGCGCCTCCGAGATCCCGGGGCCGGGGCGTGGGCTGCGGCTCGCGGGTTCGGGATCGAGGGGCCGGGCGCGGGGCACTGCCGAGCTTGCAGCCCCCAGCGCCGGCGCCGTCGGCGGGGCGAGCTGCGGCCGTTTCCGGGGCGCCCATTGCTAGGGCCGCCGTTGCCACGGACGCCCGCCCTGCGCCCGGCTCCCTCTGCACTGCGCGGCGCCATGGACGACCTGCGGGTGCTGTGGATGCGCGACCGCGTGTATGCGGCTTTCGGCATCACCGACCCCCAGCTTTTCGAGGACCTGCTCAACCGCGACGACGGCCAGGGCGAGGACCTCATCTTGCACTTCCTCAACCAGGCGAGCGAGGAGGAGGGGCCCTCGGCGCTCTTCATCTACCGCACTATGGTGCCGGAGGAGGTGGAGGTGGAGATTGGTGAGCCTCGACGCGCCGCTCCCTTCCCCGGGCTTCCCTCCTGCCCGTCCCGGCCTCTCCGGCGGGCGCCGGGGCTGCTAGAGCCTGCCCATCGTCCGGCCCCGGCCTCAGGTGCTGTCCACAAACGCTGCCGCCCGCCACGTGCAGGCCCCGGGCGAACCCAGCAATCACAGCCGTCCCTGCCCTCCTGGGCCCACAGCCCACTTGAAAGTCAGGCCTTGATTGAAAAATCACAGCAAACACTGACTTAGCCCGCACCCCGTGCCAGGTGCGGTTCCAACGCTTGTATCAACTCCTTAACCCTACGAGGCGGGTGTATCCTCATCCCTATTTTACAGATGAGCAAACTGGCACGGAGGGGGTTAAGTAACCTGCCCAAGGCCCACGGGGCGTCAAGATCCACTGTGCAATAATCCGAACGGCTGGGTAGAGCCATGCCCAGGTGTGGCAGGGACCCAGGTCACTGTCACTCTCCTTGACGGTCGCAGCCTCTCACGGAGGGTCCGAAGAGCACCCCTTTCTACTTCTGGAGGCTCCTTATATCCTAAAAAGTAAAATAAGGCTAGGACAAAGTTTAAAAACTACAGTAGACTTTAAATGTTTATGTTGAACAAATTAGCATCGCAAATACAAAAAGACAGTGACCAGGGTCCCAGAACCCTCTGTGGAGGCGGATCCCCAGCCCCACCTACTCTCTGATAGGCCAGGGACACTGAGAGGGCAGGGAGGGGCCAGCACAGGTGAGAGGAGGAGGCAGGACAACTCGCTTCAGAAACAGCTAGAAGGAGACTGGGACCTCGAAAGCCGCCTCCTCGCAGGAGCACCAGCTGGAGCACAGCTACCGGGACCTCCTGCCTGGCTGTCCAGTCTCCTGGGCTACTTTTCCAGCCCCTTAAGGACTTGGGGATCCCTTGCAGGGCCTCTCACTGGGTTCGGGTGGCAGGGCCGGCAGACCTTTGATTTTTTTTTTAAAGGTACCAGGCAGATTCATTTATTGTATTCTATTTTTTAACTTTTTTTTTTTTTTTTTTGAGATAGGGTCTCACTTTGTCACCCAGGCTGGAGTGCAGTGGTGCGATCTTGACTCACTGCAACCTCTGCCTCCAGGGCTCAAGTGATTCTCCCACCTCAGCTTCCTGAGTAGCTGGGACTACAGGTATGCGTCACCATGCCTGGCTAATTTTTATATTTTTGGTAGAGACAGGTTTCACCATGTTGCCCAGGGTGGTCTCAAACTACTGAGGTCAAGTGATCCTCCCGCCTCGGCCTCCCAAAGTGCTGGGATTCCAGGTGTTAGCCATCTGGCACCTGGCCACTTCTTTTTTTTTTTTTTGAGACAGAGTCTAGCTCTGTCGCCAAGGCTGGAGTGCAGTGGTGCAATCTCGGCTCACTGCAACCTCCACCTCCCTGGTTCAAGCAATTCTCCTGACTCAGCCTCCCAAGTAGCTGGGATTACAGGCACCCATCACCATGCCTGGCTGATTTTTGTATTTCTAGTAGAGACAGGGTTTCACCATGTTGGCCGGGCTGCTCTTGAACTCCTGACCTAAAGTGATCTGCCCACCTCGGCCTCCCGAAGTGCTGGGATTACAGGTGTGAACCATCGCGCTTGGCCACCTTCATTTATTTTAAATATTCATTATTTGCTTGCACAAAATAAAACGCCTTCATCATAAATCCAAAACCATAAATAAACAACAATAACAAATCCCTAGTGCCATCTGGAGAGAGGACCACGTGATCACGTTTTGGAATTTAACCTTCCAGCCTATTATTTTTTTCTCCCTGGCAGACCTTTGGACCTGAACATTAGATTATAACTGGACCTCGGATGTAGGCACTTTCATTGGCACCAAGTGAAATTATGGAAACCAAAAACACACTCGCAGGATTGACCGTTTAACATGTACCACCACTGCAGGAACTCGGGTTTCGTTTACATTAAAAAAAAATTACAAGACCCTAAAACAATGGATGTGACTTGGATTTCTTGCAGAAGCCCTCCAAGGGCCTCTGTTAACGGTGGGGTGGCTGTTGTCTGCTGTGTTTACTAGCACGTGTTTAGCCCAAATGTCATCCAGTGTGGAAGCAGAGTTCAGTCTCACCTCAGAGGGTCCCCCTGGTTAATTCCTGGACCCTCCAAAGGGAGCTCAGAACTCCCCCACCCCGCCCCCTGACCCGTTTCTGGGCTGTCTCTGTCCCTGGTCTTCCCTTCCATTCCCGTCCCTTCTCCACTATCACCTCATGGTGAAAAGCTGATGGATTCCTCGCCGAAGATGCTGTCTCTGGAAACTCTCAAAGCTGCCGATTCTGGAGGTGCCAGATGGCGTCGGGTGTTGGGGGTTCTGGCCAGGTGGGGAGAAGAGACCTCATCCCCAACTCCACACGTTGTCACTCACTCTCTGCTTGTTAAACCTACAGGCTCATATAACCCTTGAACAGTTTCCCTAGATTATTTTTGGGGGACAGGTGGTTCTGGTCTGTTCAGAGGACCTGCAGAGAGCCCAGCGTGTCCTTTGTTTCCTTTTTTTTCCTCTTTCTGCCCCCCTTCCCCGGTCAAGATTTCTCTCTGCTCCTGGTTAAAAATGATAGGAATGGAGACAAGCAGATACTGGGGCAGGTGGTGGTAATAAAGGCGAGGTGTCCTTCCGGGCAGCAGATACCCAAGATACTGATGCAGTAGGTACATGTGTTCCTTCTGGAAAAAACAAAACGGAATCGTACTGTACATATCATTTAGTAACTTCCTTACATTTAAAGAAATTACACAAATACTGCCATAACACATGTTCTCTTATGAATTCACAGAACATAGAATTACATATAAAAAGAAAAAGCAACGCTTCTCCATCCCTTAAGCCCCAGTCCTGCTCTTATTCCTAGGGGTAACCACTATTATTAGTTTGGTGTGTTTCTGGTTGGCTCTTTTGTCAAATTATCAGTCAATCAATCAGCCAATCACCTACCAACCGACTGATCTGTCTCCCTACCTTCCTATGCATCTATCTATACTTTATCTATCTATCTATCTATCTATCTATCTATCTATACATACCTCTATCTATACATCTATTTATCTATCTCCTGTCTACCTACCTACCTATACATCTATCTCTCTCTATTATCTATCTACCAACTGACCAATCTGTGTGTCTATCTACCTATCATTCACCTATCATCTATCCATCTATCAATTATCTACCAATCTACCTACCTACCTATACATCTATCTATCTCTGTCTATACATCTATCTACCTACCTACCTATACATCTATCTCTATCTATATATCTATCTACCTACCTACCTATACATCTATCTGTCTGTCTCCTGTCTACCTACCTAATTACCTATACATCTATCCCTCTATTATCTACGTGCCAACTGACCAATCTGTGTGTCTGTCTACCTATCACTTACCTATCATCTATCTATCCATCTATCAATTATCTACCAATTTATCTACCTACCTATACATCTATCTCTGTCTATACATCTATCTACACATCTGTTTATCTGTCTATACATCTATCTATACATCTATCTATCTATACATCTGTCTGTCTATCTATCTATACATCTATCTCCTGTCTACCTACCTACCTATACATCTATCTCTCTCTATCTATACATCTATCTATCTATGTACCTACCTACATGTCTGTTTATCTATCTGTCTGTCTGTCTATCTCTGTCTGTCTAGGCATAAGGTCAGGGCTGTTGAGATCAATTAATCAGCCTACCTACCTACCTACCTACCTACCTGCTTGTCATCTATATCTGTCTATCCTTGTTCCATCTACAGTCTATATTTCTCTCTATAATGATAATATATGGATATATAGAGTTCCTAAAACTATAAATATCATACTATATATACATATTATTTTGTGACTTCTCCCCCCACCACATGTTTTGGTTATTTTTTCATGCCAATTCCTATAGTTCTACCTAACTTGATAGATTTAAATACATAGATGTACCACATTCTACTCATCCATTCTCTAATTAATGGACACTTAGCTTTTCAGAGTATTCATTCTACAAACAATGGAATAATGTCTGTCTATCCTTGCATACTTTGTGTATTTCTGGAGGATAGATTTATAAAAATGAAATGCATCTGTAACAAGTGTGGTCTTTTACAATTTGAGTGGGTCCTGTTGGTCCACAGCCAGTGGTGGTGGATGAGGCACCTGTTTCCCAATGGCCTCCTGACATTTGATATTGGCCATTTTTTAGATTTTTGGCAATTCCATAGAAAAAAGTAGTTGTACTCCCTTACTCTAATTTATGTAAATGTTAGTGTAGTTGAGCCTCTTTTTTTCCCTTCAGTTTTTTCTTTTCTTTTCTTTTTTCTTTTTTTTTTTTTTTGAGACAGAGCCTCACTTTGTCTCCCAGGCTGGAGTGCAGTGGTGTGATCTCGGCTCACTGCAACCTCCGCCTCTTGGGCTCAAGTGATTCTCCTGCATCAGCCTCCCAAGTAGCTGGGATTACAGGCGCGCACCACCACACCCAGCTAATTTTTTTGTATTTTTAATAGAGACGAGGTTTCACCATGTTGACCAGGCTGGTCTCGAGCTCCCGATCTCAAGTGATCCACCCACCTCGGCCTTCCAAAGTGCTGGGATTACAGGCATGAGCCACTGCGCCTGGCCTCCTTCAGTTTTTAAATTGTGGTAACATACACACGGCCTGCAATTTACATCTTAACCATTTTGAAATGTACAGTTTAGGGTGTTAAATACGTTCATAGTGTTGTGCACCCAGGAGCCTCTTTCTTATGCTTCTTGGTTATTTGTATTTCTTCTGGGCTGGTGGTAACTCTGATCATTTCTGTATCCTTCGTCTCTTGGCAGAATTTGCACAAACCTCCTTGGCTGTCACTGAAAGCTGGCTCCATCCAGTAAGGAATACTGCTGTACCACTGTAACATAACGAGTCTCCTGTGGGCCACATACCAACCCCTTGGCTCCACAGAAAGCAAAGATATCAGGTGTTTCATGCAGTGAACAATTACGTTTAATATTTTCTTCCCATTTATGTGGCCATAAAGATGAGATACCTGTCCTGTCTGAAGAGGGAGAAGAGGAAGAAGAGACTTATTCTCAAAAAGTGGAGTCCGTGGATAAAGTGCGAGGTGTGGAGTTGGGAGGGGTCATGGGAGGGTGGAACTGAGAAAGCCCCCCCGCAGCGGGAGTAGGGTGCTGCCTGCCGTGCCACAATCAGTTGTACTTTCACTGGGTATGAACCACAAAGAGAAAGTGCTGGGTCATGAATAGACGGATGTAGTAGTTTCCCACGGCTGCTGTCACAAGTGACCACAGACTGGGTGGCTGAAAACAACACAGATGTATTCTCTCACAACTCTGGAGGCCGGAACTCCAAAATCAAGGTGCTGGCAGGGCTGCGCTCCCTCTGCAGGACCAAGGGGAGGATCCTTCCTAGCCTCCTCACTGCAGTCTGGGGGTCAGGGTGTCCTTGGCCTGCAGCATCATCACTCCAGTCTCTACATCCATCGTCACATGGCCTTGTCCCCTCTGTATCTTTCTTCTCCGTGTGTCCTCTCTCCTCCTCCTCCTCCTCCTCCTCCTTTTTTTTTGAGACAGGGTCTCGCTCTTGTCACCCAAGCTGGAGTGTAATGGCGTGATCTCAGCTCACTGCAACCTCCGCCTCCCAGGTTCAAGTGATTCTCCTGCCTCAGCCTCCCAAGTAGCTGCGATCTCAGGCGCCCACCACCACGCCCAGCTAATTTTTGTATTTTCAGTAGAGACGGGGTTTCACCATGTTGGCCAGGCTGGTCTTGAACTCCCGTCCTCAGGTGATCCGCCCTCCTCGGCCTCCCAAAGTGCTGGGATTACAGGCGTGAGCCACCATACCCGGCCGTCCTCTCTCCCTCTTATACAGGCACCAGTCACATTGGATTTTGGGCCCACTCTAATCCATATCACCTCATCTTTACTAATTACATCTGCAAAGACCCTGTTTCCAAATGAGGTCACAGCTTTAGGACATGCATTGTGGGGGACACTCTTCAACCGAGTGTAGTATGTAACATACAAACACTCATGCAGGCGATGTCTCAGCCAGCTCAGCAAACACATGCTTTGTACTTTGTTTTGTAGGTGGGCTTCCCACTGTGCAAGCTACAGATGCCATTTTCTTAGGAGAATCTTCAAGGCACAGAACTTTTCATGTATTTATTTGTTTTTGAGACAGGACCTCACTCTGTTGCCCAGGCTGGAGTGGTGCTGTCATAGCTCACTTTAGCCTCTAACTTCTAGGCTCAAGCAATCCTCCTGACTCAGGCTCCTGAGGAGCTGGGACTGTAGAGGTGCACCAACATGCCTGGATGACATTTTGATTTTTTGTAGAGATGGGGTCTCACTATGTTGCCCAGGCTGGTCTTGAAGTCCTGGGCTCAGGCAGTTCTCCCACCTCAGCCTTCCAAAGTGTTGGGATTACAGGCATGAGCCACTGCTTCTGGCCAAGCATTTATTTTTAACCAAATTGTAATCCCCTCAAGTAGCAAAGACTGTGGAGAGGGAACTACAAGTTAGAAATAAAAGATGGTTTGAGTAAGCCTTGTTTAAAGTGGGTTTTTGGTTTTTTTGGAGACGAAGTGTTGCTCTGTCACCCAGGCTGGAGTGCAATGGTGCGATCTCGGCTTGCTGCAACCTCCTCCTCCTGGGTTCAAGCGATTCTCCTGCCTCAGCCTCCTGAGTAGCTGGGACTGCAGGCACACGCCACCTCATCCAGCTAATTTTTTTTTTTTTGAGACAGAATCTTGCTAATTTTTGTATTTTTAGTAGAGACGGGGTTTCACCATGTTGGCCAGGCTGGTCTCAAACTCCTGACCTCAGGTGATCCACCCACCTCGGCCTCCCAAAGTGTTGGGATTACAGGCGTGAGCCACCACGCCCGGCCTAAAGTGGGTTTTGATAAGGCAGATGGTAGTTCTGGATGCCACAGCAATGTCTGCTGAGGTATCCTAGGAAGGCACTCTCGGCTTCGGAGCCCAGTACATCCATGAAGAGGACAGGTTTGGGAAGGAAGAGCTGTTTAGGTGGGAAGGTCGGGGAAGTCCTTTCTCATAAAGTAAATTAACATTATTATATATTTTCTTCTTTTCTTTTTATGGTGGTAAAATGGATGTCACTTTTACCATTTTTACCATTTCTATGTGGCATTAAGTACATTCATAAGTGTATTTTCCTTTTTAAAGATGGGGCCTTGCTCTGTGGCCCAGGCTGGAGTGCTGTGGTGTGATCATAGTGCCCTGTAGCCTTGAACTCTTGGGCTCAAGCGATCCTCCTGCCTCAGCCTTCCAAGTAGCTGGGACTACAGATGTGTGCCACCATGCCTGGCTAAGGTTTTTTTTTTTTTTTTTAACTTAAATTTAATTTTTTGGGCTGTTGTGGTGGCTCACGCCTATAATCCCAGGACTTAGGGAGGCCAAGGCAGGAGGATCACTTGAGGTCAGGAGTTCGAGACTAGCCCAGCCAACATGATGAAACCCATCTCTACTAAAAACACAAAAATTAGCCAGGTAGCCAGGCATGGTGGCATGTACCTGTAATCCCAGCTACTCGGGAGGCTGAGGCAGGAGAATTGCTTGAACTCGGGAGGCGGAGGTTGCAGTGAGCCAAGATCGTGACACTGCACTCCAGCCTGGGTGACACAGTGAGATTTGTCTCAAAAAAAAATTTTTTTTTAAAATTTTTTTTGTAGAGATGAGGTTTCACTACATTGCCCAGGCTGGTCTCAAACTCCTGGCCTCAAATGATCTTCCACCCTGTAGCTGGGACTATAGGCGGCACCATCACTCCTGGATAACATTTTGATTTTTTGTAGAGATTAGAGACTACTCTAATGCTGTTAGGGAATTAGCAATGGACTACAGGCTATTTATGGCACGGCACCTGCTCGTAAGTGTGATTTTTTTTTTTTTTTTTTTTTTACTGTAGTCTATTGCTAGTTCTCTAATAATGTTGGTACTGCTGTCTATAGACTATTCCCTTGCCAACCACGGTGCCAATGCCCTTACCCGTGCTGTCATTTAGTCCTCCAGAATTTGGCTGGTAGATGTTACTGTCCCATTTTATGGATGCAAAAACTAATAGCAGAGAGGATTCAGACCCCTGACATTGAGTTGATGCCAAAGCCACAGTGACTTTGCACAGTGCCTTTCAAAGTAAGAGCTGAGGGAAAGCTCCCAGGGAAAGCTCCTTTCTCTAATCACCGGCCTTGTTGGATGTTCTGAGGGCTCAGACTTGGTGTCTGCTGAGGTTTCTGAATCTGTATCAATCAGAGTGGACTTGAGACAGGTGCGTCATTTCATTTAGACTGTTTTTCTTCTTGTCCCTCACAAGTTTTGCATCTCATAGTGAAAAAGGAGTAAATGCTAACATGCTAGCTGTAATTCTTTTTTTTTTTTTTTTTTGAGATGGAGTCTCGCTCTGCCACCCAGGCTGCAGTGGCACAATCTTGGCTCATTGCAACCTCTACCTCCTGGCCTCAAGCGATTCTCCTGCCTCAGCCTCCCGAGTAGCTGCGATTACAGGCATGCATCACCATGTCCGGCTAATTTTTGTATTTTTAGTAGAGACAGGGTGTTGCCATGCTGGCCAGGCTGGTCTCAAACTCCTGACATCAAGTGATCCACCCACATCAACTTCCCAAAGTGCTGGGATTATAGGCATGAGCCACTGCGCCTGGACTGTAATTCTTGTCTTTATGATAAACTCCCTTTTAAGTAAAAAACCTCAGAGAAGTCACACGGTCACAGGGTGGACACTGTACCTGAGAGAACGCAGACACAAACATGTAAAATTTCTGATGGACACCCTGTCAAAAACGAAACACAATTCTTGTCAATTACAATGTGAGTCAAGGCCACAATTTGATTGATTGGAACAGAAGGTATGCACAGCTATTTGATAACTCGCCTTTTGAATGAAATGTACTGGTGCACAAAATGCAGGGCTGCTCTTGATGGTAGGAAACCTAATTTTCTGATTATTTTCTCTTAAACTGATTGCTGTTTTGCAGCTAAGCGTGTGTCACTGAGAACCGAATCTCTAGGCCAACCTCTAAACAGAGAGGATGAAGAAATGGACAAAGAGATTTCAGAAAAACTCCCTTCCAAAGTAAGCATGGCTCTTTGTCCTTGTTGGTGGGGTAATGGGGACCCTTGATGCCCTCTAGGATTCAGGGTAACTGACATAGCCCCATCCAAGGGATTTATCATGTTGGAATGGAAATTATAGGATCCCAAGGCCACCCTCAGATTCAGTGATTGGCTGGAAGGACTCACAGGACCCAGAAAATCTGTTATATTCATAGTTATAGTTTATTACAGGGAAAGGATGCAAATTAGACTCAGCAAAAAAAGGAAAAAACGTGCACAGGACAGAGACCAGCAGAAAATAGGCACAAGCTTCCATCTGTTCCCTCCCAATGGAGTTTCATGGATAGCACTTAATTCTCCTGGTAGCTATGAGTGACAACATGCATGAAGTATTGCCAACCAGAGAGGCTCACCTGAGCCTTGCTGTCTGGGGTTTTTAATGGGGATCAGTCACACAGGCATGGAGCATCCACGTGGCTGACCTTAGTTACTCAGCTCCCCTTCATCTCCAGCCCTCACCACCACCCTAGAGGTTGAACTGATCCTGTATGACTGGGGCCCCAGCAAACAAAAACAGGCATTCACCAAACTCGCATTGTTAGCATACACCTTCAGGCATGGCCCAAGGCTACAGGTACACAAAGACTCCCATATTAGGAAGGGTATTCCAAAAGCTTGGAAGTTGTCACCCTAAGAGCCGAAGGCCGGTTCTGAAGACGTTTGGCATGTGTGGGGTTTGGACAACACAGACCTGCTAAATGAACCCTGTTCTGTGAAAACCCCAAGGTTGGAGTTTAAGGCTAGGATGTAAGCATTCAGCCTGGCCTATGCTTACCAAAATCGTGCTTCATTGCTTCATAAGTACGTCCCATCTGCAAAACAAAATTCAAGCTCCATCTGGACCTTTGCCAGGTCAGTTTGTTTAGGTGTTGCTGTACTGGTTGGTCAATAGAGGAGTCAGGCTGACAGCTCAGAGTCTGGGTGCATTTAGCTCCTGTGTTTGGCTGGTACCCACTGTGTGGCTGTGGCTACATTGTCAGAACATGAGACCAGCCATTGTGTTGAGAGGAGAGCTTAGGTGTACTTGAATATTAGGTTCTTTAGGTGAATGGATGTATCACAAGAATGAATGGTTTTTGTTCCCCATGTTTCAGAGAACTGCGAAGCACATCATGGAAAAGATGCATCTCCACATGCTCTGTACCCCTCTTCCCGAGGAGTTCCTGGACCAAAACGTGGTGTTTTTCCTCAGAAATACCAAAGGTACATTTCTGGCACGTGTGTGTGTATGTGTGTTGAGGGGGTGTGGTTGTGCATGCACTTGTTCACTCTCATTCTGTTGTCTTTTTATGGTTATCTTTCACCTATGCCAAGCTCTCTTTCTTTTCCATACTGTACTGGGTTCTTACGTAGTCTTCTCAAAGCTAATTTCCAGTAAAGAAGTGTTAGAGATAAAGAAATGTATTCAGCCAGTGATAGTGCATGTCTGCACATATTTGGAGAAGGTGTGAAGACTGAAACTTGTGAAATAATGGCTTCAGTGGGCATATTTCTTGTGTCTCTTTTGTTTCCCAGTTAGATCAAGGGAAGAGTCCAAGTAACCTTTAAAATGTTTACCATGGTGATTGATTTTTGGTCAGGTAGAGCAAATACATATCAAATAAAACCTTGTTTGTTGGAAGGGTAGATATTACCAAGTAGGTCTTTTCAAACAACCCATGACTCAAAATATGCTTTGGCAATGAATTGAGGAAGACTTGCTGGGGAGTGAAGACAGGCAAAGCCCATGCCCAAGCCAGCTTGGATGGTTGTAACAAATTGCCATAGGCTGGGGGGCTTCACCAACAAACATCTATTTCTCACAGCTCTGGAGGCTGGGAAGTCCAAATCAAGGTGCTGGCAGATCTGGCATCTGGTGAGGGCCACTTCCTGGTTCACAGATGGCACCTTCTCCTATCCTCCCATGGTGGAGAGCAGAGAGAGAGAGAGCAAGCTCTCCTGTCTCTTCCTATAGGGACACCAATCCAATCGTGAGACTCCACCCTCATGACCTAATCACCTACCAAAGGCCCCACCTTCTAATACCTTCACCTTGGGGATTTAAGCTTCAACATGTGGATTTTGGGGTCATTCAGTCCATAGCAGCAAAGAATCCAGCCAACATTTCTAGACAACCCAAATAATTTCTGATTTTGTCCAGCGTTAGATACTCCAACCAGATCAGCAAATGTGTGCAGCTCTTGTGCACTGTTCATACTAATCCACGAACCACAGTGCATTGGTATCCATTTCAGCTTCTCATGGGCCCTCAGATTTGTTTAAACACAAATAGGGGATATTCTGAATCTGTAACCAGAACATTCCTTGTAGCAGCTTGGGAAGAAGGAGAAGATTCCTGTTCTCTTGGAAATGTTAACTGTTGGCTGCTCTCTCCCACTGACCTTACATTCTACACCTGTTCTTCTTTAGAGGCAATCTCTGAAGCTACCGACATGAAGGAAGCTATGGAAATTATGCCAGAAACACTGGAGTATGGAATTATAAACGCTAATGTGCTCCATTTTCTGAAGAATATTATATGTCAGGTAAACATGGAGAAAGGAAGAAATTCTAGTATTTCTAAAGTTGAGGTCATGTGGTTTGTTTATTCCACAAATAGGTAGCGGGCAGCTCTTCTGTCTCAGGTGCTGTTATGGGCACTGAGGTGCTGAGACCAGCTCGGTTGGGGAGACCCTAACCCAGCGGCGCTAGAGAAATTAAAGACACACACACAGAAATATAAAGGTGTGAAGTGGGAAATCAGGTGTCTCACAGCCTTCAGAGCTGAGAGCCGCAAACAGAGATTTACCCACATATTTATTAACAGCAAACCAGTCATTAGCATTGTTTCTATAGATATTAAATTAACTAAAAGTATCCCTTATGGGAAACGAAGGGATGGGCCGAATTAAAGAAATAGGTGGGCTAGTTAACTGCAGCAGGAGCATGTCCTTAAGGCATAAATCGCTCATGCTATTGCCTGTGGCTTAAGAATGGCTTTCAGCGGTTTTCCACCCTGGGCGGGCCAGGTGTTCCTTGCCCTCATTCCCGTAAACCCACAACCTTCCAGCTTGGGCGTTGGGGCCATTATGGACATGTTACCATGCTGCAGAGATTTTATTTATGGCCAGTTTTGGGGCCAGTTTGTGGCCAGATTTTGGGGTCTTGCTCCCAACACTGAGGGTCAAGCAGTGGACAGGACAGGCAATGGCCCTGCTCTCCAGGAGCTTATGTAGGGGAAAGACATGGCACACAAGCACATCTATGAGAAAATACCGACAAGTGGCATGAGGAAAATAAACCCTGATATGAGACAGAAATAGGCATGTGCACTGTGTGTGTGCAGAGGGCATGGTGAGGAATGGCCTTGCTGAGGATGTGATGTCTAAGCTTTCTTTTTTATTTTTATTGTTTTTCGAGACAGGGTCTCTCCGCCATCCAGTCTGGAGTGCAGTGGCCCAATCACGGCTCACTGCAGCCTCAACTCTCAAGTGATCCTTCTGCCTCAGCCTCCTGAGTGGCTGGGATTACAGGCATACACCACCATGCCTGGCTCATTTTTGTACTTATTGTAGAGACAGGGTCTCACCATGTTGCCTAGGCTGGTCTCCAACTCCTGGGCTCAAACAATCTGCCCGCCTTGGCCTCCCAAAGTGCTGTGATTACAGGCATGAGCCACCATGCTTGGCCTGAGCTTTATAGACCAAAAAAATGAAAAACTCATCAGCAGGCCTTTTTCATGAATGATAAGTTATTAGGGAAATGCACTAGGGAAGGAAGGAAGAGGTGATATTGAACTGAGACCCAAATGAGGCCAAGGCATCAGACATGATAGGATGTGGAGGAAGAGCATGCTGGGCAGAGAGAACAGCAGGTGCAAAGGCCCTGAGGTAGAAGCAGCCTCAGCTTGGCCCAGTAGCAGGAGGATGGCCACTGTGGCTGGAGGGAGGGCTGGAAATGAAGGCAGGTTTAAGCAGGGGAACAACAGGATCTGGTTTGCATTTTACCTCTGGCTATTGTGGGAAAACATATTGCTGGGGTGGAGGGGAAGGAAAGACCAAATAGAAAGCCATGGAAGAGCCCAGGTGGAGGGCTGTATTAGTCCATTTTCATGCTGCTGTAGGGAACTGCCCATAATTTATAAAGGAAAGAGGCTAAATTGAGTCACAGTTCTGCATGGCTGTGGAGGCCTCAGGAAACTTAAAATCATGGTGGAAGGGGAAGCAAACACATCCTTCTTCATATGACGGCAGGAAGGAGAAGTGCTGAGCAAAGAGGGAAAAGCCGCTTATAAAACCATCAGATCTCATGAGAACTCACTCACTATCATGAGAACAGTGGCATGGGGGTAACCTCCCCCATCATTCAATTACCTCCCACCAGGTCTCTCCCATGACACGTGGGGATTATGGGAACTACAATTAAAGATGAGATTTGGGTGGGGACACGGCCAAACCACATCAAGGGTGATGGTTATTTAGGCTCCAATCAGGGGAGGGAGGGAGAAGCAGACAGTGTGAGGAATGCCTTGAGGATCAGGCCATGGGACTTGCTAATGACCGGGATCTGGAGGCTTTGAAGAGTATCACAAGAATAGAGAGTACCAAGAATGACTCTTGGTCCCAGCACTTTAGGAGGGTGAGGCGGGAGGATCGCTTGAGGCTAGGAGTTTGAGAACAGCCTGGGCGATATAGCAAGGCCCCATCTCTAAAAAAAAATTTAAAAAAGAATGACTCTTAGGATTTGGGCCTGAGAAACTGGGAGGATGGTGAAGTCATTACTGAGATGGAGGATGGGGAGAAACAGATATGGAGGGAAACTCAAGTGTTGTATTTTGCATTCTAGACGGGAAGGTTGCAGAGTATGGTGGTCATGCCACTGCACTACAGCCTGGGTGACAGAGAGATATTCCATCTCTAAAAAAAAAAAAAAGAAAAATAAATTAAGATAACATCAAAACATGATGTATAATGTTAAGCACAGGTGGCCTCTTAGACATTCAAATCAAGACGTGAAGCAGGATGTATGAATCTGGAGCTCTGCGGGGAACTCAGGGCATCCGTCTAGCAAATATTCATTGAGCACCTACTGTATTTCATAGCAATGAACAACTGAGACAAGGTCTCTGCCTCGTGGAGCTTTCATTCTAGACAGGAAGATGTACATTAACCAAGATCAATGAGAAAATATATAGTGTGTTAGACAGCAACAAGAGTTAGGGAGAAAAATGAAGCCAGATAGGAAAGAAAAAGGAAACAAGGGGGAGAGGGAAAGTTGATAGGTGGAAAGGTGGGGCTTTTGCAATTTTAGATAGGGTGGCCAGGAAGACTTCACTGAGAAGATTTGGACAAAAAAGTCCAAACCAACACAATATCCTCTTTTGCTTGGACTATCGCAGGAGCCTCCAAAAAGATCCCTCAGTTTCTGTTCTTACCCTCTACGCTGCCTTCTCCACATGCCAACCAGAGTGATGCTTTAAAACATGGGCATCATCAGCACAGAGATGGTGTAAAACCAAGGGACTGGGTGGAACAACCAAGGGAGGGAGTAGAGATGGAAGAGATGAGGGGAGAGGAAAGTTAGGACGTGGGTGATCCAGAAGCCAAGAGAAGACAATGCTTCACTGAAGAAGGGAGGGGCCCGCCGTGCCACTTGCTGCTGGAAGTCAAGAAGGCACAGGCAAAGAAGAGCTGGAGGGCTTGGCCCTGGGTGACTTCCATGTGAGCAGTTCTGGGGATGGGAGCAGACGAGGTCTCACGGAGTACAAGTCATCCTGTGAGTTAGGCTGTGGGGCCCTCCCCACTGAGCTGCCTGCACACAAGGGACTTTCTACCTGAAGACAACCTCCTTCATCGGGATGATGTCTTTTTCTAGTGTGACTTTGGAGGACTCAAGAACATTGGCTACCTTCTTATTTATTTATTTATTTTTATTTACTTATTTTTGAGACAGCGTCTCATTCTGCCACCTAGGCTGGAGTGCAGTGGCGCGAGCATGGCTCACTGCAGCCTTAACCTCCCAGGCTTAAACGATCCTCCCACCTCAGCCTCCTGAGTAGCTGGGAGGATTACTAAAAATTAGCCAGGTGCACGCCACAATGCCTGGATGATTTTTGTATTTTTTTTTTAAAGACGGTGTCTCAGTATGTTGCCAAGGCTGGTCTCAAACTCCTGGGCTCA